>NC_000002.12:62008534-62311564 GCF_000001405.40 Homo sapiens | reverse complement strand
GTGCTGCCTCAGCCTCCCAAGTAGCTGGGACTACAGACGCCCGCCACCACGCCCGGCTAATTTTTTTTTTTTTTTTAAGTAGAGACGGGGTTTCACCGTATTAGCCAGGATGGTCTCGATCTCCTGACCTCGTGATCCACCCGCCTCGGCCTCCCAAAGTTCTGGGATTACAGGCGTGAGCCACCGCGCCCGGCCTTTTTTTTTTTTTTTTTTAAACTGAAAAGTGATCACTTCTGTAGAATATATTTCCTACTGGCTATGCCCTCCTTGGCTTCACCCATGGCATTGGGCAAGTACCTGGTTGGCCCATTGCACTTCAGTGCAGAGCCTGGAGCCAGAAGGGAGGCCCTGCCATTGGTCAGCAGGGCAGCTCGCCTCACAGCTTCATTTGGACAAGAGTCGCAGACAAGCTCAAGGGTCTAGGGGAACCAGGTTTGGAGATGTTAGACTGGGAATGGGCTAGCTCAGAATCAATCTGAATGATATGACATTGTTACAGGCTGGGTTGAATTATGTTCCCCCAAAGGATATATGCTGGCCCCCAAACCTGTGAATGTGGCCTTATTTGGGAATAGTCTTTGCAGATGCAATCAAGTTAGGATAAAGTCATACTCAACTAGAGTGGTCCCTAATCCAATGACTGGTGTCCCTATAAGAAGAGGAAAGTTTGGACACAAATACACAGGGAAAAGACCTCATAAAGATGGAGGTAGAAATGAATATGATGGGTCTACAAGGCAAGAAACGCCAAGGAATGCCAGGAACGATAAGAAGCTAGAAGAGGCAAGGAAGTGTTAAAGCAAACTATATATGTCCTGAGAAGGACTCTGTACTTCTATATTTGAGTCCTTGTGGATGAACTGTAACCTAGCTTAATAGTCAGACAAAATTGAAAACCTAATTTAGGAGTATGCGCCTGTAACAATAACTAAGTCTTGGCCAATCCCAGAGGCTATACTTCAACCATTCATACTCTGCTGAGTGTTCAAACTACGTTCAAATAAGGCAAACACTGAGCTGTAACCAATCCGGTCATTCTGTACCTCACTTCCAATTTCTGTACATCATTTCCCTTTGTCTATAAATCTTCTTCCACCATGTAGCTGCGCCGGAGTCTCTGTGAATACGCTTGATTTGGGGGCTGTCCGATTCACAAATTGTTCATTTAATTAAACTCAATTAAACTCTTAAATGTAATTCAGCTGAAGTTTTTCTTTTTTCAGAAGGCCCCTCTCCTAGAGACTCTAGAGAGAGCATGGCCCTGCCACCACCTTGATTTCTGACTTCTAACCTCCAGAATTGTAAGAGAATAGATTTCTGTCATTTTAAGCCACAGTTTGTGGTACTAACACAGACACCTTCTCCTCTGCCAAAAATAATAATTCATGTGATGGGATAAAAATGACTGGCGAGTTCCCAACCTTTCCCACCCCCATGGCCCCTAATGAGGGTCCTGGTTACACTCTCCTCAGTTCCTCCTGGAGCCCACCCTCCAAGGAAGGAGCCCCGCCCTGCCAGCCATTTGTGAGATAAAAATCAGAGGAAACGGAAACTGAGAGCCAGACCGGGAGCCCCTGCAGCAAGTGAGAGCCATGTGTGGGAGAAGACGGAGGGGGACGTGCAAGAAGAACTGTGCCTCTCACATGGCCACCGTGAGAATCGAGTGCAGTCTAACGAAGGACTACGTTCACTTATCGGTGTGAGAAACACACGTGAAAGACTTGAGTTATTTTGAAATCACGTTTTGTTTCATGGTCTTTTGACCGCATCGCAGCTCCAGCACAGAGCTGAGCCACGTGGACCGAGGCTCTGTGAGCTTTCCTCTCCTCCCCATCACTGAATGCTTTCTGCCCTCCAGGCCCCTGCTAAGTGCTTGGCAGACTCCTCTCCTGTCCTCACAGCAACTCTAGAAGGACAGTGCTGTTTTAGATGACAAAACTGAAGCCTCACAGCAAACCTCAGTGAAATAGCCAAGGTCTAAAAGCTCAGATTACCTCATGCCTAGCTCAGAACTATTAGAATAATAATTGAAGCAGCAAGGAGCCTTGAGGCGACACCTAGAAGCTGGCAACCAACCCTACTACTGGTCTATGCTCTTGGGACAGCCTTGCCTCCTGGGATAATGGCAGCTCTGTTACCCTCCAGGAGATAGAGAATGGTGTGTTTCTGGCATTGAGGCCTAGCCAGGCCAGGGTGGGCAGAGGTGGCTGCTATACAATGGGCTCTGGAGCCAGACCGACAGGGTTCCCCCCAGCTCTGCCACTCTCTAGCTATATGGGCATGTTATCTGACCTCCCTGGGCCTCTGTTTCCTCATCTGCAAAATGGGGATAATAATAGTTGCCACCTCAGAGGGCAGTTGTGAGGATTAAGTGAATTAATACAGTATGTGACATGCTTAGAACAGCACTGGACACAGTAAGCCCTTAATAAAAGCTAGCTCTTGTGATTATTGAAAAACATGATGCTCTACTCAGATCTGACAAGACCTTAGCTACAAAAAATATAAATCATCAAGCAGACTGTCTGATATGTGTATTTTTATTAAGTGTAAGAATGAACCTCGGCTGGGTGCAGTGGCTCACGCCTGTAATCCCAGCACTTTGGGGAGGCCAAGTTGGGCAGATCACTTGAGATCAGGAGTTCGAGACCAGCCTGGCCAACATGGTGAAACCCCATCTCCACTAAAAATACAAAAAATTAGCCAGGCATTGTGGTGCATGCCTGTAATCTCAGCTGCTCGGGAGGCCAAGGCAGGAGAATTGCTTGAACCCGGGAGGTTCATTCGTGACCCCTCTATCTCAATTCCTGCTTCTGTGGAATGGGGATTGCTCTCTGCCTCACAGAGATTTTGTGAGCAGGAAAGGCACAGAGTAGGACTCACAGCAGCTAATAAATAAGTTTGTCTCCTTGGTTTATAATGGCCAAGCTCATGCACCCTCAGAATAAGTACAGAAGGTGAGGAGACTGTGCAAGTAAACATGGTAGGTACAGGTGACCCGGGTCCAAGCCCCTTGTTGGGCCAGGTGTTCCCTTTTCCTTCCTCTCTCTCAGGCCTGCTTAGGGATTAGAGGGTGGGAGAGCCAGTCAAGAGCAGGTTGCCATCCTCCAGCAGCACGGAGGTCTGTGATGGTCTGGGATGTGACAGGGACCTGTGGCTGATTTCTAACCAGCCTTCTAACCAGTTGAAGAGCTGGACCAGCTTTCTGTGCTGCAGAAAGCTGCAGCGGGGTTGACAGACAGACTTGCACTCACACCCTGGGCACATCACCTTCTGCAGACCTTATGGGCCTCACCTATAAAGCAGGGATAATAGAGCCTACCCCACAGACCTCTTCTGAGGATTCCAGATGGTACTTGGGAAAGCACCTTGCAGGGCACCTGGCATCTAGCACGCTTCTGTAAAAGCCACTCGGATGCGACATTCCTAGCCCACGTGGTTGCTCTTTGGTTTTCCTTTTCTGTAAAATGGTGATGATAAAACTACCACCTCCCAGGTTTAACATGAGCATGAGATAAGGCAGGGCACAGAGGAAACGTCGATAAAGGACAGCTACGAGGGATGTTACATGCTTTTACACTTATTATTCCTGTGAACCAAGAGTTTGGATAGCGCTCCGATCCTTGATAAAGGGCCTTTCCAACTAATCTCAGGGACCACTCCTACAAGAATCACATAAGCATGGCAACTGCTCCCTGCCTTCTACAACTTCCTGGCTGGCACAGATCAGGGACTCGCCCACAGGTCTCCTTGCTAGGCAGGCTCCTCGGCCCCTCCCTGGTGCCCTGTCAGCTCTAGGCTTTCTTGCCCCCTCATCAGGCAGTGCCTACCCACCCCTCATAGAAACCCACATGTACAGAGGGACTCAGGTTCAAGGCCTTCTCTTTTTTGGTTGCCCCGTAGATAAGCACTCATGGCATTTTAGTTTTGTAAGTTTCACAGCAGATAATTACAGGAAAACAGATAGGGGATGGTCAAAAGAGCAAATCCCAGGAAGGTGCGAAGTCCTCCCAGGCTGGTCCTGACTTTCTGGGAATAGGAAGTGTTACTCCTGAAGACTGTGGCGATTCATAGGACTTTTATATTGAACATGGGACCAGGACACCGAGAGGCAGGTCAGCCCTGGAGAAATTTCAGCCAGTGCTAGTTTCCTGTCAGGAAGGGCAGGGGAGAAATGGGCAGCTTCCACTCTTCACAAAGGATAGCAGTGAATGAACTCCACTGCTACAGAGACAAACCCCTCAGGTCCTGGCTGAAGACAGACGAGGCAGCCAGCAATCTCAGATGCCTTACCTATTTCCAGGGGACAGGGGGCTGGACACAGAGAGGAGGGTCACCAGCCTGGCACAGAGAACACAGAGAGCAGAAAACTGAGCCAAGAAGGCTGCCCCCTCCAAGTGTTTACCTGAAATATTCACAAACATGATGAGTCACAGAAAGAAAGCAGAAAAACCAGTAAGATGTGTAACCAGATTCTCTTCCACAAAGCAAGGAGAAGTTGTGGCAATAATGCCAGTGGGCACGGTGTGCTCTGCTGAGGGCCCTGCTTGAGAAACCTGTGTCTCCACCACACTTTCGGCCTCAGCTAAGGTTGAGAAGGGAAACTGACAACTGTGCCAGGGCAGGAAAGTCCCTGCAGGAAGCCTGCTGCTGGTCTGGGTTACCAGGGCAACTGGCAGCTGCTCTCTTCTCTTGAAAGAGAATGGACTTGGGAGGCCCAGATGGGCTCTGCCCTAGTAGCCCAAATAAGAAGGCTTAACCTTAGACAGCATCAAATAACATCGGAGTACGCCGCCCCCACAGCACTTCCCATGCATCCCCATCTGATTTCATCTACCTCTCAGGAGAGCCGGGTGCAGGGTGATTATAACCATTCCATTCCACAGTGGAGAAAACTGAGATCCGGAGACACTAAGTCACTTGCTTAGATTTACATGACTAAGAATTAGTTTGGATCCATCTGGGCATGGTGGCTCACACCTATAATCCCAGCACTTTGGGAGGCTGAAGTGGGCGGATCACTTGAGGTCAGGAGTCCGAGACCAGCCTGGACAACATGGTGAAATGCCATCTCTACTGAAAATACAAAAACAAAAACAAAAACAACCAACCAAACAGACAAAAAACTAGCCAGGCTGGGGGCTTATGCCTGTAATCCCAGCTACTTGGGAGGCTGAGGAAGGAGAATTGCTTGAACCCGGGAGGTGGAGGTTGCGGTGAGCCGAAATCGCACCACTGCACTCCAGCCTGGGTGACAGAGGGAGACTCTGTCTCAAAAAAAAAAAAAAAAAAAAAAAAATAGAATTAGCTTGGATCCTACCTGAGTCTTTAAACACCAAGTCTAGTGAACATCCCCCTACACAGTCTGGCTGCCGAATCAAGAGCTTGGGTTTTTTCAGTGCTCTCATATCTATGAATGCATGCATTCTGTTTGCAAAATACCAGGCATGGATCATACCCCTCTTCATCTCCCACATCAGAGATGTGAAACGGCCGTGCAAGGAGGCAGGGCTGCCACGGCAGCAGTTTGAGTGGGTAGCCAACATCTGACCGAGACTCGAATCCAGAGCTTTTTCCATGACACCAGCTGGCTGCCTTGCCCCTCACCACATCTGGAAAAAATGACTCAGGTGACAGCAGGCTAATCATGTCATCCTTGTGACTGCAGGTGCCACGTCGTTTATGAAGCACTTTAAAGTGGGAACGCTTGCCCTGGCTTTCCCCCAGGCCTTTATTAAGTAAAGGTCATGCTGTTTGTTAAGATTTGAGCACACTGGTGGCTGGCTCACAGGAAAGAGCTTCATAAGCTGTGCCTGAGATAAGGTTGCTTCTGGAGGCCTCTCTGCAGAGAAGAGCGAAGCCCACCCCCACTGCCTGGCTGGTTGGATAATAAGACTCAGAAGCTCCAGTTCTCCCTGTCCCGTCTGGCCTCTGTGAATTGTCTGACTGCACTGCCACTTTTCTCACCTGCCTGAGGTTACTGTCCCAGAACCACCTGACCGCACAAGAAAGGCGGGAGCAAAGATAGGTTCAGGCCCAGAGATGGTTTCTAGTCTCCCTCTGTGATGGTGATTTTTCTGGCTGCAAGAGGTTTCCAATCCTGTCTCCACCAATGATTCCACAACTTTCCCTCATTCTCTGTGACTCTGGATTCCAGACTCAGGGCCCCGAGGTAACCTGAAGCCTCTCATCTGGTCATTGCACTAAAACCTTGGCTAGGGCAGGTGGCTTCCTTCTATGCCCAGATCAAAGGCGTGAGCAATGCCCTCAGCAGCTTCCCCAAGGCAGTAACAGGAAATAATCCTCCTCACCAGCCCCTCCCACCCACACTGTCCCAGCAGGTGGTGTTTGCAGAGGTAGCACCAGGTAAGGCAGGTGGCAGGGGAGAGGAACTGGATTGAAACCTCAGTTGGCCTCAAGCCACCCACTGCTCCCACCTTTCTTGTGTGGCTAGGATGTTCTGTAGCACAGACCACAGGTACGTGAGAAAAGTGGCAGTCCAGTCAGACACAGAACCTGCAAAGCCACATAGGAAGGGGAGAACTGGAGCTTCTGAGTCTTATTATCCAATCAGGGAGTTGGGGTGGGATTGGTTCCTCTGCAAAGAGGCCTCCAGAAGCCAGCCTTATCTCAGGCATAGCCTTGGGAACCATTTCCTGTGAGTCAGCCGCCAGCGTGCTCACATTTTAACCATGTTGGGCAGCATTCGCAGGCCGCCTGTTGTGAGGCAAGAAGCCTCCGCTGTTCTGGAGGAAGCCCACGTGGGGTGATTCTGAGCAAAGTCATTATGGGTCCTGTTAGGAAACATTAATTGTGTTTATGGGTAGAACCGCCCCCAAACAAATTAGACACATGTTCTAAGGTGTCCATTTTTTAAAATCTTGGTTGAGGTTGCCCTTTGGCTCCTGGGTGACATGAGTGCTTTGTTGTCCAACATTTGTTCCTGGGAGATGGGGTTACCAGAGGTTGGAAGACCTGACCCTCTCCTCACCTCAGGCTGGAGGAAAGGCTGTAACGATGCGCTGGGAGGGAACAATGCTGCCTAGACGGGCCTGAGGCTCTGACAACAAAACACTCAGACTGGACACTAAGATGGTGGTTTATTTTCTCAGAGGGGAAAGGGTCAGACCACACCTTCAGGTGTGGAGGGAGGAGGGAGATTGCCCCTAACAGAAAGGGGTGTCCTCATGGTCTGTCATCCCAAGGCAGGCAAGGAAGAGTGTTGTGGGCTGGAAAGGGAGGGATTTCTTCCTCTCTCTGTGGAGAAAGGGGGCCTGTATATTGCTGTTGGTGGGAGCTAAAGTGGCCCCTGCCAAATGGAGGCCTTTGGGTACAAGACACTTCTCCTCTGGAGGCAGATGGAAATTTCTAAGGCTGCTTTCTTTATGCCCCAACTCAGTGGAACCTGTGGTCAGATGAGCTGTGGGGGGTTGGGGAGGGCAATGTCTCCTTCCCAAGGCCTGGCAGAGTCACTAAGTCGCCAGTCCCATAAGCTACAGAGGCAGAATCATGGCAGCAAGAAGAAAAGGGTAGAGTGAGAGTGAGAGATACTTTCTGGAGCTGTGCAAAGCTGTCCCTGGGAAACTTTCAGAAATACTCGGGAGGGGAACTCTATGGTTAGGTAGAGTTAGATGTAGGAAGGAAGTATAATTTCACTTTAGAGTTGGTAAAGTTTCAACATAGGTTAATTGCATATGAAACACTCATTTCAAAGATGAAATAACCAGGGGTTTGGAGGCCTGAGAAAGAGAAACCATGAGACGGGGGTCTTCTGTCTGAGAAGCAGGTGCAACCCTCTGGCGGTAGCAAAGACCCAGGAGTTCCTGGGGTCTTGCGTGGAGCCTCGACAGCACATGTGCCTGGATTTTGGGTAAGGGTGGCACAAGCGAGGCCAGAAGCACCCCTCCTTCTCCCTGGCACATCATAAGGTGATCAAAGAATAATTTTTTTGAAAAAAGTCAAAAGCTGGCAGGGTGCAGTCGCTCATCTCTGTAATCCCAGCACTTTGGGAGGCTGAGGCGGGCAGATCACCTGAGGTCAGGAGTTTGAGGCCAGCCTGGACAATAGGCTCTACTAAAAATACAAAAATTAGCCGGGCGTGGTGACGGGTGCCTGTAGTCCCAGCTACTTGGGAGGCTGAGGCAGGAGAATTGCTTGAACCTGGGAGGCAGAGGTTGCAGTGAGCCAAGATTGTGCCATTGCATTCCAGCCCGGGTGACAAGAGTGAAACTCCATCTCAAAACAAAACAAAAACAAAAAAGTCAAAAGCTAACCAGAGGCAACCACACATGGAAAATAGTACAACCTTATGACATAAGACTGAAAAGGTGTCAAGAGGGAAGAAATAGAGGGTCTCAGAATGGAATGTTAGCTGTCTCTCTCCCACACACATAGCTGAAGCCAAATGAGGGAAGGTAAGAGAACAGGATCCCAAGAAGGGTCACCAGCACCTCTCAGTTCGGCACAAAGAGGGCCAAGATGCTAAAGGCAGCCTGGGGAGTCCAGGAGAAGCTCCAGAGAGGAGGAGCCCCTGGGCACCATCACAGAAGCCAGCAGCGGCTGGAGGAGTGGCTGGCTGGACTTGCTGCTGTTCAGAACTCTGTGCTGTCCAAGGGAATGAGCTGAAGTCCCAGGAGGGGACATGTGCCTGCCAAGTGGAGCAGACCCAGGTGTGGGATGCTAGCCCACGTCAGGAGGGAGCCAGGCCCAGCTCTGTCCTTCACCTGTCCATGTGACCCTCAGAGCTCAGGAAGCAGGAAGGAAGTACCACCCAGTCCCCAAACTCTAGTATTGAGGAAATGACAGGTAGCTAGAAAAGGTGTCAAAAAGAATTCGTCCTCACACTCTCAGAGCGTTAGATAGTCTGATCAGACTTACCTGTGCAAAATTAAAAGAGACAGCATGAAGGCTAAGCCAACATACTAGATTTTAAAAAAGAAGAACACCAAGAAGGAGAAGGCAGAGTAGGAGAAAGAAGAGAAGGAAAATAAGCAAGAAACAGGCTGAGTGCGGCAGCTCATGCCTGTAATCCCAGCACTTTGGGAGGGTAAGGCAGGAGGATCACTTGAGCCCAGTAGTTCGAGACCAGGCTGGGCAACATAGTGAGACCCTGTCTCTATGAAAAATAGAAAAAATGACCAGGGTGTAGTGGCGCACGCCTGTAGTCCCAGCTACTCTGGAGGATAAGGCAGGAGGATCAATTGAGCACAGGAGGTGGAGGCTGCAATGAGCCATAATTGCACCCCTGAACTCCAGCCTGGGTGACAGAGTGAGACTCTGTCTCAAAAACGAACAAAAAAAGCAAGAAACACAACATGAAAAAGATAAACATATCCAGATATCTAGATTGGGAGAAATCTCTCTCCCAAGTACAGAAGAAAACTCCTGAGAATGCTTCACATTGTAGAACAAATAAGAATATATAATACTTAATTAATCATTTTAATTTAATAGTTAATTATATTAATTTAACAATTAATAATTTGTATTAACTTGGTATATAATTAATTTTAAAATATTTAATATGCTTTTGAAATTTAGTAAAACGAGAACCCAAAGATGACTTGATAAGTCTACCAAGTGAAATGCAAAGGAAATTCAGAGCTAAGGAAAAAAATTCAGGATGAAAACAAGAGCTTTATAGAGCTATTAGATAAATTAGAAACATCAAGGAAGCTTGAAATTTTCCCAGCTCAGGAAAATCTTGAGATAATTCTAGTGAACATGGAAGAAAATGACAAAGCAATTAAAGTAGTTAAGAAGATGTTGGATGTATGGAGGACAAACACAAATCAACGTAAGGATAATTACTATTGAATTTCAGGTCAACATGTTGAGCACAGGGTGAACTCCCCCTACTGCTGTCATCTCCTATTGCAAATGCATAGAAAAACTTAATAAAATATAAAAATATATTTTAGATTGATATGTCCAAGCTCCATGCAAGAAAGGGAAATCTCCAGGGACAGAGTAGGAACAAAGTCATACAGGCATCCCTCAGGCATAGTGCCAGTTTAGTTCCAGACCACCACGCAGTAAATATCATGATAAAGCAAGTCACAAAAATTTTTTGGTTTCCCAGTGCATATAAAAGTATGTTTACCCTATACTGTGGTTTATTAAGTGTGCAATAGCATATGTCTAAACAATGTACATACCTTAATTAAAAGATAATATTGCTAAAAAATGCTAATGAAGTGAGCACGTGCTGTTGGAAAAATAGCACTGATAGACTTGCTCCACGCAGGGTTGCCACAAACCTTCAATTTGTAAAAAATGCAATATCTGCAAAGTGCAATAAAGCAAAGTATAATAAAATAAAACATGCCTGTAAATGGGAGCTAAAGCCGGAAGACCCACAGGGGACTCAGACTGGATGAGCTGTGGTTGCAATTTCAATGCGTCATGAGCCCCACATGCAGCAGGAAGCCATGAGTCCAGGAGGCAGGACCATGCCACCCCTTCAGGAAGAGGGCTGCCCAAGGTTGTGGCTGAACACAAGCCATCTGCCCAGCTATCAGTGGAAACAGTCAACAGTCCTGGTCCACTAGCCATAGACTTGGTTTGAAGTCAGTGCTCTATTCCATAGGACAACACTGAAACCTCCTCACCGGAATCCTTCTTCTAAAACCCAGACCACACAGTGGAGAAGTCCCAAGAAAGATGGCTCCCATGAAAGACAAGCTCATAGGCAAGAATTACACACCCTATAAGGAAGATCAACAACACTAAAGGCAGTTTTCAGACCCCCCCAAAGAAGAAAATTTATACTTAAGGAACTAGAGATAATAGACAATCTTGAAGGGGGTTTTAAAATGTATACATAAAACTTCAGGGAACTAAATGAAAGAATAGCCATCACAAATAAGAACAGATGGTTATGAAATAAAAATAGGCAAATACGTGAAAAAGTATACATATTAGAAACGAATAATGCAGTTATTGAGGTAGCTGGATGTCTTATTTATGTTTTATAGGTGTGTGAGTTTTTTATACACAAACATTCACATGTACATATACAGAAAAAGATTGGAGGGAAATACATCAAGTGGTAAGTAATAGCTAACTCTGAGAATAGGACTAGGGGTGTTTTAATTTTCTTCTTTTTGCCTACCTGTAACTTCAAACTTTTTTGTTACAGTGAATATGTAATTAAGAAAAGAAAAAAATCACTAAGAGACATATTTGTTTTTTAATTTTTAACTTTTATATTTTTGTAGGGACAAGGTCTCTCTATATTGCCCAAGCTGGCCTCAAACTCCTGGGCTCAAGCAATCCTCTCGCCTCACCCTCTCAAAGTGCTGGGATTACAAGTGTGAGCCACTGTGCTCAGCCTAAAGACACATTTTAATTTCACAATGATGAAGGATGTATACCTACTATGTACCCTCAAAATTAAAAATTGAAAAAAAAAGCGAAGGCAGAGTTGGTAGTGCTTGGACTCAGTCAATATCACCACATGTAAAATGATCATGAATTAAACCAAGAGATATTAATAAAATTTTATTATACTACATGAAAATAGTTGAATAAGATTTGAACAAATGTTTAGAGCATATTGGGATTGTCTGACCTTATTTAGGATCAAGGTGATACCCAAAATAATTCACTTCAAAGAGTGAGGCAGGCATCCTCCAGAGTGTCTACCACTGAGACCCAGTGAGAGGCCCTGGTGGAGAAGGGAGGTTCTGCGCCAAAGAAGCCAAGCAGTAATTTTGAATGTGAGCTGCACATAAAAAAATCATACAGGGCTGGGCGCAGTGGCTCATGCCTGTAATCCCAGCACTTTGGGAGGCAGAGGCAGGGGGACCACTTGAGGTCAGGAGTTCGAGACCAGCCTGGCCAACAAGGCAAAACCCCGTCTCTACTAAAAATAATACAAAAAAATTAGCCAGGCGTCGTGGTGTACACCTGTAAGCCCAGCTACTCAGGAGACTGAGGCAAGAGAATCACTTGAACCCAGGAAGTGGAGGTTACAGTGTAATGTATGTGTATACACAGTGTAATGTGAGTTTCCCAGTCACAGCATCCTAAGGGACTGAGTCACAACTGCAGTGTGAATAGAAATATTTTTTACCCTAGGCCCCTACCCCATGGTCCCCTCCTCCTCCTCCTCCTGGCAGGGCCCAAGTATCTCATCAACACTGCCTCCGCTGATAAAGCCTTCCTGGACTTCTCTCTGGGCTATTCTCCACTGTGCTTCAGTGGGATCGGCAGCAGGTTTTGCATGAGCACCAGCCTGGCCATCATCAAGGCAAGCAGTGATGTTGCCAACTCCATACATCACTGCTAGTGTTGGCCACTAGCAATACAGTGTAGTCACTGTCACTCCCCAGTGAGGACATCACCGTGTACTCTGACCGTGGTTGCCACTACCCCATGTTGGGGCTGACACTACCCCATTGCCCCTGTGCCAATTAGACCAAAGAGTGCCCTTCCTTAAGACATTGGACTTCCTCTAACAGAAAACCATCATGATATTCTGACTTTAGGATGCAACACTTGGCTGCCATTTGCTGGAAAGATTTCTCTTTGGTGTCCATTATGTGTATGGGCTTCTTGGGATGTGGTAGGGCACAGCCTGGCCAGTTTCTAACTCTTTGAAGTGGAAGAGATGTCTCTCCTGATCAGTTTTCATGGCTTGTTTATAAGGCTCCAAAAGGACCACTCCTGCTCTTTTCATTTTCTTAGGGCCTCCTAGATTCCTCCACCAGGGCTGGGTCAGAAGTCATCAACCATCAACCACCATCAACCACCCAGGGATACGTGCAAGAGACTCCCCGCAGTGATTCTACCATGGAGTGATTTTTTTGCCCATCCAAGCATATTCTTCAGGGGTCAAAGTCACCTTTGTCTTTATTTTTTTTCCCCTAGACATGTAAACCTGCTCTCCTAGAATCCTGTAGTCAGTCCTTAAAATTATCTTCATTTCTTCAAGGAGTCCTAGTGGGTTTTCACACAGAGTGGATACCTGAAATCCCATCTGGGCATGCCAACGCTTAGCTCTTGCCTCCAGCACAACTGGGGTCACAGGAGTCTCTGCCACACAATTGTGACTTATTAGACAAACATGGCCTGCAGCTGCCTGAACTTGGCTGGCTTCTCTGAAAGAGTCTCCTTCCATCACAAGTCACCTGTGGTCTCTTAGTGTTCATTCACAACAGTTGATATTTAACAACCAAAGCCAGCCCAACATATAATAAGGTGTTTGAACTAAACCAAGAAGTTTCTCCCTCTAAACTTCAATTGGGTTAAATTTCTTAGGAAGAGAGCCCCTTAAAGAAGCAGCCATCAGTCAGTGTTAACTAAGCATCTCCTAACAAAGCTCTTAGATGCGGAAGAGGACTCCAAGGTGGTCTCCAACTCTCCATAGGAATTGCATCCTACAATTCCATTCCATCCTGATTAATATGTAGGATTAATTAATATGTTGGATTGGACCTGAAGTCAGTGCAGACACCACAGGTTTAGGGTTTAGTCCCATGAGACTGCTCCACTTTGGATGCCAGTCGAAAGTCACAGGTTGTCCCCAGTACTTCTGATCAATCAGCTATAAACCAAGAGTTTCCACAACCCCCTCCTCAGGTTGGATAATTTGCTAGAAGGACTCACAGAACTCAGGAAAGTATTTTACTTACTATTACTGGTTTATTGGAATGGATACAAGTTAGAAACAGGCAAATGGAAGAGATGTAAAGGACAAGGTACTAGGGGGCGGTGTGGAGCTTCCACGCTCTCTCTGGAATGCCACCCTCCCAGGACCTCAACGTATTCAGCAACTCAGAAGCTCTCTGAACCTCACTGTTCAGTTTTTAATGGAGATCCCATTACCTAGACATGATTGATTAAATCATTAGCCATTGGTGATTGACTCTATCTCCAGCCCCTCTCTCTTCCCAGGAGGTCCAGGATAGGGCTGAAAGTTCCAATCCTCTACTCCTGCCTTGGTCTTTCTGGAGAGCAGCCCCCATCCTGAAGCTAACTAGGGACCCCCAGCCACCGGACATCTCATTGGCACACAAAAGACACTCATCTCTTGGGGACAAAGCCCAAGTATATCTTATCACAGATAGACAGACTGGGCCCCTTCATGGAAAAAGTTCCCAATTTACTCTGAAAGATAAGAGTGACTATACTTCGCTGCTTGCCTGCCACGGTCCCAGTTTACACACATTGTCCCAGAGTAATTATTATTCCCACCTCCTTTCACTCTTAAGAATGTCATGGTTTGGAGGCTAAAAGTCACACGGTCACCCTAGATAAGACACATATTTAAGAAAAGAGAACTTGGAAGTCAGAGTAGAACACACCATTAAGTGTTAGGATTGTCACAAAGCCCATGAGGCTGGCTAGGGACCCCTGGAGTCAGTGTCTAAGGCTCCTTTTCTTACCAGGCCCTGCACATGCCTCTCGCACCAGGGAAAGGGAGGCCTCTGGAGAGGGCAAGGGCACCGGTTAGATGCAGCAAATCCCAAAAAAGTCTGACTTCATTGCTTTTCCATTCGTTGGTAAAGACAAATAAAAGGCTATAAAATACATTTTAAAGGGAGGGCACTAGAGACAGCATTATGGACTTTAGACCTATGAAGACCTGAAGCCCTACTTCGTATCCACACATACCACAGGCTCTGAATGCTGAGTGAAAAATAGCTCAGTGACAGAGAGAGAGAGAGAATGTGAAAAAGAGAGAGAGAGAGAATATGTGTATCTGATTCCATGTGATTTAGGGGTTTTGTCTGGAGACATCCCTGTGCCTCGCTCCCCCTCCCTGGGCGTGGCTGGCCACTCGCATCCCTGGCTCCCTCCTCCCATGTACCACGTTTCCAGTCCTCTTTGCTGAGGATAACACTGCACAAAGACAAATGGTGAAGCCTCTTTTTTCTCCAACTGAAGTAACACCCAGGCGATGAGAGCAGCACATCTTAATTCCCAACAAGTTTACTCGAAGAGCCCCTTCCTCCTCTGCTCCCTTGGCTATCCGGCACCTCGATGTCCCTCCCGCCCTTGCAGGGAAGCCTGGGTGTTGCCAGCTCCCTGGTGAGGAAAAGGCAGGTTCTCCTGAGGGAAGGAGCGAAGAGGACATCTGACTTGGGTACCCATGTTCCCTTTGGTTATTTACCTGTCCTGTGGCTGACGCCACCACCCACACCTGGAGATGTCCCCAGAGCACACCGTGGGCGAAGGTGTTTTCCTCTCTTCATTCTCGTGTTTAATACAACCAGATCTTGGAAGCGCTGGGAAGAAGGGCAGGCAGTGAATGGTGTGACAGAGCCAAATCCTCTGACCCCACGCCTTTCCCTGGGCTTGACAGAGTGGGGACAGATAGGGCATCTCCACAGGCAAGGCTGTGGGGATTGATAAGACGGGCACACCCACAACTCCCGAGTCACTGACAACCCTCTGCATCCTGTGAAAGAGTCATTTTCAAGAAGTCAAAAACATGGTTGTAAGGGATGGCCCAAGGGAGTTTTTCAGGGGGATGATGGACCTGTTTTGTATCCTAATTGTGGTAGCAGGTACGCAACTATATATGGGCTAGAATTCATAGAACTGTAAATGAAGAAAACCCTCAACTTTGCCAGATGTTAATTTTTCAAAATTAAATTTTAAAACATGGCTTTCACACAAATATAGAATGAACATGTATCTAAAAAGTATTTAATCAGTGAGAGAACCAGCAGGATGGAAGAGCTGGTTTAAAAAAAAATGTAGGAGACATCAAAATAGTTACAATTACTGAAGGAAAGAATATTAAAGTAATATTGCTAAATCACTTTATATAAAACCTTAGACTTTCTTTCTCTTCTTTTTTTTTTTTTAAGATGGAGTCTTGCTCTGTTGCCCAGGCTGGAGTGCAATGGCGTGATCTCCCCTCACTGCAACCACTGCCTCCCAGGTTCAAGCGATTCTCCCACCTCAGCCTCCTGAGTAGCTGGGATTACAGATGCCCACCACCATGCCCGGCTAATTTTTGTATTGTTAGTAGAGATGTGGGGGTTTCACCATGTTGGCCAGGCTGGTCTCAAACTCCTGACCTCAGGTGATCTGCCCACCTCGGCCTCCCAAAGTGCTGGGATTACAGGCGTGAGCCACTGTGCCCGGACTTAGCCTTTTTTCCCCTTTTCTTTTTTTTTTACAATTTTTTATGGGGCAATATTTCATCCCATAAAATAGAATGAGTGTCCTCCCTGGCCTTTTCACTAAAATGCTTTTATTTGTGTCACTATAAAACAAGTCTGCACCCTATCAGTTTCCTATGCCTTTGTCATAAAGTTGTAAAATAACCTAATGAGTAGTAAATAGCAAGTTAGACAAAGGTCTACACCCCTAGAAAGTCAGGTAATTCCTTGAACAGGCCTGCCAGACAATGCCCAAGGCTGACATGACTCAAAGGACCTGCAGGAATCTCTGCTCCATTTTCAAGTCTTGGACAATTTTCCCTAACAATTTTCCTGTTCCTATTTCCCAGGGGAAAGGAAACAGGAATGTGAGGCCCACAGCTGTGCCCAGGGAGGAAATAGTGAACTGAGCTATCAAAGAAGGGAGAGGCCCAGGGATGTCCTGTGGTCCTAAGGAAGCTAGCTGGTCTGCATCCCAGCAGGACATCAGTGGTTTTGAAAAATATAGGCATTCATAGAAAAGATAGCAGGAAAGAAAACCAGACAGGGCTGTCTGGATCCACAGACCACCCAGATCATCCTCAGACCCACCAGAATCATTCTTGCCCCAGGGTTCCAGACCCATGGCAGGTGGCACAGCCTGGGACCTGGCCTCTCCCTCTAGGTTTCATGAGCACTGTTCCAACTGCCATGACTTCGGGTGAGTCCCTCAGCCTTTCTTTTTCTTTTCTTTTTTTTTTTCTTTTTTTTTTTTTTGGAGATAGAGTATTGCTCTGTCGCCCAAGCTGGAGTGTAGTGGCATGATCTTGGCTCACCACAACCTCCCCCTCCCGGGTTCAAGAGAGTCTCCTGCCTCAGCCTCCTGAGTAGCTGGGATTACAGGCGCACACCACCACACCGGGCTGATGTTTGTATTTTTAGTAGAGATGGGGTTTTGCCATGTTGGCCAGGCAGGTCTTGAACTCCTGACCTCAGGTGATTCACCTGCCTCAGTCTCCCAAAGTGCTGGGATTACAGGCATCAGCCACTGTGCCCAGCCCCTCGACCTTTCTTTTTCAGACATTGGAAATGGGACACGTTAGCCCTATCTGCTCAGAGGGGAACTCCAAAGCGAGCCCAGAGCAGATGTGGGAGTGGATTCGGCCTCCTCCGGACCCCTCCAGCTGGGTGGAAGGGGTCTTGCCAGCCAGTTCCCCCAGGACAGCATCTGAGTGCAGGTGGACCCTGGTGACTGGCCCCATGACAGCCAAGGCTCCGGAAACCACAGCATGTCTGCAGCTGCAGGGTCTTCTTTTGTGGGAAGGGGAAAAGCAAAGCCGCCCTGAGGGAATGCTAAACATGTGCTCAGCAGAGAGGCTCCGGGCTGGGAGAGGAAGGTGAGGCGGGAGCCTGTAAACAAAAGGCCACAGCCCTGAGAAATCCAGGAGGAGCTGGTAGGAGGCGGGGCGCGAACGGCCCTGGCTGCAGCCTGTGCCAGACCAGCCAGGCGCCCTGTTTACAGTGCTGGTCACACTGGGGCAACCAGAACCAGGGCTTGCTGAATTCTTCACCTCCTAGGTGACTGAACGGAGCTGGGAGGAGTCAATTCAGTCCCCTTGGCCTTCGTGCCAGCTGGCCTCTCCCGAGGTTAATAATTCAGGCCTCTCCAGCCAGTGGGCCCAGGGCCTGCGTCAGGGCTGTGAACTGTGGTTTCTGTTTCCCTGGCTGCCTCCCCACAGTGCTAGGCCGACAGTGCTGCCAACCAGAAGACCCTCCTCAGCCACCCACCAGTGGGGGCATCCTGCCTGACCTTCAGCCTGCCCCAGCCTGCTTCCCACGCCCACAGGGAGGGCAGGTATCGTGCAGCTCCTCTGGTTACTGTTCTCTGGCAGCCGTCCAATCCCTGCCCTGGGTTGCTGGATTCACACCTCACCGGGCACACTTCAAGGAAGGGAAGCTCTCATTGCCCTCCCTCCTCCATGCCCTTCTCATGCTTCACTCCCAATCCTGTGCCCCAGGTGCCTCTACTCCCAGACCCGGACTCACTGGTATGTGGGGGACCAGCACGGCAGAGGGCAGGAATACAACTGCTCCCCTTTCTCCAGACCCCTAACTCTGTTCACAATTGTCAAGAAAGCCCCAGACCACTGACGTGATGGTATGGGTAGGAACCGGGGTGACAGCTCTGTGGCCTGAGTGTCTGGGCAGGGCAGAGAAGCATCCTGGGAGACCTCATTCCCCCTGGGTGGGTTCCTGGCATTCCCGTCACGGGCTTGAGCCAGAAAAAGTGACCATTGAAAGAGCCTCCACCTCAGACACTGGCTAGGGCAGAGGGTCAGTTCAGCAACCTGCCGTCCCTGGGTTGTGGGCTTCCCCCAGTACACCAGCTGCGGAAAAGCAGAGTCTGAACAAAACAAGAGAGGGTCCCTGATGGTGGAACTTCTCACGGGGAGCTGGAACTTCTCACGGGGAGCTGAACCCGGGAGGGGGAGATTGTGGTGAGCCGAGATCATGCCGCTACACTCCAGCCTGGGCGACAGAGCAATACTCTATCTCAAAAAAAAAAAAAAAGAAAGAAAAAGAAAGGCCGAGGGACTCACCCGAAGTCATGGCGGTGGGAATAGTGCCCATGAAACCTAGAGGGAGAGGCCAGGTCCCAGGCTGTGCCACCTGCCATGGGTCTGGAACCCTGGGGCAAGAATGAATCTGGTGGGTCTGAGGATGATCTGGGTGGTCTGTGGATCCAGACAGCCCTGTCTGGTTTTCTTTCCTGCTATCTTTTCTATGAATGCCTATATTTTTCAAAACCACTGATGTCCTGCTAGGATGCAGACCAGCTAGCTTCTTACGGGGCTGCTGCTGTGGTGGGGCTCACACGGAGGAGGCAAGAAGCCTTCTGCCTTGACAAATGTAATCGCCAGGTAGCAGGGACTCTGGCAGGTGGCAGGCAGCTCAGGGCCTTCAGAGAAATGAGGAGAGCCCTGGACAACAGCCAGGAGAAATCTGGGAATATAGAGGAGACAGCAGTCCTTAAAGGACCCCAGATTAGGCAACTTTCAGTTTCAAAGTGACAGAAAGTTTCTCTACCTCTTCAGTGGGAAGAGCCTAGAGGACTGCTTTGCTGACTTTGGCACTCAGACAGAACCTCCTGGATAAGAGGCAGGGAAAATACCTCTTACATAACCTCAACTTTTCGAAAGCCAGGGCATGCCACTGATACATAACGAGATCGCTTTGATCTGAGAGTGCTCCAGAGCTAGTCTTCTTTTCACTAGGGATGAATGAAAAACACACTGTTTTTCCTCTGCTCTCACACCACAACCATCAGCCCAGAAAACCTGGGTGATCAGATGTGTGGGGATTTCTCTCTACCAATAAGCAGGCAAGCAAGCAATTCCACAGCAGATGCCAGCTGTTCAATCACGATTTACCTGGAGATAGTGTCAGATCCCACAGGTTGAGGGTTCATCCTCACAAGACTGCCCCCCAACTTCCAATGTCAATCACAAGCCCCATTATTTTAATCACCTGACAGGTTCGTCCCACCCACTGCACAGACAAAACCAATTCACTAAGACCGTGGTACTGCAGTAAAGAAATAGTTTAATTAATGCAAGGCCAGACACATGAAACAACTGGTGTTATCACTCTAATCAGTCTCCCTGAGGGCTTGGAGGCTAGGGTTTGTCAAGGATAGTTTGGTGGCCAGAGAACTAGAGAATGGGTGCTGCTGATTGTTTGGGGATGCAATCATAGGGGCGTGGAAAACAGTTCTCGTGCCCTCAGTCGGCTCCTGGGTCAGGGACCGCAGGACTAGTTAAGTCATGAGTTATAAGTCTCAGTGGGGTCAGTTGGTTTCCAGAATACAAAAGTCTGAAAAAGATCTCAAAAGACAAATCTTAGGTTCTACTATAGGAGCAACTGAGGAAGTTGCAAACCTTCTGACCTCTGGCCACATGACTCCTGAGCAGCAAAGAATTGTAGAAACTATGCCTATATTTTAGCAGAATTCAGTCCTTTCCCACAATCCTAATTAGTCTTGCAAAGGCAGTTTTAGTCCCCAAACAGGGAGGGGATATGTTTTAGGAAGGGACTGTTATCATCTTTGCTTCCAAATTCAACTATAAACTAACTTCCTCCCATGGTTAGCTCAGCCTGTGCCCAGGAATGAGTGAAGACAGCCAGCCTGTGAGGCCAGAAGCAAGATGGAGTCAGCCATGTTAGATTTCTCTCATTATCACCATCTTTGCAAAGGTGGTTTCATTATTTTGTCTGTGCTTCTTGCCAACTGGCTATTGATCCAGGTTCCCATGCCCCCCTCCTTGGGTTCAATTAATTTGCTAGAGTGGCTCACAGAACTCAAGGAAACACATTTACCGTTTTTTTTTTTATAAAGCTTATTACAAAGGAAATGAAGAGATACATAAGTTGAGGTATGGAGTCTGGAGCTTCCGTGCCCTCTCAGTATTTGCCACCCTCCCAGAACCTCCTCATGCTCAGCTGTCCAGAAGCTCTCTGAACCAGAACTTTTCGGGTTATTATGGAGGCAGGCATGATTAAGCCATTGGCCTTTGGTGCTTAACCCAAACTTTAGCCCCCTCTCCTCCAAATGAAGAGATGCATAAGATAAGGAATTGCAGGGAGAGCTGAAAGTTCCATCCCTCTAATCCTGCCTTGGTCTTTTTGGTGACCAGCTCACATCCTGAAGTTAGGTAGGGGCTGCCAGCCATGGATCAACTCATTAGCAAACAAAAAGACTTTGGAGTTCCCAAGGATTTTAGGAGTATGCTAGGAGACCGGAATAAGACTCTCTCTCTCTCTCTCTCTCTCTCTCTATATATATATATATATATATATATGTGTGTGTGTGTGTGTGTGTGTGTGTGTGTGTGTGTGTGTATATATATATAATTTTTTTTAGATGGAGTCTTGCTCTGTCACCCAGGCTGGAGTGCAGTGGCACAATCTCAGCTCACTGCAACCTCCGCCTCCCGGGTTCAAGCGATTCTCCTGCCTCAGCCTCCCAAGTAGCTGGGACTACAGGCACCCACCACCATGCCTGGCTAATTTTTGTATTTTTAGTAGAGATGGGGGGGTTCACCATGTTGGCCAGGCTGGTCTCAAACTCCTGGCCTCAAGTGATCCACCTGCCTCAGCCTCCCAAAGTCCTGGGATTACAGGCATGAGCCACCACGCCCGGCCCAAATATATATTTTACAATATTATACTAGGCCTCTTCTCTTCACTAGCAAGTCTCCTCCACCCTGAGCATCTGGGAACCAGGTCTGCGCTGGTCCTTCATACTCCCCACCACAGCCTCCTGAGGTGGGAATTAGCACCCTGGGACAACTGGAACTCCAAGATTAAGTAAACCTAAACCATTTGTCTCCACCTTGTCTTTCTGCCAATGATCTTTTGGACTCACATGTAGGTCATCCCATGTCCCTGTTAAAAGTAATTTTGAAGCCAATCACAAAAGGCCACATATAGCATGATTCCATGTGTATGAAATGTCCAAAATAGGCAAATCGATAGAGACAAAAAGTAGGTGAGTTGTTGCCTATAGCTGGGGGGTGGTTGAGGGATGGGTGACTAAAGGGTACAGGGTTTCTTTTTGAAGTGATGAAAATGTTCTAAAATTGATTATGAAGATGAACAGGCAACCTTTGTGACTGTACTAAAAAACACTGAATTGTGTACTTTAGATGGGTGAATTGTAAATTATATGTCAATAAAGCTGTTAGAAGAAAAACCAATGATTTTTGCAGATTTTGACCCACAAGATGATCTGCCATTTGCTATATTACATGTGGATATATATGATGTCTCTGTGTCCACTCAGTTGGAAAAGGCCTCCGAGGCCCATTTGGGATCTCACCTGCCTACTCCAGCTGTGAGCATGGAAGGGAAATGAGCTATTTGGGTTGTCAAGAATGTGACAGGAAGGGATCAGCAGAGGCTCTAGGTGGAGGCAGGATGAAAACGTGGAAGCCTTGCACCACACGTTGCACCACAGCCCAGACTCAGGCTCCCAGAGCTCTAGGCTCTCACTGGGCTGGTGGTGAAATGGTGGTGCTGTGAGGTCTCCATTTCCATTGAGAAGTCAATAGAAGATCTCTCAAAGCTGTACCTCCTCCTCTCTCGGGAGGGTTCCAGGGCCCCTGGACAGTCTCCCTAGACATAAGTGTGCCTTAAGATATTTGTGCCCTTTGCTATGTGGGCCTGGGATGGCCACAGCTCTTGGGCTGGTAAGCTCAGGCCTCTAGCAACCTATCCAGGGCTTCGAATTTCCTACAGTGAGCCATGTAATGCTGAGAGGTGAAAATGGTTGGCTGACATGGTTGCTTTGCCCAGTGGTTTTCAAAGGGTGGTCCCAGGACCAGCAATATCAGCATCACTTGGGAACTCTTCAGGAATACAAATGCTCAGGCCATCCCAGACCTATTGAATTGGAAACTCCACAGGTAGGACCCAGGAATCTGTGTTTTAACAAGCCATCCAGGGGAGTCTGATGGACATGAAAGTTTGAGAATCATGATATAGATCCTGAGGTCCCTGAAGCAGAGGGACACATGCTGGTTCTGGATTGCATCCCCAGCACTAGCGACGTCTGCTATAAGAGGCGGTCATGAAGATTTTGTTGAATAAGTGAATGAACGCATGGTTTAGCTTATTTGTGATGGACTGCTTCTCTCTAACCAGCTGCCAACGAGAATATTTGCAAGCTGATAAAAAGAGAAGGGTGTGAGTATATCTGATCGTTCACTCCAGCTTCTTGTTGGCTCTGTTTGATCTCTGAATTATTAAGCAGGACTCATGGCCCATTTCACGTTTTCTTTTTAGAGATGAGGCCCTGGCTCTTTGACAATTTTTTTTTTCTAACCTCCAGAAACAAAAGCACTTTCCATTTGATTTCAGAATCAAGTTCTCCCACTACATCATTCTGGCCCTGGAAGGAAAAGGAGGATGCAGCTAGAAGGATGTTTTTGCATTTTCAAGTTCAAATGTACTCAAATTATTAAACATCTGGCTCTCAGGAGAACCAAGAAACACAGGCCAAGCACTTCTTAGAAATCCTGGGGGATGGGCAGGTTATGCACAGCAAATAGTAGGCCCATTTCCCATTCAGAGTTAGCCAGTGGCCAGAGGCTGGGTGGAGCTTGGTGCCTTCTCTCCTTGGTTTTGGATTATGGGCTGACTTTCAGATTCTCTGAAACTGCCACCTCCCTCAAATTCCCCAAAGCCAGGATTTCTTTGGGCTCACACCTCCTGAAACTAGCTGCTCTGTCACCCAGTGTGGTGCCCTTTCTCCTGTAACCACATACATTTCAGCTGGTGAGAGACTGGCCCCAGACAGACTGGGCACAGTGCCAGGACACTGAGGCATCCTCTGTTTCAGGAGCTCCTGGCTCCCTGCCACCAGCCCCACCCCTCACGAGGTCACCACACTCAACTGACAGGCACTAATCACCCTCTGAGCCATCTCACCCACAATGGACATCCAACACCCTCTATCTTTTTAGAACCAGACCCCTGCAGCAGTCTAATAGAACAACCAGGCTAAGAAACTAATTGCCCCAGGCTGGGTACGGTCGCTCACACCTGTAATCCCAGCACTTTTGGGAGGCTGAGGTGGGCAGATTGCTTGAGCTCAGGAGTTCAAGACCAGCCTGGTCAACATGGCAAAGCTGGGCATGGTAGTATGTCCTGTAGTCCCAGCTACTTGGGGGACTGAGGTAGGAGGACCGCTTGAGCCCCAGAAGTTGAGGGTGCAGTGAGCTGAGATTGCACCACTGCCTGGGGGATAAAGTGAGGCCCAACAAAAAAAAGAAAAAGTAACTGCCCCTTGTTTTCTGGGCTGTAGGCGCATAATGAAAAAAATGAACTATACCTCTCCTCCTATTGGATAGCCAGGCCTCAAGTCCTGGGGCATGGGTTTCCCCTACCCAGAGAGGTGAAGGCTTTATTTTTAGGAAGTGAGTAAAGAGCTGGTGGGATGGCTTGGAAGGAGGCTAGAGAAGGAAGCAGCCAAAGTGGAGGGAAGGATGAGGTGCGTGAGCCATCGGCCTTCTGCAGGCCTCATGACTGGGGGATCTGCACCCTGGGAATGACACGTCCTGAAGGTCAGCGACTGTGGCACCAGAGGCAGAGGCCTGAGAACCTCTGCAAAGAAGTGTCCTAGCTTGGTTTGAAGGAGGAGGAGTCAGCCGGGCGCGGTGGCTCACGCCTGTAATCCCAGCACTTTGGGAGGCCAAGGTGGGCGGATCACGAGGTCAGGAGATCGAGACCATCCTGGCTAACACGGTGAAACCCCGTCTCTACTAAAAATACAAAAAAATTAGCTGGGCATGATGGCGGGCGCCTGTAGTCCCAGCTACTCGGGAGGCTGAGGCGGGAGAATGGCGTGAACCCGGAGGCGGAGCTTGCAGTGAGCTGAGATCGCGCCCCTGACCTCCAGCCTGGGCGACAGAGCGAGACTCCATCTCAAAAAAAATAAAAAATAAAAAGAAAGAGGAGGAGTCATGAGCATGGATGAGATCAGAAGGGCTGTGGACAAATTGCACGAGGAGAAGCAGCCAATGCTGGACCGAAGACGGGGCCTCTTCCCTCTTCCCTAAGACAGTGTAAGCCTGGGCGTCACATGCACACCTTGGGCTGGGTGGATGAAGTGGGGGAGGAGGGAGGAAATCCTAAACAATGACAGAGACTGATTTCCCACTAACCCTAGTGGGGGGAGCATATGAATTTGATTTGTCATTTCTCACACTTTGGGATTCTGAAGAATATTTCACCTCTCCAATAGACTGTAAACTCCTAGTGACAGGGGACAGGTCTTTCACTTTTTACAGAATACCCCTCCCTGGCACTTAACAGTGACAGGCACATCGTGGGCGATGGATTGACTGGGAGCGTATTATCATTTCTACATGGTAATTTTCTTCTCCTGATTCTCCTCCTCCTCTTCTACCGTTCATCTTCTTGCTATTTCTATCCCTACTCCTCTTCCTCCTCTACTTCTACTGCTTTTTAAATTAACTTTCTCAGGTATAATTTGCATACAATTGAATGTACCTTTTTACTGTGCAGTTCTATTAGTTTTTAGATGCTCACTCCATCACAGTCAAGTTGGAGAACATTTCCATCACCCCCTGATTTCCCTTGACTGCCTCCTCGCAGTTAATTCCTTCTCCCACCCCCAGCCTCTGGCAATTTCATGTCAATAGACTCACACAGCATATACTCTTCTGTGTATGGCTTTCTTTGCTTAGCATGATGTTTTTGAGAAGTATCTATGTTCTTGCATGCATCAGCGGTTTGTTCATTTTATTATTGAGTAGTAGCCCTTGTGTTGAAACTGCCTTTGCAAAGACTATGATAGTGAGAGAAATATAACACAGCTGACTCCATCTTGCTTTTAGCCTCGCAGGCTGGCATCTTTGCTCATTCCTATGCACAGGCCAAGCTAACCATGGGAGGAATTTAGCTTACAGTTTAACTTGGAAACAAAGACGATAATAGTCCCTCCCTAAAACTAACCTCTGCCCCCTTGCTCAGGGACCAAAACTAATGAAAGGCCATAAGATTAGGATTATGAGAGGAGACATGAACTCTGCTAAAATATAGGTGTAATCCCTTCCCTCCCCTTCCCCTTCCTCTTCCCCGCCTCCACCTCTCCCTTCCACTCCCCTTTCCTTCCTTTCTTTTCCTTTCTTTTTTGAAACCAGGTGTCACTCTGTCCCCCAGGCTGCAGTGCAGTGGTGCCATCACAACTCACTGCAGCCTCAACCTCCCAGACTCAAGTGATCCCCCTACCTCAGCCTCCTGAGTAGCTGGGACTACAGGTGTGCACTACCACACCCAGCTAATTTTTGTATTTTTTGTAGAGATGGCATCCCATCATGTTGCCGAGGTTGGTCTTAAACTCCTGTGCTCAAGCAATCCTCCCACCTCAGCCTCCCAGAGTGCTGGGACTACAGGCATGAGCTATTATGCCCAGCTGTAGGTATAGTCTCTATAACTCCTTACTGCTCAGGAGTCACATGGCCAGAAGTCACAAGATTTGTGATTTCTCCAATTGCTCCAACAGATAACATCACTATTGTAGAACCTAAGATTGGTCTTTTGAGATGTTTTTCAGACTTTTCCATTCTGGAACCCAACTGACCCCACCTGGACTTGTGACTCATGACTCAACTGGTCCGTGGCCCCCGACCCAGAGGCAGACTCTGTGCACAAGGACTGTTTTCCATACTCCTATGATTGCATCCTCAACCCAATCAGCAGCACTCGTTCCCTAGTCCCTCACCCACCAAACTATTCTTTAAAAACCCTAACTTCCAAGCCCTTGGGGAGACTGATTTGAGAGATAACACCAGTCCTTCCACTAGGTGGCCTTGTATTAATTAAATCCTTTCTCCACTACAATACAACGGTCTCAGTGATTTGGTTTTGTCTGTGCAGTGGGCAGGAAGAACCTGTCAGGCAATTACAGTATGACTATACCATAGTTTGTTTATTCATTCCTCTGTTGATAGACATTTGGGTCATTTTCAGATTGGGGCCACTATAAATAATGCCATGAACATTCATGCGTAAGTCTTTTCATGGGCGTATGTTTCATTTCTCTTGGATAAATACCTAGAAGTGCTAGGTTCCATTGTAAGTATATATTTAACTTAACTTTCTGAGAAACTGCCAAACTATTTTCCAAAGTGGTTATACATTTTACATTTCTACCAGCAATGTATGAGAATTCCAGTTGTTCCACATCCTTGCCAGCAAGATTGACAGTTGGTTCTGTCAATCTTTTAATCCTAGTCATTCTAGTGGTTAGGTAGTGGTATTGTATTGTGGTTTTAATGTGCTTTCCTCTGATAAATAATGATGTTGAGTACCTTTTAGTATGTTTATTGATATATTTTCTTTTTTTTTTTTTTTTTGAGATGGAGTTTCACTCTTGTTACCCAGGCTGGAGTGCAGTTGCACAATCTCGGCTCACTGCAACCTCTGCCTCCAAGGCTCAAGCGATTCTCTTGCCTCAGCCTCCCGAGTAGCTGGAATTACAGGCATGAGCCACCAGGCCCAGCTAATTTTTTGTATTTTTAGTAGAGACAGACTTTCACCATGCTGGGCAGGCTGGTCTCAAACTCCTGACCTCAGGTGATCCGGCCATCTCAGCCTTCCAAAGTGCTAGGATCACAGGCATCAGCCACCACACCCAGCCTTAGGTATTCATATATTTTCTTTTGTGAAGTCTGGTCAAATCTTTTGTGCACATACATACATATATACACACACATTTAAATGAAACAAGGTCTCATTACATTGCTGAGGCTGAACTTGAACTCCTGGGCTCAAGCAATCCTCCCAACTCAGCATCCCAAGTAGCTGGGACTATAGGCATGTACCACCACACCTGGCTCTATCCTGGTTCTTTTATTTGTTCTTACACAAGCAACTCTTGCTGTTGCATCCAAATAAGAAATGCAGAAAAGCAAAAGGAAAACAATCAAAATCCTACCAACTGGCAAAGGATTGTGACATTTCTCCAAAGAAGATAAATGACCAATAAGGATATGAAAAGATGCTCATTGTCAGTCATGAGGGAAATGCAAATCAAAATGACAGTGAGATGTCATGTTACATCATCCATTAACAGGGTTGCTATTATAAAAATACAGAAAATGGGCCAAGCACGGTGGTTCACGCCTGTAATCCCAGCACTTTGGGAGGCCAAGGCAGGCAGATCATGAGGTCAGGAGATCGAGACTATCCTCGCTAACACAGTGAAGCCCCGTCTCTACTAAAAATACAAAAAAAATTAGCCAGGTGTGGTGGCAGGCACCTGTAGTCCCAGCTACTCAGGAGGCTGGGGCAGGAGAATGGCGTGAACCTGGGAGGCAGAGCTTGCAGTGAGTGGAGATGGCGCCATTGCACTCCAACCTGGGTGACAGAATGAGACTCCATCTCAAAAAAACAAAAAAAACAAAAAAACAGAAAATGGCAAGTGTTGGCAAGGATGTGGAGAAATTGGAAATCTCATATGTTGCTGATGGGAATGTAAAATGGTACAACTACTATGGAGAACAGTTTGAGGATTAGTCAAAAAATTAAACATAGAATTACTATATGATCCTGCAATTCCACTCCTAAGTATAAACCCAAAAGAATTGAAATATATGTTCACACAAAAGTTGTATTCAAGTGTTTATAGGAGCATTATTCATGATAGCCAAAAAGTACACACAACTCAAATGTCCATCATCTGATGAATGACTAAACAAAATATGGCAATGTAATATTATTTGGCAATAGAAAGGAATAAAGTACTGACATGCTACAATGTGGACGTGCCTTGAAGACATTATGTTAAAAGAACTCAGACATGAAAGGTCACATATTGTATGCTTCCATTTACATGAAGTGTCCAGAATAGGCAAATCTATAGAGACAGCATGTAGGTTAGTGGTTTCCAAGGACTTGAGAGAGAAGTGACTACGAATGGATATGGGGTTTCTTTATCAGGTTGTGAAAATGTTCTTTCAGGATGAAAATGGAATGAGACAGTGATGATCATTGCACAACTCCATGAATATACTAAAAAACACTGAATTGTATACATGAAAGCGGTGAAGTTTATGGTATGTGAATTGTATATCAATTAAAAGCACATCCTATCCACCGACCAATCATAAGCAATTAATATGAAGATAGACATTGTCTTCATCCATTTTATATTGCTATAACAGAATACGACAGACTGGGTAATTTATAATGAACAGAAATTTATTGGCTCACAGTTCTGGAGGGTGGGAAATACAAAATTGAAGGGCTGGCATCTGGTGAGAGTTTTCTTGCTGCATCATCCCATAGTGGAAGGTGAGAGAGTTAGAAAGAGACAAAAAGGGATTGAACTCATCCTTCTATAGGGAACCCACTCCAACAATAACGAACCCACTCCTGTGGTAATAGCATAAATCCATTCATGAGGACAGAACCTTCATGACCTAAACACCTTTTGAAGATCCCACCCCTCAACACCTCTACATTAGGGATTAAGTTTCTAACACATGAACTTTGGGGGATACATTCAAACCATAGCAGGCATATTTCCAGGTCCACATTAAACAAATAGGTACTTTTAGATATATATTATTCATATTATTTGTTAGCCTGCATTGTCACATTACATTTTTTGAATATCAATCTGTGTCGATAAATACAGATCTACATCGTCTACACTTATGGCTACATTATTCTCTTATATAGTTAAAGCAATTATTTAGCCAATTTATCATTGTTATTTATTTAGGCTGTTTCTAGTTTTCTGGTATTAATCAACAGCACCCTTGAATATTCTTTTTGGTTAACTTTTCTAATTATTCCCTTAAGATTCATTTCAAGAAAGAGGACTGGTGGATTTTTAAGATATTAAGAAATTGTCAAATTGGCCTCCAGAAGTATGTGGGATTTACCTTCCCACTCAGAAGGGTGAGGGAACACAAGCCCCTAAATCATCTTCAACACTAGACATTTTTACTTGTTTTCATCTTTGCTTCTTTGTAGGTGGAAAAGTGAAACCACATTCCTGTTTGATTTCTGACAGCTTTGGCTGCCTGCCTTTTCCTTCCTCACCAAGATGATTGGCTGCCGTGTTGTCCCACTTTATCTTCAAGAGCCCCCAGCCTTCCTGAGCCACCTTCTCTTTGGAGGGAGATCTGTATTTACCAAATATCTATGTATTTATTGAATATCTGTTTGATTTATTTTATTGTATATTGAATATTTTTATATTTATTTTAAATGATTAAATATCTGTATTGTTGTGTCCTAATTTACTCTTCACAATACCCTATGAGGTAGGTATGATACCCCTTGTACAGATAAGAAAACTGTCTCAGAGATCACTGAAGCTATAAGTGGCAGAACCAGAGTTCAAACCCAAGGCTGCCTCATTCTAAAGTCTCCACTCTTTCCGTTCAAACATGGGATCATGCCTTTGGCTATTTATCTTTCTCCTGACCTTTTTTGAAATCATTCTTCCTAATGTCTAGTGTGTATTGACTATACACATTTCACATGTTTTTCCCTAGATATTACGCATGAGCTCACTCCTCTTTCTCAGCCAGAATTCAGTTTCAAGCAACAATTCCCTTGATGCTCCCAAAATCTAAGAGGGCATTGAGACCCAAAACACAGATGCCCAGTCCCTGAAGCAAGTCCATCCAGACAAGTGGGCTTTGCCTCCCAAGACCACCTGGATGACTGTTATTGGAAACCAGCTTTAGCCAAGTACACAGAGTTGAAGGTGTCACAGAAACTGAGCACACAGAATCCACAGAAAAACAATGGAATTTCTTTTAACAGTGAGTTTTCATCTAAATTGTGCCCCAAAAATGTTGATTTTTCTGATGCAGTTGAAAATTTTCCAGAGCAACTCAATTCAAGATCAATGTGTGTGTAGTAAGAATTTGGCTCCTAAGACTAGAGTTCTTGCAAGTGAAATGAGAGCCTTGATGGCCGGTTTTCAAAGCTATTGCAGGGTAGAGGACTGAGCAGGTATAAGAGAGGTAGATTCTGATGTGATGAACAAACAATGTGTTCTCCTATCACAGGCTCACTTGATCTTCCAACAACATGTTAAGCCAACCTGTGTAGGTATTTTAGTCCCTCTTTGTAGGTTAAGAAATTAAGGATTAGGCCGGGCGTGGTGGCTCATGTCTGTAATCCCAGCACTCTGGGAGGCCAAGGCGGCGGATCACCTGAGGTCAAGAGGTCGAGACCAGCCTGGCCAACATGATGAAATCCCAACTCTACTAAAAATAAAAAATTAGCCAGTCATAGTGGTGTGCTCCTGTAGTCCCAGCCACTATGGAGGCTGAGGCAGGAGAATCGCTTGAGCCTAGGAGGCAGAGGTTGCATTGAGCCAAGATCACACCATTGCACTCCAATCTGGGCAACACGAGTGAAACTCCTCTGTCTCAAAAAAAAAAAAAGAAAAGAAAAGAAAGAAAGAAATTGAGAGTTAAAAGTAGCTTGAGATCTCCCTGCTGGTAACAAGTAGAGCCTGGTTAAAAATAGTTTGAAGGCTGGGCATGGTGGCCCACGCCTGAATTCCCAGCACTTTGGGAGGCCAAGGCGGGCAGATCACGAGGTCAAGAGATCAAGACCATCCTGGTTAACATGGTGAAACCCCATCTCTACTAAAAATACAAAAAATTAGCCAGGCATGGTGGCGGGCACCTGTAGTCCCAGCTACTCGGGAGGCTGAGACAGGAGAATGACGTGAACCCGGGAGGCAGAGCTTGCAGTGAGCCGAGATCACGCCACTGCACTCCAGCCTGGGCGACAGAGCATGATTCCGTCTCACAAAAAAACAAAACAAACAAACAAACAAACAAAAAACTAGCTTGAGATCTCCCTGATAGTAAGAGGTAGAGCCCAGATCTCAGATCTTCCACCAACCTGGGCCTTGGCTATAGTCCCCAGGCCTGTTCTCTTCATTAACTCACTTCCTGGCCCCGGGGCCTTTAATTTTGGAACACTCTTCTACTTAGTCTCTTCTTAGCACATTTCACCTTGTTCTGATTATCTGTTGCTGCAGAATAAACCACCCCAAGCTTAGCAACATAAAACAATCATTTTATTATGCTCCCAGATTCTGCGAGTTGAGCATTTGAACAGGGCACTCTTGGGTGTCTTTTCTCTGCACCATAGTGCCTGGGGCCTCAGCTAGGAAGATGCAAACAGGTAGGGGGTGACTCCAAAGGCTGGGTGCTGAAATCATCGAGAACTGCACTGTCCAGTACAGTAGCCACTAGTCACATGTGGCTATTTAAATGTGAATTAAAATTAAATGCAATTTAAAATTTAGTTACTAGGTGGCACTGATCACATTTTAAGTCTTGCTAGTCACATGTGGCTAGTGTCTACCATATTGGACAGTACAGATATTAAACATTTCCATCACTGTAAAAAGTTCTTTTGGAAAGGCTGCTCTGGAGGCTTCCTCACTCAAATGCCTGGTGCCTGGGCTGGCATAACTTGAAGGCTGGACTCAGCTGAGATCTTTGACTGGTTTTGGCTTCTCATACAATGGCTGCTAGAGAGAGTGTCCTAAGAGAAGCATCAGGAGAGTGAGAGTTCTAACAGATCAAAGCGGAAGCTCAAGGCTTCTTGTAATCTATCCTTGAGTCATGTGCATCACTTCTGCCACATTCTATTGGTTACATGCCAGTAGGGTTGCCAGATAAAATACAAATATTGCATGGGTGCATTAGGCTGTACTTGCATTCCTACAAAGAAATACAAAGAAAAGAGGTTTAACTGGCTTATGGTTCTGCAAGCTTTATAGGAAACATGGTGCCAGCATCTGCTCAGCATCTGAGGAGGCCTCAGGAAGCTTTTACTCATGGTAGAAGATGAAGCAGGAGCAGACACTTCATGGTAAAAGCGGGAGCAAGAGAGAGTGGGAGGTGAGGTGCCACACACTTTTAAATGACCAGATGTGTCAAGAACTCACTCACTATCTTGAAAACAGCACCAAGTCATGAGGGATCCATCCCCATGACCCAGATACCTCCCATCAGGCCCCACCTCCAGCACTGCAGACTACAATTCATCATGAGATTTGAGCAGGGACAGACATCCAAAATATATCATTCTACCCCAGCCCCTCCCAAATCTTGTGTCCTCACATTGTGAAATACAATCATGCCTTCCCAATAGTTCCCCTAAGTCTTAACTCATTCTAGCACTAACTCAAAAGTCCAAAGTCCAAATTCTCATCTGAGAAAAGGCAAGTCCCTTCCATCTGTGAACCTGTAAAATTAAAAACAAGTTATTTACTTCCAAGATACAATGGGGGCATAGGCATTGTGTAAATACTCCCATTCCAAAAGGGAGAAATCAGCCAAAAGAAAGGGACTACAGGGCCCATGCAAGTCCAAAACCTAGCAGGGCAGTCATTAAATCTTAAGGCTCCAAAATAATCTCCTTTGACTCCAAGTCCCACATCCAAGGCACACTGGTGCAAGGGCTGGGCTCTCAAGGCCTTGGGCAGCTCCACCTCTGTGGCTTTACAGGGTCCAGCCCCTGAAGCTGCTGTAACAGGTTGTTGAGAGCCTGCAGCTTTTCCAGGTACAATGCGCAAGCTGCTGGTGGATCTATCATTCTTGGATCTGGAGGGCATTGGCACCCTTCTCACAACTCCACTAGGCAGTGCCCCAGTGTAGACTGTGTGGGGGCTCCAACCCCACATTTCCCCTCCACACTGCCCTAGTAGATGTTCTCTGTGGGGCTCTGCCCCTGCAGTAGTCTTCTGACTGGGCACCTGGGCTTTTCTATACATCCTCTGAAATCTAGGTAGAGGGTGCCAAGCCTCATTCACTCTTGCACTCTGTGCACCCACAGGCTTAACACCATGTGGAAGCCACCAAGGCTTATAGAGACTTGTATTCTCCAAAGTGACAGCATGAGAAGTATCTGGGGCCCTTTGAGCCAAGGCTGGAGCTAGAGCAGCCAGGATGTGGAGAGGAGTGTCCCAAGGCTGCACAGAACAGCAGGACCCTGGGCCTGGCCCTCAGAACCATTTAGTCCTCCTAGGCCTCAGAGCCTGTGATGGGAGGGGCTGCCTGAAGGTCTCTGAAATGCCTTCAAGGCCTTTTTCCCATTGTCTTGGCTATTAACACTTGGCTCTTTTTCAGTCATGCAAATCTCTCTAGCAAGTGGTTGCTCCACAGCCTGCTTGAATTCCCCTCCGGAAAAAGCATTTTCTTTCTCTGCCACATGATCAGGCTGCAAATTTTCTCTATGCTCTGTCTCCCTTTTAAATATAGGTTCCAACTTTAAGTCATTTACTTGCTCCTACATTTGAGTGTAGCATAGGCTGTTAGAAGCCACCAGGCTACCTCTTGAATGCTTTGCTCCTTAGAAATTTCCTCTGCCACATACCCTAAATCATCTCTCTTTAATTCAAACTTCCACACATTCCTAGGGCATGAACAGAATGCAGCCAAGCTCTTTGCTAAGGCATAACAGGCACAACCTTTGCTTCAATTCCCAATAAGTTCCTCATTTCCATCTAAGACCTTGTCAGCCTGGATTTCTCTGTCCATATCACTATCAGCATTTTGGTCACAACCATTTAACCAGTCTCTAAGAAGTCCCAAACTTATCCTTATCTTCCTGTCTTTTTCTAAGCCCTCTAAATTCTTCCAACCTCTGCCTGGTACCCAGCTACAAAGCTGCTTTCACATTTTCAGGTATCTTTATAGCAATGCACCACTCCCAGTACCAATTGTCTGTATTAAGCCATTCTTGCATTACTATAAAGAAATACCTAAGGCTGGGTCACTTATAAGGAAAAACGGTTTGATTGGCTCAGGGTTCTGAGATTTTACAGGAAACATAGTTCTGGCATCTGCTTCTGGGGAGGCCTCTGGAACCTTCATTCATGGCACAAGATGAAGCAGGAGCAGGCACTTCACATGGTAAAAGTAAGAGCAAGAGAAAGTTGGAGGGAGGTGCCACACCCTTTTAAATGACCACATCTCTTGAGAACTCACTCACTATCACAAAGACATCACCAAGAAATGAGGGATCTGCCCCCACGACCCAAATACCTCCCACCAGGCCCCACCTCCAGCATTGCAGATTACAATTCAACAAGAGATTTGGGTGGGGACAAACATCCGAACTATATTAATGAGACATACTTATATAGAACAAATGCCATTTGTTGTTCATCTGAAATTCAAATTCAACTGGGCATCTTGCATTTTCATTTACCAAATCTGATAACCTCACATGGGAATCACTAAGGCCAGCCAGATTCAGTGGGAGAATTCAATCCACCTCTTGATGAGGGAATGACAAGGTCACATTGCAGAAAAGCATGGGGGATGGGAGACATTATGGCCATCTTTGGAAAATATAATCTGCCACATGTTGCCAAGGAGGTCCTCATAGAGTTAAGGTTAAAGACTTTCATGGCTCTCCATTACCTAAAAGATGACATTTAAGTTTCATGGCCTGAAGGAACAGAATTGCAAAAAAAGATCTGCTTTTATCTCTTTTTTCCTTCACTTTGAGCTTTGAGGAACCGTCCTCAGATAATAGGTCTAAATCCTATTGCCAATAGGCATTTGTCTCTGCCAGCTCTGTAACCAAAATTAACTATACATTAAGAAAAACAGCCTGTAATCCCAGCACTTTGGGAAGCCAAGGTGGGCAGATCACTTGAGGTCAGAAGTTCAAGACCAGCCTGGCCAACATGGTGAAACCCCATCTGTACTAAAAATACAAAAATTAGCTAGGCATGGTGGTGGGTGCCTGTAATCCCAGCTACTTTGGAGGCTGAGGCAGAAGAATCACTTGAACCTGGCAGGCAGAGGTTTAAATGAGCCGAGATTGCACCCCTGCACTACAGCCTGGACAACAGAGTGAGACTCAGTCTCAAAAAACAAATAAACAACAACAAAAACAGATAATCCACAGCACCATCATAGACCATGTTTCTTCTAAAGTAGGGCCTCCTGAAGTGACAGTATACTGGGGACATATTGAATAATCAGGGAACTTATGCGAGGGGCAAACGGCTTCCCATCTGTGGCTCCCAAAGGTCCAGCTTAGCAAGAGAGACTCCTGTGCACAGCTCCCTATAATCCAACATAAGGACACACTGAAGGAATGAGCAATGTTTCGTGAAGACAAAGATTAACCCCTCTCACCAACACTGAGCATGTGTATACTTTATATAACAGTTGAAGCTATCAGCTTGTTTGGAGATACAGGTGTTTATTAGCAGAATTTTCATGCTGCTAATAAAGATATACTCAAGACTGGGCAATTTACGAAAGAAAGAGGTTTAATGTACTTACAGTTGCACATGGCTGGGGAGGCCTCACAATCATGGCAGAAGGCAAGGAGGAGCAAGTCACATCTTACGTAGATGGCGGCAGGCAAAGAGAGAGAACCTGTGCAGGGAAACTCCTCTTTATAAAACCATCAGATCTCATGAGACTTATTCACTATCACGAGAACAGCATGAGAAAGAACCGCCCCCATGATTCAATTACCTCCCACTGGGTCCCTCCTACAACACATAGAGATTGTAGGAGTTACCATTCAAGCTGAGATTTAGGTACGACACAACTAAACTATGTCAGGCCTGCAAGGATGAGGCCAAGATTCTCCATGAAGGTGTGGTCAGTCCCAATGTCAAGCTCTAGACAGCCTGGAGAGGAGTATGTTCCCTCATTCTCACATTGCACCCAGGTGTTGAAATGTCCTCAGAACCCACAAGGGTGCTTTTCAGTGGACAGTGTTAAGATGGCATGCCCATGTGGAGACCAGTCACGAGCGACGAAACAAGGACATTTCCAAATCAAATGTGACTTTGATCTAATTAATCACTTCACTGAGACTTATGATGTATTCTGTGCTTCTTTTCCTTATTTTGGACATGTGTGAAGAGGGGGCTGGGACCAAGAGGGGAAACAGCAAGTTCATCATGAAATGTTAAGTGAAAATAGGTAGGATATTAAACTAGATCACAGACACGCACAGAGATATTAAACTAGATCATCATACACACACACACACACACACACACACACACATATATATATATATGCACATACACATACATTCTGTGATGGTTAATTTTATGTCTCAGTTTGACTGGGCTTAAGAATGTATAGCTAACTGGTAAAACATTCTCTCTGGGTGTGTCTGTGAGGATGTTTCTGGAAGAGATTAGCATCGGGATCAGCAGACTGAGTAAAGAAGATACCCTCACCAATGTGGGTGGGCATGATCCAATCTGTTGAGAACCCAAATAGAATGAAAAGGCGGAGGAAGGGCGAATTCATTCTCTCAGCTAAAGTTTGGATATCCATCTTCTCAGGCCCTCAGACATCAGTGCTTCCAGTTCTTAGGCCTTCGGACTTAGACTGGGACTTGAACCATCAGCCTCCCACTTCTTAGGCCTTCAGACTCTGACCAGGATACATGCCATCTGCCACACCCCACCCTCTACCCTGTTCTTAGGTCTTTGGATTAGAACTGGGACTTATACCATTGACTTCCCTGGTTCTCAGGCCTTTGGGCTTGGACTGGAACTACATCACCAACTCTCCTGGTGTCTGAGATAGGAAAAACCAAATCGCTTTTCCTACCCTCACACACTCACCACTCAATACAATACTTCACCTCTAGTCACCAAAATGTGTGTCATCAGCCAATTCTCCATCAGGTGCCAACTGGGTATATACAATTTAACTCAATTCTGACATTATCTACCTGGAGTTAGCATCAGACACCACAGGTTAAGGGCTCAGTCCCACAAGAAGTCCCAGGAGAGTGCCCCCACTTTAGATGCCAGTCACAAGTTCTCCAGGTTGTGACTGTATATCTGACCAACTGGCCATAAATTGGGAGTTTCCATGAATCCCTCCTCAGGTTCAATTAATTTGTTAGCATGGCTTACAAAACTCAGGGAAACTATTTATGTTTACCCATTTAATATAAAGGACCTTAAAAAGAACACAGAAGAACAACCAAAGAGAAGAGATGCATAGGGTGAGATATGCAGGAAGGGGCATGGAGCTTCTGTGCCCTTGTCAGCACGCAACCCTCTGGTACCTCCATGTGTTCAGCAACGGGGAAGCTCTCTGAATCCCATAGCTCAGGGATTTTTATGGCAGCTTTATCACATAGGCATGATTGATTATCGACTCAGTCTCCAGTCCTTCTCTCCTTCCCAGAGGATGGGGGTTGAAGCTGAAAGTTCCAAGCTTCTAATCATGGCTTGGTCTTTCTGGTGACCAACTCCCATCCAGAAGCCTACCAAGAGTCACCTCATTAGAACAAAAGATCCTCCTATCACCCAGGAATTCCAAGGGATTGGGGGCTCTGTGCCAGGAACCAGGCAGAGAGAACAAATATGTATTTCTTATTTTACCACAATGTCACAATCTACAGCTTACATATGGCAGATTATGGGACTTCTCAGCCTCCACAATCATGCGAACCAATCCGTCACAATATATATCTTACTATATATCCATATATATCATATTGGTTCAGACCGGGCGTGGCGGCTCACGCCTGTAGTCCCAGCACTTTGAGAGGCCGAGACGGGCACATCACTTAAGGTCAGGAATTCAAGACCAGCATGGCCAACATGTTGAAACTCCGTCTCTACTAAAAATAAAAAATTAGCCGGGCATGATGGTGAGCACTTGTGATCCCAGCTACTCAGGAGGCTGAGGCAGGAGAATTGCTTGAACCTGGGAGGCGGAGGCTGCAGTGAACCGAGATCATGCCACCGCACTCCAGCCTGGGCGACAGAGCAAGACTCTATCTCAAAAATAAATTAATTAATTAACATATATATCATATAGTTTCTGTTTCTTTGGTGAACCCTGACTAATACATACACACACTCACACACACACACACATACACACACATACGTGTTGATTTATTTTCTCTGTGTATTCTATATTCCCTTTAATTAGCAATGAGCATACATTACTTTTATAATAAGAAACATGAACATTATTTCAAAATGGAAAGAAAGAAGCAACAGACTACTCTTTTTTTTTTTTTTTTTAAAGACAAGGTCTCACTCTGTCACATAGGCTGGAGTGCAATGGCACCATCTCTAATTGCTGCAAACTCTGCCTCCAGAGTAGCTGGGACTACAGACACAAGCTACCACACCTGGCTAATTTTTGTAGAGACAGGGTTTCGCCATGTTGGCCAGGCTGGTCTCAAGCTCCCAGGCTCAAGCTATCCACCTGCCTCGGCCTCCCAAAGTGCTGGGATTACAGGCGTGAGCCACCGTACCCAGCCAAGCAACAGACTATTGATGGAATTCCAAGTTAAAGAGAACATAAACTAAAGAGGTATGAGTGCCAGTCATAGCTGATTACTTACCTAGCTGCCATTTCTTCTTCCTTCTTGTAGGCAGAAACCTGATTTGATTCAGGGTCAGTATGCACAACTGAAAAAGATTAATCATAATTAGTCCAAAGCTCATCCTCATTGTCAGTAATTGGTTGGTCTAAGGGTAGTCACATGACTTAGTTCTGGCTAGTAAAACACAAGTGGGGCCGGGCACGGTGGCTCACACCTGTAATCCTAGCACTTTGGGAGGCCGAGGTAGGCAGATTGCCTGAGCTCAGGAGTTTGAGACCAGCCTGGGCAACACAGTGAAACCCCATCTCTATTAAAATACAAAAAATACCAGGCATGGTGGCGTGCACCTGTAGTCCCAGCTACTCAGGAGGCTGAGGCAGAAGAGTTGCTTGAACCTGGGAGGTAGAGGTTGCAGTGAGCCAAGATCATACCACTGCACTCCAGCCTGGGCCACAGAGCGAGACTCTGTCTCAAAACACACACACACACACACACACACACACACACACACACACACACAAGTGGACACCTACTCATGGCTGTTAGGGAAGATTTTACTCATTCGTTAAAAATAAGAAAGAGAAAGAATCACAAGAGGAAAAGGTCCACTATATCCTCCTCCTTAACCATCTTGTTAAGGTGTTGTCATGTGAAGACAATACTCAGTGCTACAGCAGCCATCTGATGACCGCCAAGGAGATTTGTCAACATGCCAAGATGGCAGAAAAAAAAGTGAGAAGGCTTCTGGTCTCCAACGACACTATTGAGCCACCTAATTAACCCCAAAACTGCCCACTACTAACCAGACTTGTTATACAAAATAACTGTATTGTTTGTTTGTTTGTTTGTTTTGAGACATGGTCTCACTCTGTTGCCCAAGCTGTGGTGTGATCACAGCTCACTGCAGCCTCAACCTCCCAGGCTCAAGCGATCCTCCTGCCTCAAGCTCCTGAGTAGCTGGGACCACGGGCACATGCCACCATGCATGGCTAAGTTTTTTTATTTTTTATAGAGATAAGGTCTCACTTTGTTGCCCAGGCCGGTCTCGAACTCCTGGACTCAAGCAATCCTCCTGCCTCAGCCTCCCAAGGTGCTGGGATTACAGGCATGAGCCACCATGCCCAGCCCAATAACTGTATATTGTTGAAGCTATTTTGGTTGATATTATATTACCTGTGGCCAAATACGTCCCCAAAAATGTTCACTATCAGGAGACAAGGTTACTAACCAAGAGTTAAGGACATATTCAGATGGTTGAAGGCACAAGAAGAGGTAGGCATACTGAGTGGAACAGGTTAGACATGATATTCAAGATATTTAACAGCTGGTCCCTCATGGGCACAAAATACTCTGAAAGGGGACCAGCCCAGTCAGAATGGACCCCAGTTATAAATGATATGCCCATGCCAATGTATCCTAGCTGAATATCAGCCTTAGGGTAGTTACAAAAGACAAAACAGGGGGGTCAATTAACCCTATGTTTGGGGATAAATTTTCTTGGACCAGATTCCACCTACAATGTGCCTCTTTTGAAAGTCCTGCTTCTACCTTCTGAAGCCAAGCCTCTAACAGCTTTAAGCAGATCCGTGGCTGGCTCACTGCCAAAGACAGCGCCTGGAAGTTGGCAGTTTACACTGTGAACTGATATTAATGTTTTTGCTATGGTGGTAGTGGTTTTGAACTTTCTTTTTAAATTGAAAGAGTAATACATGATCTTGGTATAAAAATACAAACTTTAAAGAGAAGCATAAAATAAAAAGTAAGTCTCCCTTCCGTCCTGGTACTCCCAGCCTCATTCCCCAGAGGTACCTTATTAAAAATTTGTTGCATACACTTGCATAAATTTTCTGTATTTACACAAACGTATATATGCGTATATTTTTCAACACACACACAGGAGCCTACTTAGAAATGTTTATGTACTTTGCTATTCCTATTCACTATTTCTTTTCTTTTTTTTTTTGAGACGGAGTCTCGCTCTGTCGCTCAGGCTGGAGTGCGGTGGCGCGATCTCGGCTCACTGCAAGCTCCGCCTCCCGAGTTCGCACCATTCTCCTGCCTCAGCCTCCACAGTAGCTGGGACTATAGGTGCTTGTGACCACGCCCGGCTAATTTTTTGTACTTTTTAGAAGACACGGGGTTTCACCGTGTTAGCCGGGATGGTCTCTATCTCCTGACCTCGTGATCCGCCTGCCTCGGCATCCCAAGGCAGAGGGATTACAGGCCTGAGCCACCGCGCCCGACTCCTATTCACTATGTCTTAGATCTTAGTCCATATCTGCATATAAATCCACTTCTTTTTATTTACAACTGCATAGTATTTTATTGTATGGATGTAACATAATTTATTTAATGAGTCCTCTATTGATTAACATTTAGGGTGTTCACTATTACAAACAATGCTGCGATAAACACTGTATCAATTAGTGTTTTAGAATGAAAATAACAGAACACCCAACTATAAGTAAACCATAAGGATTTATTATCTTACATAACAAGAGATCTACAGCTAGGTGGTCCCAGGATGAGTTAATTTAGTGGTCCAACAATGTCATTAAGGGACCAAGTGTTTTCCATATTTCTCGTGCCATCTTCAGAGTGTTTGATTTTTTGCCCTGGGTTTGGAAGTAAGATAGCATGTACTGTCCCAGTCATCCCATCATGATTCAGTTCCGTTCAAAGACAAGAAATCAATTCCTCCTCGCACATCTCTTTTTCTCAGGGAGGAAAACTTTTCCCAGAAGCCCTGCCACAGACTTCCCTTCACAAATCATTAGCTAGAACATACCCATCCATAAACCAATCACTGTTAAAGAGGGAAATAATTACTCTTATTGGCTTATACCAGTTAAGATTAATCCCTGGAGCTATGGAAGAACATGCTTTTCCTGATCACCGAACATCCTGATACCTGAAGAAACTCAAGGTCCTTGGCAAGAAGAAAGGATGAAATGTCTATTGGGTAGCAACCAAGAGGGTCTTCTACAAATACCATCTTTGTGTATATACGCAAGTATATGCATAGGACAAAGTCCTTGAAATAGACTTGCTGGATCAAAAGAGTATGTTCATTTTAAATGTTGATGGGCATCAGTGGATGAGTGGTGTATTCATTCATTTTCATCCTGCAATGAAGAAATAACTTGGACTGGGTAATTTATAAAGAAAGATAGGTTTGGCCGGGCACAGTGGCTCACGCCTGTAATCCCAGCCCTTTGGGAGGCCAAGGTGGGCAGATCACCTAAGGTTGGGAGTTGGAGACCAGCCTGACCAACATGGAGAAACCCTATCTCTACTAAAAATACAAAATTAGCCAGGTGTGGTGGTGCATGCCTGTAATCCCAGCTACTCGGGAGGCTGAGGCAGGAGAATCCCTTGAACTTGGGAGGCAAAAGTTGTGATGAGCTGAGATAGAGCCATTGCACTCCAGCCTGGGCAACAAGAGTGAAACTCTGTCTCAAAACAAAACAAAACAAAAAAGAGGTTTAATGGACTCACACATGGCTGGGGAGGCCTCACAAACGTGGCAGAAGGTGAAGGAGGAGCAAAAGCACGTCTTACATGGTGGCAGGCAAGAGAACATGTGCAGGGGAACTGCCCTTTATAAAATCATCAGATCTTGTGAGACTAATTCACTATCACAAGGACAGCATGGGGAAAACCCACCCCGGTGATTCAATTACCTTCTACTGGGTCCCTCCCACGACATGTGGGGATTATGGGAGCTACAATTCAAGATGAGATTTGGGTGGGGACACAGCAAAACCATATCAAATGGATAAACAAAATGTGGTATATACATAAAAGGGAATATTCAGCCTTAAAAAGAAATGAAATTCAGACACATGCAACAACATGGACAGACTGAAGATATTATACCAAGTGAAATAAGCCAGATACAAAAGGACAAATATTGTACATTTCCATTTACATGAGTAGAATAGTTAAATTCATACAGACGAAAAGTAGAATAGTGACTGCCAATGGTTGTGGGGGGAAGAAATTGGGAAGATGAAAAAGTTCTAGAGATGGATGATGGTAATAATAGCACAACAATATCAATGTGCATAATATTATTGAACCATATGCTTAAAATGGTTAAAATGGTAAATTTTAAGTTATGTATAAATTTACCACAATTAAAAAAATAATGTTGCTAGATATTGCAAAAATGTCCCAAAGAGATTTTAACATTTAACTCTCTCACCCCTAGTGGATAGGGCAGTGCCTGGGTTCCCTATAATGTTTTGACTCCAGTGCAAACTCAAGGGTCCCCAAGTGGTAGCCAAGAAGTCCCCAAGGTCCCCAAGAAGCCAAGGGTCCCCAAGAAGGTATTGATGGATATAAGAGACCAGCAGTCCCTTTATTAGATCAGTAGCAGAAAAATCTGGTTTTAGAAGTAAAAGAAGACTCCCCAGGAGGGGAGGGATGAGAAGGCAGTCTTCTTTTTATTTCTTGAGTTTCAACTATCCCTCTTTCCCTTTATTACTTCTACCCTATCATGGTGGCTCCAAGACTCTGTTGCTCCCCTTTAGCTCTGTGAGTTAAGTGAGGACAATAATCTAGTCCCCTGCTTACCCTTAAGAAAAATCATCCAAAAATTGGAAATTCAGCACAAAGATTGCCGCATGCCCTCTCAAAGCCACATGACTGACTATTGTGTAACAACCTTCGTAACACTCATCTGATTTTCTAAGGGATATAACTTCATTTGACCTACTTATTATTTTTTTAAATAGAGACAAGGTCTTGCTTTGTTATCCAAGCTGAAGTGCAGTGGCAAAATCATAGCTCACTGCAGCCTTGGACCCCTGGGCTCAAGTGATCCTCCCACCTTGGCCTCCCAAAGTGTTGGGATTACAGGCGTGAGCCACTGTGCCTGGCATCTTGACTTACTATTTACAGTTGATCAGGCTAGGTTCTGAAAAGCTAGATTTAATCTATAAAATATTAATACATTTTGCAAAGTTTTTTTTTTTTTTTTTTTCTGGTGGAGAGGTAAATGATTTCTCTCTGGTAGAAAAGATAAGCCCAAAGGTTACAGTTATTGCTCTGTCAGGACCTTTTTTGTATCTGACTCTGCCGTCTTTCTGCATTCTTCTTTTCACCAACTACATATAACCTTTGAACTGGTGTTGCCATCTTGCTGCTGTCATAATCAGTGAGCTAAACACATCTTTGACAAGGGCTCACTTATGTTATATTCTTCACTATTTGAAAATTATATTTGACATCCTTAACACAGTTGTAGCAGGCTTTCAAAATGACTTTGCTAAATATGAAAGAATGGGAATAAACAGAAGAAATTTTAAAAGTATAAAAAAACCATCTCATCCATCCAGCTGCCCACTCACACCCTCAGACATCTCTAAAGTTAGACCATGAAGCAGATCAGAATTTGCTCTGAAGCCATTTTGAAATCTGGGGTTTGACTTTTCCACCAGAGGATGGGCAGGACTGTCGAGGATAGCTGTGGGCATGTCCTCCCTCTTCTGGATCCCCCTACTGCCCCCCCAACCCCCCACCCCCGTCCCCTACTTGGATGGGACTTGATCTCTTCCAGTGCCCAAGAGTACAACCGCACCCTTACTCCTTAACGTGACTCAGATCTGACAGCTGGGAAATCCTCAGCCTCAGCAAGTTGCCCTTTCTGTTAACCTTTGCATCTAAATAGCTCAAGCTATGCATTCCTGGGGTTTTGTTCTGGTGGCCAGCTCCCATTCCCATTTCCTATTCCCACTGAATTCCTGTGCTTTGCACTGTGGCTGTTCCCTTCTCTTGGTCCTACCACTGGACCCTAGATCCCTCTTGATTTCTTGGAGCCGTAACTTGCCCAAAGCAGCTGTGTGCAGCAGATCTCTATACAGCTTTGGAGAGACGTTCCTCCCAACACTGCACAGCCACCATTTTCACATTGACTGCTAGAATCCAGAAGCATCCCTGCCATTTTGGATGTTTTGCTGGCTCTCCCTTCTCAGGCCTCACACTGGGCTACCTGCACATTAAGTCAGCCCCTCCACTTTCCTTCCTCTAAACCAAGCTTGTCAAACCCGTGGCCCAGGATGGCTTTGAATGTGGCCCAACACAAATTCGTAAACTTTCTTTTTTTTTTTTTTCCTTCAAGAACCGAACAGCAGTGAAAATGTTCATAAAATTTCTTAAAACATTATGTGGTTTTTTTTTTTTTTGAGTTTCTTTTTAAGTTCATCAGCATCATTAGTGTTAGTGTATTTTATATGTGGCCCAAGGCAATTCTTCTTCTAATGTGGCCCAGAGAAGCCAAAAGATTGGACACCCCTGCAAACCTTTCCACAGTCCCTCCCTTCTCTTCCCTGACCCTCTTTCCAGAACCATCTCCAGGAATTCAATATTCATCCTACCTTACTGGGCAGGACAATTCAAAATTATCTCCCAAAGGTCTCACATCCAAATACCCTCTTTGTGCAGCCCATTCTGCCCCGAAGCTGAGTCTCACCGTCAGCAACCCTAGGGGCCAGCAAGGTAATTTTCTAAACTAAGAACCATTTCCCCTCAACGTAAGACATTTCTCTTAGTAAGAAGTAAAATGTTCTCCCACTACACGTGAAAGAACAATACAAATATATGGCAAAATGGAGGAAGAGAAGAAGAATTTTTTTTTTTTTTAGTGTCACGTAGCTCCCTGGGAAACTGCCTTTAATTCACCATATTTATACTCTCTCTCAGAGCCCCAGAAAGACCTGGATTAAGAATTTCCCACGGCGAGGCACTGTGGCTCGCACCTATAACCCCAGCACTTTGGAAGGCCAAGGCAAGAGGATCACGTGAGGTCAGGAGTTTAAGACCAGCCTGGCCAACATGGTGAAACCCCCTCTCTACTAAAAATACAAAAATTAGCTGGGCGTGGTGGTGTGCACCTGTAATCCCAGCTACTCGGGAGGCTGAGGCATGGGAATTGCTTGAACCCAGGAGGTGGAGGTTGCAGTAAGCCAAGATCGCACCACTGCACTCCAGCCTGGGTGACAGACTGAGGCTCTGTCTCAGGAAAAAAAAAAAGAATTTCCCTCTAGGGAAGATGAGGTTTTCCCAAAGGCAAGGCAAACCTTTTTGGCACAGGTAATTTGTGTCCTAGTCCACTCATGTAGTCTAAGGGCTCTTAGCTGGGGACCCTCGGGAGACGCTGTCAGCAGCTACCGCAGTAGTCAGTACTGAAGCAGCTGCATGAAACTTGCTGAGGCAACAAAATGCCCCTGCAGTGGGTGTCAATTCATCATCCCCACTTTTCAGCCGGCAAAGAAATCCAGAAACAGTTAAACTGCATGTTGCAATTTCTTAAAATAGAACTTCCTAGTTTTAAGTTTCATCAAGCCTTCCATTGGTTTTACAGTATTATGCTTATGTCCTTCCCTCTCACATTGATTCTCCTTTTAATTATATTTTCTTCCTTTTTTTTTTTCTTTTTCACATCAGATGGATAATGTGCCGATGCCATAACAAGGTTTGAGGGAGGCACAGCTCACATGGGAACGCGAAAACCCAGGCATGATGCTTATGAACTACAGAAGGATCACATTGTCCCAGTGTTCACACTACTTTTAGGAGATTGCCCTCTGTGTGGAAAAGCTGGCCTAAGAAAGCTCTATGTTAACTTTGTTGCTGACTTTGATACTGGGGGCCACCAGACTGTAATTAGTCAATTTGGGCTGTTGTAACAAAATACTATAGGCTGAGTGTTTAAACAGGAATTTACTTCTCATAGTTCTGGAGGCTGGAAGTCTAAGATCAAGGTGCCAGCAAGTAGGTTTCATTCTGAAGCCTCTTCTCTTGGCTCACAGGCAGCCATCATCTTGCTGTGGGCTCACATGACCTCTTTGTGGTAGGAGAGCAAACTCTCTGGTGCCTCTTCTTATAAAGACCCCAATCTCATTATGAAGGCCCCACCCTCATGAGCTCATCTAACTCTATCTCCAAAAGAAAATACTACCGTATTGGGGGTTAGAGCTTCAACATGTGAATTTGGGGTGGGGGGGGTATAATTCAGTCCACAGCATAGGGTCTGTTTCCCAGTCTCAGCCTTTGGGGCAGTATCTTCAATTTCCAATCACATGATGTGAATTGACAACCAAGACCACAAGTTATGACTTAAACTCCACAAAGTTTCCCTCTTACATTCCATTACTAGAAACAAGGAAGCATTTTAAAAACTATTACCCTAGTTTTTTGCAGTCCTCTTAAAATACTTCACCAGATAGTAGATAGCAGCATTCTTTTGTATTTTGAAGTTTCTGCAGCATGGTCTTCTAAAGAAAAAGAGCTTCAGGCCAGGCGCAGTGGCTCATGCCTGTAATCCCAGCACTTTGGGAGACCAAGGCGGGCAGATCACCTGAGGTCAGGAGTTCGAGACCAGCCTGGCCAATATGGTGAAACCCCATCTCTACTGAAAATACAAAAAAAAAATTAGCAGGTGGGCCAGGTGCGGTGGCTCACTCCTGTAATCCCAGCACTTTAGGAGGCTAAGGCAGGCAGATCATGAGGTCAGGAGTTTGAGACCAGCCTGGCCATCATAGTGAAACTCCATCTCTACTAAAAATACAAAAAATTAGCCAGGCATGGTGGCGGGCGCCCATAATCCCAGCTACTCAGGAGGCTGAGGCAGGAGAATTGCTTGAACTCGGGAGGCAGAGGTTGCAGTGAGTCGAGATTGTGCCACTGCACTCCAGCCCGGGCGACAGTGCAAGACTCCATCTCAAAAAAAAAAAATGAGCCAGATACGGTGGCGGGTGCCCGTAATCCCAGCTACTCAGGAGGCTGAGGCAGGAGAATCGCTTGAACCCAGGACGGAGAGGTTGCAGTGAGCCAAGGTAGTGCCATTGCACTCCAGCCTGGGCAACAGGAACAAAAACTCAGTCTCAAAAAAAGAGAAAAAAAAAAAAAGAGCTTCATACTAGATAAAGGACGAAGATGACAGTAATTTCCTCTTTGTCACGATCTAAAAACATCACAAAATGCTACATGTTAAAATACATTAAAAATACACGACTTTCTTTCCACCTTTTGATATTTTCATTTATGAGCTATGATTCATAAGAATGCTCTGTCACTGGAAAAGCACAAAAATCAAATTCACTGTGGCATGTTTACGATTACTACTAGAAAAATATATGGTGTTGATTCTCTAGGTGATTCTTATTCCTTTGGTCTTTTTCTTCTTTCCTCTTCCCTGTGTTGTTACAGTGTTGATTGTACAATCATTTACAGAACAATAGTAAATAATGTCAGCAAACATTTGGGGAATTCTTAACATGTGCCAGCCACTTGCCAAGTGTACATTCCCTCTCTCTTTTAATCCTCCCGAAAGCCTCATGAGGTAGATATTATTATCCATGAAACACAAAAAATATTAAATGTTAAGTACGTATAATTGTCTCCCTGCTCTTCAATTTCTAAGAAGGTAGATTCCTTGGAGGGTTCTTTATTTTACTTGATGGGGTGCTGCTGGGGACAGGACGTGGAAAAGTGAAGGGAGAGAGAGAAGCCTAAATTAGAATAAAGAGATGAAGGCCCGGAAGGGCTGCGGGAGGGGGGCAGATTAAGGGGTGGAAGAGGAGAGTAAGGAGAAAGTGAAGGCAAAGATGAGGAGCTGGGAGGAACCTGGCAAGGGCTGGCAGGCTCAAGAGGAGGGGAAGGTGTCATGGCCACAACAGAGGGGAGGCGGATTTGTGTGGAAATAGTGGGACATTTGGAGAGGATTTTTCAAAGTTCTGGTACGTGAAGTATCACTTACTCTTTCTTCCATATCTCCAGGAAAATCTCAGCATTGAATCTGCCATATTTTATCTAATCCAAGATGTGAATGACTGTAAGATAGAATCGATGGCAAGATACATCATTTTTGGGCATGGTAGTACATACCTGTAGTGCCATTACTCGGGAGGCCGAGAGAGGATGATCTCACAAAGCCCAGGAGTTCTGGGATATAGTGTGCTATGCTGATTGGATGTCTGCATTAAGTCTGGCATCAATGTGGTCACCTCTCAGGAGCAGAGGACCACCAGGGTGTCTAAGGAGAGGTGAACCCAGGTTGGAAACAGAGCAGGTAAAAATTCCCATGCTAATCAGTAGTGGGATGATGCCTATGAATAAACACGCACCCCAGCCTGGAAAACTCATCTCTTTAAAAAAAAAAAAAAAGACACATCATATTTTAGGAAGGAAGAAAGGTATGAAGGAAGAGAATCACCAATTACAAGCGCCCATCAGTTCAAAATGTGTCCCAATTTCAAAGAAATACAATATATTATACTTTAATCCTTTCACAGTCAGATTTATATCTTTTTGTTTTGTTTTTTAATGTGTCATTATCTGGCAAGGCCAGATCTGAGCTGCCCAGGAAGGGTCTGTTATACTTCAGTTACACCCGTTTTACAAAGGAGAAAAAGGCAAGCTGCACCTGCCTTTTCCATGTGTGAGTGTTGGGCCCCAGAGGCTGCAAATGCTTGGTTTCGCTCCTCAGCGGCCTCCACCCTGAGCTCAGTCATCCAGCTGAAAAAGACAATAGGAAGCTACCTATCTAACTAAAATTGGTATCCTTATTAAATCCTATGGCAAATTCCTGTGATTTTGTGTTACCTTTGGCATCTTTTATTTTATTGTATTTTATTTTTGAGACGGGGTCTCGCTCTGTCATGCAGGCTAAAGTGCAGTGTGCTGCAACCTCCGCCTCCCAGGTTCAAGCCATCCTCTCACCTCAGCCTCTCCAGTAGCTGGGACCACAGGCACACGCAACCATGCCCTGCTAATTTTTTGTATTTTTTGTAGAGACGGGGTTTCACCATGTTGCCCGGGCTGGTCCTGAACTCCTGGCTTCAAGTGATCCGCCCACCTCGGTCTCCCCAAGTGTTCAGCCTGGCATTGGCATCCATTTTTAATCTTCCTCTAACACATCCAAACTCCTTGAAAAAGCTTAAATTCTCTCTCTGGGCTTTGAGATGTAAATTTGCTATCCTGTTTCCTCTAAAACTCAATAAAGCCTCCCTTTATGTGGGACAGATAAGCTTTAATTTGTTCTATTTACAAGACATAGTTTGAATCCAACTATCCTTTTAAACTAGTGAATGTTATGTGTCTCATGGCTAGTTTTAAAAATCAAAGCTATAGGGCTGGTGTGGTGGCTCACACCTGTAATCCAGGCATTTTGGGAGGCCAAGGGGGTTGGATCAATTGAGGTCAGGAGTTCGAGACCAGCCTGGCCAACATGGTGAAACCCCATCTCTACTAAAAATACAAAAATTAGCTGGGCATGGTAGCGGGCACCTACAGTCCCAGCTACTTGGTAGGCTGACGCACAAGAATCACTTGAACCTGGGAGGTGGAGGTTGCAGAGAGCCAAGATCATGCCACTGCACTCCAGCCTGGGCGACAGAGGAAGACTCTGTCTCACAAACTCCATCTCACAAACTCCTTCTCACACCAAAAAAAAAAAAAAAAAAATCAAACTATAAAGGCTTTACGTTTGTGTTTTTATGTATACATGTGTATGTATCTGTGTTTCTATATTGTCTACATGGTACCAAATTGACTTGTAAGTAAATGAATGCTCATAAATTAAGTAAATAAAACCAAAGTGCTTTTCAAGTTCATATGACTTTTTAGTAATCTTTGGTGAATAAAAATAATATTGGTTTAAGTATATGAAATTGAAACTACTAGAAATAAGGGAAAACAATCCTGTATAGTAAGTATACAAAAAACCCAAGATGTTTTTGGTGAGAAAAGAGTTATAAAAAGGCATAAGGACATGTGTTTTTGTTTTTAAAAAATACTTTTGTCTAGTTTTGCAGTTAAAAGTTGTTTCTTTTTTTCTCTCTCTCTCTTTTTTTCCTTTTTTTTGAGACAGGGTCTTAACTCTGTCACCCAGGCTGGAGTCCAATGACACATTCTCAGCTCACTGCAATCTCTGCCTCTCCACCTCAAGTGATCCTCCCACCTCAGCCTCCCAAGTAGCTGGGACTACAGGCACACATCACCACACCTGGCTAATTTTTGTATTTTTTGTAGAGACAGGGTTTCACCATGTTGCCCAGGCTGATCTTGAACTCCTGGGCTCCAGTGATCCTCCTGCCTTGGCTTCCCAAAGTGCTGGGATTATAGGCGTAAGCCACCGCGCCCGGCCTTATTTCAAAATTTTAATGATATACATAAAATTGAGTGAATATAGAAAGTTGGGAAAAGAAAGAGAATAGAAAAAATTTCGTACCAGGTTAGGTTATAAAAGGCTTATGGAAATCTTGTGTGGTCAAAGCTAATTAAGAATAGATGAACTTATAAAGTTCATAAAGATGAGCTTATAAAGTTGTATTAAATTTAGCTTTAGTATCAATACACTGAAACATGGGTAAATTTTGGTTTTCTCTTTGAACAAAATTTTTGTGTACTACTAATAAAAGATAGTAAGCCGGGCACAGTGTCTCACACCTGTGATCCCTGCACTTTAGGAGGCCAAGGCAGGTGGATCACCTGAGGTCAGGAGTTCAAGACCAGCCTGGCCAACAAAAACCCTATCTCTACTAAAAATGCAAAAATGAGTTGGGTGCAGTGGCAGGCACCTATAATCCCAGCTACTTGGGAGGCTGAGGCAGGAGAATCGCTTGAGCCTAGGAGTCAGAGGTTGCAGTGAGCCGAGATTGCACCACTGCACTCCAGTCTGGGCAACAGAGTAAGACTCCGTCTCAAAAAAAAAAAAAAAAAGGAAGGACAGAAACAGATTCTGTGTACTTTATTAGATCTTTTAATTATTTGAATATTTGTCTCCTCTCTATCAAAAAGTAAAGATTTTTGCTTTTTAAAATCTTTTATAAATAAATTACAACTTTGGCTAAATGACTATTGTTTTACAGTGACCTGTGATCCTATTGTGATAAAGTGTTTTAAACCTTTTAAACCTTTCCTATTTTGATGAAGTGTTTTCAAGCTTTTACATATTTCACAGGCTTCCCCAAATCAAACTTTATTTTTAAAATTAAGTGTTTTCAACCTCAAACTAACTTTGAGATGTTCAAAGGGGCCCCTGAAGCATCCAAAAGAGAGCTCATAAGCAGGCCTATTGGTACGTTAAATTATATGGGAAGCACTGTCAAATAAAAAATGATGCTCAGCCTTTTTTTGAGTTATATTTGTATGAACATGTCATTAATGTGTTCAAAAATTGCATGCAAATCCTAAAAATCTGACATCTTATCAACTCATAATTATGGCGATTATGTAAAATTGTTGCAGACCACAGAAAATAACCAAGTTTTAAAAATCAATTATTTATTTAAGTATGGCCATTTTAAGTCCTGTTGTCCACAGTTAATTGTTTATTTTGATACTTTTTTTCCTGAAAGCTCTTTGCAAATCCTAAATGTTGTGTCTTCAAGGAGGTTTGTGGAAAGGATGGAAAGAACTCTGACAAATACATGTTTCTGACAACATTGAGATCACACCATTGGACTAGGCAAAAAAACTTCAGAACACTAAAAAACAAACAAAACAAAACTAGAAAAGCTGGACTCGTAAAATCGCCCACCTAACATCAAGCAGAACAAGAACTAATTAGATGGGACTGAACTGGTAGAAGACTGAAATGATTTTTTATGACTTTTTTTTGTTTAACATATTGCTGATTTTTATGTTTTGTTTTCCAGAATTAAGAAAACTTTTTTCTTCTTATTTAAGGCTATTTATAGCTTACAGCAATTGAGTAAAGTGTACTTTCATAACAGACTTAAAACATTTACCTCTCTCTCTACCTAATCTCTCTAGAATTTGGAAACTATTTGTGAGTATTCTTATTTTATGACAATATTGTCATTTGCGTAAGTTCAGTAAGATTGTTTTCATCTGCCACAAAACACAATTGGAAAAACTGGTTATTTTACCAAGGCTTTAACTAGAATGTCATATTTTGAAATATGATTAGACTGCTTTGAGGGACTGAGGTTGACTTGTATGGAGCCAATAAAAAGCCCTTTGGAAAGACTGGCCTGGTACCTTGTCTACACAGTACTCTAATAAGGTTCCTAACCTTGAAGTAAGTAAAGAATGTCACTTTCTGACAGGCCCAGGAACCTCAAGTTATTTGGGGGACCTCAGGAAGAGAGAAATTCACTCAATTTGTATTGGTCTTACAGTCTTTGGCTTAACTCCTAAGCCTCAAGTGGCTTTTAAACGACTAATTTGACATTTCTTTATGAAGTTTCAGCAAAGCCAACTTAACAAGAGTCTGTATGATGAGTCACTATCGTTATTGCATTTTATGCAAATAACCAGGCCAAGTTAATGAAACTAAACTTATTTTACAGGTAAATTAGTCTTGCTATAAATATCTCTGGTAAAAATGAGAAAATGGCGAGAGAAAGCTTATCTTTCAGAAGAAAACTATAGTGCGTTAGATTCTAGCCCTGTCCGTTTGTTTTTGAGGGGTTTGTTGTTGTTGCTGTTGTTATCCGGGCCGAATCCAGAATTTCAGTTTTCTCCAATATCTGGCTGCAGCTCTCCAGACTAATGTTTCCAATTGTTCTCCCATCCTTCTGACTTGGAATCACTAGAAATTAAAACCGTCTTTTCCCTAATGGCCTACAAGCTGAAGCTAGTCAGCTTGGCTTTGAAGAAAAATCACCACAACAACTTGTATTTGGACAAATGTTGTACATGCAAACTGCAAACCAGAAAAATCTGTCAGATTGCCACTAATCTTTGCAATGGACTGCCCTCCAAACTCTAGAAAAACTAGCTTATAAGACTACTCCAGACATTAACCTTTGTTCTTCTGTTTCCACAGAAACGCCTCTTATTAAAGACTGCCCACATCACATATAGAGGCATAGCTTTGACAACCCATCTGCAACGCCGTCTTCTAGAATGATATACCACTGCTTAATTGGACTGGCCTATTCCCTGAAATGTGAGACTGGTTTAATTGGGCGTGGGGGAAAGTGCTTAGGTTTGTTCTTTTCTATGTGCTTATTCTCATCCTAATCTGTGTTATTTTCTCCCTTTGCAAATTTCTTGCCACTCAATTACTAACCTGATTTCTCTCTCCATAACTATCAATCCTATTTTAATAGGTAAAACTTCCTGAAAATAAAGTTTCAAATGGGAGACGAAAAGAAACCAAACATATTTCCATATTTCCATATTTCACCCCAAAATATACTTTTTTTTTAAGACGGAGTCTCGCCTTGTGGCCCAGGCTAGAGTGCAATGGTGCGATCTCGGCTCACTGCAACCTCCACCTCTCAGGTTTGAGTGATTCTCCTGCCTCAGCTTCCCAAGTAGCTGGGATTACAGGCATGCACCACCACGCCTGATTAATTTTTTGTATCTTTAGTAGAGACGGGGTTTCACCATGTTGGCCGGGCTGGTGACTCCTGACCTTGTGATCTGCCTGCCTCGGCCTCCCAAAGTGCTGGGATTACAGGCATGAGCCACCACGCCTGGCCCCAAAATATACTTCTTTGACATATTCTGAGACAGCTATTCAGAGGACCTGCAGAAAGGAATAGCCCTGAAAAGCTGCCTTTTGTAGGAGAGATTTGCATTTATACAGAAAAATCTAGGTTAGTGAAATGAACAGTCATGCTTCCTCTGAGTGCCTCCACTCATCCTTTTTCCAGATCTAGAAAAGGTTATGTCAATCACAGGCTACCATCTATCCTTTTTGAGGGCAGCTCCGAGACTGTTTAGTCCATTTTCATACTGTTATAAAGAAATGCACAAGACTGGGTGGTTTATAAAGAAAAGAGGTTTAATTGACTCACAGTTCCACATGTCTGGGGAGGCCTCAGGAAACTTACAATCACGGCAGAAGGTGAAGGAGAAGCAAAGATCTTCTTCACATGGTGGCAGGAAAGAGAGACCGAGCAAGAGCAGGGAAAAGTGCCTTATAAAACCATCAGATCTCATGAGAACTCACTCACTGTCATGAGAACAGCATAAGGGAAAATGCCCCCATGATCCCATCACCTCCCACCTGGTTCCTCCCTCGACATGTGGGAATTATGGAGATAACCATTCGAGATGAGATTTGGGTACGGACACAGAGCTAAACCATATCAGAGACGACCTGAGATATTTCCATCTGCATAATAAGACAGCTTTTGCTTGACATCCTCCTCCATAACCTGTGCTGTCACCTCCCCCAGAGCCCAGGGAAACTTGTTCCCAGGCCACTGGTCTTTGGACTCATTCATTTTCCCTGAAAATCATTTACTGCCCCTCAAAAGAATTGTCCCCCCACTCCCTTATGAAGAAGGGTACACAAGCTTCTGTACCCTACTGGGTTATTGGGTAATCATTCTCTCCTGTGATTCCTTGGTGCTATGCATGTTAAAAAAATTCTAATATGCCCTTTCTCCTATTAATCTGCTTTTTGTCAGCTGATTTTCTGTGAATCTTCAGAGGCTGAAGGATAAGTTTTGCCTTGGCCCCTACAAGAACAATCCCTAAACTATTTTTATAATTTATGATGTTGACTTTTTGAAGAATTCAAGCCATTTGTCTTTTAAAATGTCACATTGTCTCTGTGTGTGTCTGTGTGTGTGTTTATGCCTTTTTGTTTTGTTTTGTTTTGTTTTGGACAGAGTCTCGCTCTGTCACACAGGCTGGAGTGCAGTGGCACAATCTCGGCTCACTGCAACCTCCGCCTCCCAGGTTCAAGTGATTCCCCTGCCCCAGCCTCCCTAGTAGCTGGGATTACAGGCATGCACCAACACACCAGGCTAATTTTTGTATTTTTAGTAGAGATGGGGTTTCACCATGTTGGCCAGGCTAGTCTTGAACTCCTGACCTCAGGTGATCCACCCTCCTCGGCCTCAGCGAAGTGCTGGGATTACAGGCGTGAGCCAGAGCACCCGGCTTGTTTTGTTTCTTAACGCATCATTAATCATTAAGTCCAGATCTGAGCTGCCTAAAAAGGCTCTGTTATATCTGAGTACACACATTTTACTGAAGAGAAAACCGAGTCTCAGAGAAGCTGAGCTACTTCCCTCTGGGCTCACAGCTAATATATGGAGAGCCAAGATTCCAACCCAAGCAAGCTTGATTCAGCGTGTGTGTGTGGTGCAATTTACTTGGTTCCTTTATCACCTATGCTTCCTATTAAATTGAGGTTGGGGCTGGGCACAGTGGCTCATGCCTGTAGTCCCAGCTACTTGGGAGGCTGAGGTGGGGAGGATCACTTGAGTCTGGGAAGATCACTTATGCCATGATTGTGCCACTGCACTCCAGCCTGGGCAACAGAGTGAGACCTCGTCTGAAAAAGACAGTAATGAATAAATAAAGTAAATAAATAAAGGTTGGATGATTCAGGTTAAGCCATTTTGGTAAAATGATTTCATAGGTGATGCTTTATACTTCCTAGGGCATACCATGTCATGTCAGGTGTCCCACTCTTAGTGACCTACATTTGATTGCATGGTTAAAGTTCTGATCACCAGATATCTCCCTTGCAATTAATAAATAACTCATAGAGTAACATGTTGGCACCATGCAAATATCCTGTCCTGCATTGTTCATTTTTGTAGCCCTCAGTTCCCAGCAGAGGCCATACCCAGTAGATGAATGAGTTCTACCTTGGCAAACTATGATTGAGCACAAGCACCCAAATCTCACCAAGACACTTCCTCTAATGAATTATTCTGGAGAAATGGAGACCCTGCAGGCCTGAGAGAAGGCAGGAGAGATCCCTGGGGCAGGTGCTGAGGGCTAACACAGCTTCTCCTGCCAATGCCTCAGGCTAAGTTCCCAGACACACTCTAAGTGCTTGGAAGGAGCTGCCTCCTTTTAGAGATTGCTGGGGGAGGCTACCCACAGCTTGGTAGAAGCCAGAAAAACAAAAATTTAAAAAGCTGTCATTTCAAAGCTGGGAGCAGTTTTCTGTTTTGCAATAAACCAAAGACTCAATCTCCCTTTGTTCTTGGAAAAACACCTGCCTGGTTCATTAATTTTATGCAAATATTAAGCAGGAAATGTTTGAGCTAAATTGCTTTCTGTAATAATGTAATAGGGTGTCTATGCTTTGCAGAGTCAAATCTCTTCAGAATTTGTTTCCTTAGGCAGTGATTTTTGTTTTGGGTGTGTGTGGGTGTTGGGGGTGCGGGTTGTGGGTATGGCGGCGCGTGTTGCCTAAATATGGTTTGAAAATTCTCTGTGCTTGAAAACTCGCGCTAGTTCCGGTAGAGATGGGCAGCAGGGGTGCCTGTACATAATCTCGCTGGTATCACAGGGGCACCATACCTGGAAGCTTTTTCAAACTAAGTGGAAGAATCCAAGCAGACTGGTTCCTGAGCTATCTGAGTCCAAACCCTGGGCATTCCCAGAACCCCTGAAGGGACATCCCAAGTGGTGGCTTAAGGCCATCTTAGCTGGCTACAAAAGTAAAATGTGACCTCATTGTGATACCAGTTGGATGTAGCACACAAAGTGTTGTTACACCAATATGCCTGCATAAAGCTCTGCTCTGAGAAAGCAGTGTGAGTGTTGACAGTCTGCACACAGTGGTAAAAGACATAGAAAGAGGGGCACCCCTCATTTCCTGGCAGCTTTGAGAGAGAACGAGAGGGGATATGTTGAGACCAGATCCTTTCCAATTTTAAACAGGCTAAGACTCTTCTTTGGCCAGGCCTGGAAGGTGGCTATGTAAGCAGTGTCATTAAAAATGGAACAGTGCAAGTTCTGTCACCTGCTGACCTGGATCCATTATTCATGGGTCAGAATTTGGCCACACTGAAGTGGATCTCTTCACTGGGATGAACACATTATCCAAAGTTTCTTGATTCCTTAAATTCCTAAATACTGTAAACCTCTTGGCAATAAAGTTTGGGAACAGTCCACCATTCTCCACTTATTATTATTATTTTTAGATGGAGTCTCGCTCTGTCGCTCAGGCTGGAGTGCAATGGCTCAATCTCGGCTCACTACAACCCCTGCCTCCCTGGTTCAAGCAATTCTCCTGCCTCAGTCTCCTGAGTAGCTGGGACTACAGGCGTGCAACACCATGCCCAGATAATTTTTGTATTTTTAGTAGAGACAGGGTTTCACCATTTTGGCCAGGATGGTTTCGATCTCCCGATCTCGTGATGCACCTGGTCTTAGCCTCCCAAAGTGCTGGGATTACAGGCGTGAGCCACCATGCCCGGCCCCACTTATCTCAAACTAACCATAAGCCCCTTGCCAAGTCACCAGGGGCAATGCAGCCCGAGGATGCGCCCTTTTTGCAGTCTTGAGTCGCACTGAGACAGATTCTCCGTGGAGAGTGGAGAGTGGAGAGTGGGCAGGTGTGATTAAAGCACAGGGCCTGGTCTGCCAAGGTGGCTCACACCTATATTCCCAATGCTTTGGGAGGCAGAGGTGGATGGATTGCTTGAGCCCAGCAGTTCAAGACTAGCCTAGACAACATAGGAGCATCCCATCGTTACAAAAATAAGAAAATTAGCAAGGCATGTTGTCACATGCCTATAGTCCCAGCTACTCAGGAGGCTGAGGTGGGAGGTTAGCTTGAGTCCAGGAATTTGAGGCAGCAGTGAGCCATAATTTTGCCACTGGACTCCAGCCTGGGTGACAGAGTGAGTCCCTGTCTCAGGGGGGAATAAAATGCACAGGGCCTAAGACCTCAAAATCTTAAGCCCCACCTCCTCCCCATTAACTCCACCCACAAATGTTTACTTCTCCAAATAGCCAAATAATCACTGAGTGCTGAGCCTTCAGATTGATCCTGATTTCATCGTAGATGCCAAGCATTCTTCATGATTGAGGTTTGAGGTTGTGCACATTTTCTAGTTTTGTAGAAGACTGGGTTTTCTACATATTTTCCTTAACATTTTTTTGTTTGATTTTGGAGAGAGTGAGATCAAAATAACTTTTTAGAGACGACTTTTTCTGACATCTCTAAGAGTCGTCTTTTTCTCCATCTTCAGTTGTTTTGTGCAGTTATTTTGTACAGTTGTTTCCAATTCTTGCCCTTTTGTGAAAAGCTTTTGAAACGACTAATTGTCTTTCAATTGGTCTTTAATTGCCTCCCACCAATTCTGATATAAAGTGTTCTCATTGTCATTAATTTTCTAAGTAATTTGTAACTTTAGTTTTGATTATCTATTTAACCCAAGAGTTATTTAAAGGGTGTTTTTAGTTTTCTAAGAGAGTAGGCGTGGGTTTTTTTGTTTGCTTGTTGTTTGTTTGTTTTTTGGCTATTCTACTGATTGTTCTCTTTTAGCTTTATTGTATCATGGTGTAATGGAGTCCCTGTAATTTGTTTTTGTAATTTGTTTCAATTTTTTTGATTGCTTGATGATACAATCAAGCAATTCACATTTCTTGATGATACATGGTCAATTATCAGGAATGTTCCTTGAATGTTTGAAAATAAAAAGTATTCTCTATTTGTTACAAAATATATAATAATAACAGCATATTATAATTGTGTATAATTATAATATATAATATGTTAAATCAAGCTTATTAATTGTGTTATTCTAGTGCTTAAGCTTTTTGGTCTCGGGATCTATTTACATTCTTTTTTTGTTTTTTGATTTTGAGACAGGGTCTCATTCTGTCCCCCAGGCTGGAGTGTAGTGGCACGATCTTGGCTCACTGCAACCTCCGCTTCCTGGGTTCAAGCAATTCTCATACCTCAGCCTCTCGAGTAGCTAGGACTACAGGCACGCGCCACCATGCCTGGCTAACTTTGTATTTTTAGTAGAGACAGGGTTTTGCCATGTTGGCCAGGCTGGTCTCAAACTGCTGACCTCAAGTGATCCACCCACCTTGGCTTCCCAAAGTGATGGGATTACAGGCATGACCCACCATGCCTGGCCCCATTTACATTCTTAACAACTTTATTTTTTAAATATGTAAATAATTATAGACATTAATATAATATAAAAAAATATATATAACATTAAATATAACTATATATCACAATAATGAGCATATTACATACTAATAGAAATAAAATATTTTTATGAAAATAATATTTTCCCAAAATAAAATAAAACAGTGAGAAGAGTAGACTTGTTTTGCATCTTTGCAAATCTCTGTAATATCTGACTTAATAAAAGACAGCTGGATTCTCATATCTGTTTGCAGTCAGTCTGTTGTTATATTGCTTTGGCTGAAGTATATGAAAAAAATGGATACTACACATATATGTAGGTGGAAAATGGAGAATTTTAAAAATAGCCTTTTGGCCAGACGTGGTGGCTCACACCTGTAATCCCAGCACTTTGGGAGGCCGAGACGGGCAGATCACTTGAGGTCAGGAGTTCAAGACCAGCCTGGCCAATATGGTGAAACCCCATTTCTACTAAAAATACAATTAGCTGGGTGTGGTGGCAGGCACCTGTAATCCCAGCTACTTGTGAGGCTGAGGCGGGAGAATCGCTTGAACCTGGGAGGCGGAGGTTGTAGTGAGCCGAGATCCTGCCACTGCATTCCACCCTGGGTGACAACAGTGAGACTCTGTCTCAAAAAAAAAAAAAAAATAGCATTTTAAGCCAGGCTTGGTGGTGCACACCTGTAGTCCCAGCTACTGGGGAAGCTGAGGTGGGAGGATCACTTGAGCCTAGGAGTTCAAGTCCAGCCTATGCAATGTAGCAAGACACCTCATCTCTAAAAAGCAAACCAGCCTGTAATCCCAGCACTTTGGGAGGCCGAGGCGGGCGGATCACGAGGTCAGGAGATCGAGACCATCCCGGCTAAAACGGTGAAACCCCGTCTCTACTAAAAATACAAAAAATTGGCCGGGCGTAGTGGCGGGCGCCTGTAGTCCCAGCTACTTGGGAGGCCGAGGCAGGAGAATGGCGTGAACCCGGGAGGCGGAGCTTGCAGTGAGCCGAGATCCCGCCACTGCACTCCAGCCTGGGCGACAGAGCGAGACTCTGTCTCAAAAAAAAAAAAAAAAGCAAACCAAAAAAAGCCTTTTCCAATAATTGTATATATTCTTCTTTGATACTAAACTTCTAAGTGCAAGTGGTAGTTTCTTAAAAGTTATTTGCAATATGGAATCTGAAACCTAACAATGAATATTTTGTACACTGTTACTGTGAAATCTATTGGTCTCGCTCTGCTGCCCAGGACAGAGTACAGTGCTGCAATCACGGCTCACTGCAGGCTGGAACTCCTGGACTCAAGCGATCCCTCTGCTTCAGACTCCCAAACAGCTGGAACAACAGGTACTTGCCACCACGACTGGCTAATTTTTCAATTTTTTGTAGAGACAGGAAGGGCAGGGCAGGGTAGAGATCTCTTTTTTGTTGCCCAGGCTAGTCTGAAACTCTTAGCCTCAAGCAATCCTCCTGCCTCAGCCTCCCAGAGAGCTGGGATTACAGGCGGTGATTCCTCCCCAGGCCTGTTTGTTTGTATGTTGATTTCCCCATAGTGTAAGTTTGTGAATATATATTTCTATCATTTTGCTTTATATGTCTTGAAGATATGTTGTTAGAAACGTTAAGTGTTTATGGAAATTTGTTATCGTCTTCATGCATAGTATTTTTTACCACTATGCAACATCCCTCTTTGTTAATTATAAGTTTTTGCCTTGAGATTACTTATCTGATAGTAATATTGCTATACTTTCACATTCACCTGCTATGTTTTTCTCTTTTATTAAAATTTTATTCTTATGAAAGTAATATATATACACAGTTTTGCTTTAAGTATAGTAATAATACTATAAGACCTCCAACAAAAAACAGCAGGACCTGCCCTACCACTATCTACCAACCAACCTCATTCTCAGAGGCAACCACTCAAACGTTTGTATTTATTCTACATTCCTAAATAACATGCGTATACCTTCACTGACTATATAGACTTCAGTTATTCTCCTTGGAACTGACTTCTTCATACTGCTTGTTGCCTCAATAGTGACCCAAATGACAAATAATATTGAGCATCTCTTCTTGTGCTTATGTACCATCCATATATCCTGTTTGGTGAGGGGTCTATTCAGATTTTTCCATTTATTTATTTATTTATTTATTTATAAGATGGAGTCTCACTCTCTCGCCCAGGCTGGAGTGCAGTGGTGTGATCTTGGCTCACTGCAACCTCCACCTCCCAGGTTCAAGAGATTCTCCTGCCTCAGCCTCCCGAGTAGCTGGGACTACAGGTGAGCACGACCATGCCCAGCTAACTTTTGTATTTTTAGTAGAGACAAGGTTTCACCATGTTGGCCAGGCTGGTCTTGAACTCCTGACCTCAGGTGATCCACCTGCCTCGGCCTCCCAAAGTGCTGGGATTACAGGTGTGAGCCACCACGCCCAGCCTAAATTTTTCCCATTTTAAGTTTGGGTATTTTATTTTCTTACTGTTGAGCTTTGAGAGTTCATTATGTATTCTAGATACAAGTCCTTTTTTAGAAATATGGTTTGCAGGCTGGGCATGGTGGTTCATGTCTGTAATCCCAGCACCTTGGGAGGCTGAGGCGGGTGGATCACCTGAGGTCGGGAGTTCGAGACCAGCCTGACCAACATGGAGAAACCCCAACTCCACTAAAATACAAAATTAGCCGGGCGTGGTGGCACATGCCTGTAATCCCAGCTACTCAGGACATATCTCCTTTCAGGCTTTTTATTTATTTATTTTAGGACAGTGTCTCACTCTGTCCCCCAGGCTGGAGTGCAATGACGCCATCACAGTTCACTGCAGCCTCAACCTCTTGGGTTCAAGAGATGGAGGTTGCGGTGAGCCGAGATCACGTTCCAGCCTGGGCGACAAGAGCAAAACTCCATCTCAAAAAAAAAAAAGAAATATGGTTTGCAAAGATTGTCTCTCAGTCTGTAGCCTGCCTTTGTTCTTTTAACAGCGTGTCAAAGAGCCAAAGTGTTTCCTTTTGATTGTTTTCTGAGGTTCGTTGAAAATTACTGACATGAAGCAGATTGATAAATAGGAGAAAAGGCACACGAATGTATTTAGCATGTATACACAGGAGCCTTCAGAATGAAGACCCAAAGATACAGGAGAAATTGTCCATTTTGATGTTTCGGTTCAACAAAGTACAGACAGCTGTGAGGAAGTATGATTGGACAAAAAGAATATGATCTAATGCTAATAGACTGAGTTAAGGAAACCCAGTATGGCCTGTGTGTCTACATTCTTCTTGGCCTCTCTGAGCATGCATTCCTTCCTCTCTGGGATGGAGCGGGGGGTCTTATGACAGGTATAAACAGGATAGGTCAGATAGTTTCTTTATGATCAGCTTTTATGCAGAAAGGTGGATGGAAAATTAGAGTATATTTTTAGGTTTTATAAGTAGCTTTGGGGAGAAGAGGTTCTGGTTTCCATGACCCACTTTAGGGAAGAGAGATTTCTAGTTTCTACGGCTAGCCTCGGGACAGAATGGGACTGAGAGATAAGAGGGAAGAAGAAGGACAGAGAAAAACTTTTGCTTCTGAGGCTGCTGCTGAGGTCTTCACTTTGGGGTATTGTTTTCTGAGCCCCAACAGATGAAATTCAATTTATCAATTTACCTTTTTATAGATTGTACTTTTGTTACCGTTTCTAAGAAATCTTTGTCTAACTCGAGGTCAAAAAGGTTTTCTCCTATGCTTTCTTCTAGAAGTTGATTCATAATCTTGGGTTTTACATTGACGTCTATGATTTATTTTGAGTTAATTTTTATATATGGTGCAATGTATGGGTTGAAGTTAATTTTTTCTGCCTTATGAATATTCAATTTTCCAGCACCATTTGTTGAAAAGATGATCCTTTCTCTACTGAACTGCCTTTGTATCTTCATTGAAAATCCATTTCCAGTCTCTCTGTTCTATTCCATTGATCCATTTTCTTTCTTCACATCAGTATCACACTGTCTTGATTATTGTAGTTGCATAAGAAGTCAAAACTGAAAACAGCATTCAGCCATAACAAAGAATGAAATCCCAACATTTGCGGCAACATGGATGGAACTGGAGATCATTATGCTAAGTGACATAAGCCAAGCACAGTAAGGCAAATATCGAATGTTCTCACTCATATGTGGAAGCTAAAAAAGTGGATCTCATGGAGACAGCAGATTGGTGGTGACCAGAGGCTGAGAGGATGGGAAGAGAGGGATGAAGAGAGATTGATTGATGGGTACGAAAATACAGTTAGATAGAAGGAATAAGATCTAGTGTTCAGTAGTTCCCTAGGGTGATTATAGTTAACAATAATGTATATTTCAAGATAGCTAGAATAATGAATATTCTCAACATAAAGAAAAGATAAATGTTTGAGGTGATGGATATCTCAATTGCCCCATCTGATCACTACACATTGTATGCATGTAACAAAATATCACGTGTACCCCCCAAATACGTACAACTATAATATATCAATTTTAAAAAATACATATTTAGAATTTTTATTTTATCTTTTCAAGGATCATATCTTTTCATGTCATTCTTTTTTTTACTTTTTATTATTACATACCAAAATTTTTAAAAATAAGTCTTGAAATTGGGTAATGTTAGTCCTTCAACTTTGATCTTCTCTTCTAAAATGGTTCTTAGTATTCTAGGTCATTTGAATTTCCATGTAAATTTTAGATTCAGTTTGTAATTTTCTGCAGAAAAGCCTCTTGGGATTGTATTTGTAATTGCACTGAATCTATGGATCAATTTGATCTTTCCATTAATTTAGGTCATTTAAAATTTTGCTCATCAGGTCGGGCGTGGTGGCTCTTTCCTGTAATCCCAGCACTTTGGGAGGCCAAGGCAGGCAGATCACTTGAGGTCAGGAGTTTGAGACCAGCCTGGCCAATATGGTAAAACCACATCTCTACTAAAAATACAAAAATTAGCCAGGTGTGGTGGCAGGTGCCTGTAATCCCAGCTACTCAGGAGGCTGAGGCAGGAGAAGCACTCGAACTTGGGAGGCGGAGGTTGCAGTGAGCCAAGATCATGCCACTGCACTGCAGCCTGGATGACAGTAAGACTCTCTCTCCAAAAAATAAAAATAAAAAATAAAATAAAATAAAATTTTGCTCATCAGTGTTCTGTAGTTTTCAATGTACAGGTCTTCTTACATCTTTTGATAAATGTATCCATAAGTATTTTATTTTTTTGATGTTGCTATTAGTGGCATATTTTAAAATTTTTGTTTATTTCCTATGGCTCATTGTTCATACCCAGAAAAGCAATTTATTTTTATTTTATTTTTATTTTTTGAGAAGGAGTCTCGCTCTGTCACCAGACTGGAGTGCAGTGGCACCATCTCAGCTCACTGCAACCTCCGCCTCCCGGGTTCAAGCAATTCTTCTGCCTCAGCCTCCCGAGTAGCTGGGACCACAGGCACACACTGCCATGCCTGGCTAGTGGTTTTTTTTTTGTTGTTGTTGTTGTTGTTGTTGTTGTTGTTTTGTATTTTAGTAGAGATGAGGTTTCACCACATTGCCCAGGCTGGTCTTGAACTCTTGAGCTCAGGCAATCCACCTGCCTCGGCCTCCCAAAGTGCCAGGATTACAGGCGTGAACCACTGTGCCCAGCCAGTTTATTTTAATATATTAGTCTTGTATCTTGTAATCTTGCTAAACTCATTCATTAGTTCTAGCAGTGTTTTGTTTTGTTTTTGAGATGAAGTCTCACTCTGTCACCCAGGCTGCAGTGCAGTGGCACGATCTCAGCTCACTGCAACCTCTGCCTCCCAGGTTCAAGCAATTCTCCTGCCTCAGCCTCCCCAGTAGCTGGGACTACAGGTGTGTGCCACCACACCCAGCTAATTTTTGTATTTTTAGTAGACAAGTGGTTTCACCATATTGGCCAGGCTGATCTCGAACTCCTGACCTTGTGATCCGCCCACCTCGGCCTTCCAAAGTGCTGGGATTAGAGGCGTAAGCCACTGCGCCTGGCCCAGTTCTAGTACCTTTTAATAGATTGTGTCAGCTTTCTGTATAGATGATCAGGTTGTCTGCAAATAAAGACAATTTTACTTTTACTTTTTTGTTTCTTTTATTGTTTTTCTGAGACAAGGTCTTGCTCTGTCACCCAGGCTGGAATGCAGTAGCGTGAACACAGTTCACTGTAGCCTCAACCTCCGGGGCTCAAGTGATACTCTTGCCTCAGCCTCCTGAGTAGCTTGGACCACAGGCGCACAACACCAGCCTGGCTAACTTTTTAATTTTTTGTAAAGACAAGTTCTCACCATGTTGCCTAGGCTGGTCTCAAACTCCTGGGCTCCATTGATCCTCCTGCCTTGGCCTCCCAAAGTGCTGGGATTACAGGAATAAGCTACCACACCCAGCCTACTTTTTCTTTTATCGCATGGCTATCTTCTGTTTCTTTTTCTTGCCTAACCCCACTAGCTAGAAACCTCAATACAATGTTGCCTAGAAGAGGTGAGATCTCACATCCTTGTCTTATTCCCAAGCATGGGAGGAAATCATCAGTCTATCACTTTAAGTATAATTTTGGCTGCAGGTTTTTCATACACGTCCTTCACCAATCAGGTTGAGGATGTTCCCTTCTAATTATTCTTTGCCAAAAGTTTTTGATCAGGAGTGGATGTTGGATTTTTGTCAATGTGTTTTCCGTATCGATTGAGGTTATCATCTAGGTTTTCTGTTTTAATTTGTTAAAATGACTATATTGATTCATTTATTTTTATTTTTTTCAGACATGAGGCCTTGCTGTGTTGCCCAGGTTGGAGCGCAGCGGCTATTCTAAGGCATGGTTACAGTGCACTGCAGCCGGAAAACTCCTGGTCTCAAGCCCTCCTTCCGCCTCAGCCTCCCAAGTAGCTAGGACTAGAGGTGCATGCCACCACACCTAGCTTGATTTTTTTTTTTTAATCTGGAAAAATTTCTGGAAGATTGATTCATTTCTGAATATTGAACCAACGTGGCAATCCTGGAATAAATCCCCCCTTTATATACTGTTGAATTCACTTTGCTAAAATTTTGTTTAAATTTTTTCGTCATTATGAGTATTGGCCCGTAGTTTTGTTATAATGTCTTTTATCTGACTTTAATATTAAAGTAATGCTGGTCTCATAAAGTGGGTTGGAAAATGTATCCTTCTCTTCAATTTTCTTGAATAATTTGTGTGGAATTGCTATTATTTCTTCTTTCAATGTTTGGTAGAATTCGCTAGATCTGTCTTATTGGGAAGATTTTTAACTACGCATTCAATTTCTTTAACACATATAGAACTATTCGGGTAACCTACTTCTCGAGAGAACTCTGCTAGTTTGGGTCTTTCAAGGAATTTGTGCATTTTGTCTGGGTTGTCAAACTTATTGGCATAACGTTGTTCACAATTGTGTAGGGGAAACTATTCGTGCTTTCTTCTGCTCTCACACCATGACAGTCATCAACACAGAAGCCTTCGGTGACCAAATGTGTGGGGACTTTCCTCCACATACCAAGCAGCAGACACCAGCCGGGTGTCCTCTAATCTAGTTCTGACACCATCTACCTGGAGCTAGTGTCAGATCCCACAGGTTGGGGGTTCGGTCCCACACTCTGAGACACCAGTCATAAATCCAGGCCTCTGGAACTTCTGACTGGCTTCAAGTCAGGGTTCCAGTGACCCCCTCTTTGGGTTTGACTAATTTGCTAGAGTGGCTCACAGAACTCAGGGAAACACTTACTTAGTTTACCAGTTTATTATAAAGGATAAGGCACAGGATACAGATGAAGAAATGCGTAGGGTGAGGTATGGGGAAAGGGGTGCGGAGCTTCCATGCCCTTCCTGGGTGCCACTGTGCAGGAACCTCCACATGTTCAGCTATCTGGAAGCTCCCTGAACCCTGTCCTCTCGTTTTTTAATGGAAGGATTCCTTCCCCCAGAGCACAGGGTGGGAGTTCACATAGGAGGGTCTTAAGACCCACAATGAGAGAGGCAGGGGAACATTAGAGTCCTGCCTTGGAGCAAGTGAAGAGGGCAGGTCAGAGGCCTGCCCCTGAGGCCTAATACACCCAACAAAAGACTGTAACAAGGGCTATGGGAGTTATGTGCCAGAAACTGTGGATGAAAACCAATATACATCATAACACCACAAAAATATTCCTTATGTTCCTGTTAATATTTTCAGAATATCTAAGGAAGTCACCTCTTTCATTCCTGATTGATAATTTGAGTCTTTTTTTTTAAACAATCTGGTAGTAAGTTTATCAATTTTATTGATCTTCTCAAATAACCAGCTTTCAGTTTCATTCATTTTCTCTATTATTTTTCTGTTTTCTGTTCCACTGATTTCTGCTTTGATCTTCATTATTTCCTTTCTTTTGCTTAGTTTGGTTTAATTTGGTCTCTTTTTTCTAGTTTCTTAATGTGTAAGCTGAGGACATTGATTTGAGACCTCTATTTTTTTCTCATTTGGACACTTAGTGCTATAAATTCTCCCCTAACGGCTGTTTTAACGATACCTCCAACATTCTGATATGTTGTGTTTTCATTTTCATTCAATCCAAAGAAGACTTTGTAATGTCCCTTTGATTTCTTCTTGACCCATGGCTTCTTTAGAAGTGTGTTATCAAGTTTATAAGCATTTGAGGATTTCCCAGAAGTCTATTATTGATTTCCAATTTAATTTCATTGTGGCCAGAGAAGATACTTAACATGATTCTAATCTTGTAAAATTTATTGAAACTTGGTTTATAACCTAGAATATGATCTACCTTGGTAAATCTTCCATGGGCATGCACTTGAATAGTGTGTTCTGTTCTTGGGTGGACTCTTTCAGGCCATGTCTGTTGATAATGTTGAAATCTTCTATATCCTTAATTATTTTTCTATTTTCGTGCTCTACCAATTATTGAAACAGAGGTATTGAAATCTCCAGCCATAATTGGAAGTTTCTTTATTTCTCCTTACCATTCTATCAGTTTTTGCTTCATGTGTTTTGAAGATCTATGTGCATAAACATTTAGGATTTTTATGTCTTCTGGGTGAATTGACCCCTTTGTCATTATGAAATGCACTATCCCTGTGCAATCAACTTGGTCTAACATTAATCTAGCCACTCCAGCTTTCTTTTGACTAGTGTTTGTATGTCTAACTTTTTCCATCTTTTTTACTTTTACCTTTTTTTTCTTTCTTTTTTTGAGATGGAGCTTCAGTCTTGTTGCCCAGGCTGGAGTGCAATGGTGTGGTCTTGGCTCACTGCAACTGCAACCTCCGCCTCGTGGGTTCAAGCACTTCTCCTGCCTCAGCCTCCTGACTAGCTGGGATTACAGGCACCCACGACCATGCCCAGCTAATTTTTTTTTTTTTTTTTTGTATTTTTAGTAGAGATGGGGTTTCACCATGTTGGCCAGGCTGGTCTCGAACTCCTGACCTACCTTACGTGTTCTTTTTTTTTTTTTTTTTTTTTGAGACAGTCTCGCTGTATCGCCCAGGCTGGAGTGCAGTGGCATGATCTCTGCCCTCTGCAAGCTCCGCCTCCCAGGTTCATGCCATTCTCCTGCCTCAGCCTCCTGAGTAGCTGGGACTGCAAGCGCCCACCACCACGCCTGGCTAATTTTTTTTTTTTTTGTATTTGTAGTGGAGACGGGGTTTCACCATGTTAGCCAGAATGGTCTCGATCTCCTGATCTCGTGATCCACCCGTCTCGGCCTCCCAAAGTGCTGGGATTACAGGCATGACCCACCGCGCCTGACCCTTTTTTTTTTGAGACGTAGTCTCACTCTGTCACCCAGGTTTGAGTGCAATGGCACGATCTTTACCCACTGCAACCTCCCCCTCCCAGATTTAAGCGATTCTTCTGCCACAGCCTCCTGAGTAGCTGAGGTTACAGGCGCCCACCATCATGCCCGGCTAATTTTTGTATTTTTGTAGAGACAGAGTTTCACCATTTGGCCAGGCTGGTCTTGAACTCCTGACCTCAGGTGAGCCGCCCGCCTCGGCCTCCCAAAGAGCTGGGATCACAGGCATGAGCCACCGCACCTGGCCTACCTTATGTGTTCTTATATTTAAGCGCACCTCATGAAGTCAGCATGGTTGGGTCTTGCTTTGATATCCAATCTGATATTATCTGCCTTTAATTGGGAGTGTTAGACCATTTTTATTTAATGTGATTACTGATACAATTAGGATTAAGTCTATCATCTTGAAATTTGTTTTCTATTGGTCCTACATGTTTTCTGTTTCTCTTTTCTTCTTTTTCAGCCTACTTATAGATTAATGGAGCATATTTGATGATTCTATTTTATCTTCTTTATTGGCTTATTAGCTATAATTCTTTGTTTCTTTAATGGTTGCTTTAGGGTTTATAGTATACATCCAACTTATCAGAGTCAACTTTCAAATGGTATTATATAATTTCACATATCATCTAAGAACTTATGATATATTCCTGTTAATATTAGCAGAACATCGAAGGCACAGGGTTTGTGAGACCAGGCTCCGCCCTGCCCCCGTGTCAAGTCCAACCTCCAAGTACCAGTCCCTCCTGTGAGGCCTTAACTGCTCCCCTCAGCATCTAGGTGCTGAAAGGGGAGACTTCAGATACCATGGAATCCACCTGCCTGCCCAGGCAGCGTTGCCAGCAGAAGGTCAACTATGAGAAAGGTGTTTCTCTCAATTAACTGAAGTCTCTGTGAATGTGACTTCCACCACAATTCCGGCTCTGACATCTTCTGAATTCACACAGGACTCCCCTACTTCCTCCCAACCTGGCCGCCTTTCTGACGAAGGACACCTTGGGTCATGTGTCCCCTCTGCCTCTCTCCTCAAAGTCAATTAAATTCAGAAAACAAAAAACAAAAAACAAAAACCCAGTGAGCTCTCCTAAGGACGTAAGACACGGCTGGAATGAGACGTGGAAAAGCAGAAAGAAGGAACTGTGACTCCTGCACCAGGGAATTTCCCCACTGTTACTCAGAGGGGACTGGAATAGATCCAGGCTGTGTGGACCCTAAAGCTTATGCAATTTTGTTGCTTATTTATTTATTTAGATGGAGTCTCGCTCTTGTTGCACAGGCTGGAGTGCAATGGCACTCTCCGCTCACTGCAACCTCCGCCTCCCAGGTTCAAGTGTTTCTCCTGCCTCAGCCTCCCGGTGGCTGGGATTACAGGCCTGTACCACCACACCTGGCTAATTTTTGTATTTTTAGTAGAGATGGGGTTTCATCACATTGGTCAGGCTGGTCTTGAACTCCCAACATTGTGACCTGCCACCTCAGCCTCCCAAAGCGCTGAGATTACAGGCATGAGCCACCATGGCCGGCCTATAAAATATTTTCATAAACTGCCTGACACACCTCTATAATATTTTTTCAGACCAGAGAGTAGGGTCTGCACACTGATTGCGACTTCATATAACAATCTTATGATATGATTTTCTCTAGAGAGAACAGAAGGGATAATTCAGTCTTTCCTCTAGCACGTTTGATCAAAATTTGCCTTTCATTGACAGTTTAGAAAAGTCTATTTCAGCTTCACAATGCATTATTGGTAATGCCATGTATATTGTTAGGAGTTTTGCAAATTTGGGGGAAATGTAACGGCAGGGGCAAATGGGAGTTGGAAGACTGTACAAGAGTCAACTTCCTCGAGGTAAGTGAGCACCCACGGCTGGTTATCCCAGGTTATCCCTGCATGGGCAGTGTGGGCCCAGGCGAGGAGCCAGGATGGGACAGACATAAAGGATGTAATAAAGAGTTAGCAACTGTATGGAACAACACTTCCCTGCTCTTCCTGCCTCCCTTCTCTGGAGACCTTCTGATTGTCACTGTGATTTTTCTTCCTACAACAAATGTTATTGGGTTCATTTATCCATTCATTCAACAACTATCTATTGGACACTTATTACGGACAAGGTGTGGAAGTGAACGCCACAGGGAACAGCCTTACCCTTGCAGAACTTATCACTTACTGTCACATAAACACTGGAAGAGAACGAAGATTACGTTTATATTGTCAGTCGATTTGATGAGTACAAAATGTTATCAGAAACACCGTGGGAATCTGAAACTATTATCTATTCACTCACATACTTCTTCAACAACTGTATTCTACAACTACTTATTTTTAAGACATGGGGTCTCACTCAGTCGCCCAGGCTGCAGGCTGGAGTGCAGTAGTGCCATCAGAGCTCATTGCAGCCTCAAACTCCAGGTCTCAAGCCATCTTTCAGGCAGGGTGTGGTTGCTTATGTCTCTAATCCCAGCACTTTGGGAGGCCGAGGCAGGTGGATCACCTGAGGTCAGGAGTTCAAGACCAGCCTCACCAACATGGTAAAAATCCTTCTCTACTTAAAATACAAAAAAGAAAAAAAAAATAGCCAGGTGCGGTGGCTTACGCCTGTAATCCAGCACTTTGGGAGGCCGAGGTGGGTGGATCACAAGGTCAGGAGATCGAGACCATGCTGGCTAACACGGTGAAACCCAGTCTCTACTAAAAATACAAAAAATTAGCCGGGCATGGTGTTGCATGCCTGTATTTCCAGCTACTCGGGAGGCTGAGGCAGGAGAATCGCTTGAACTCGGGAGGCAGAGGTTGCAGTGAGCCGAGATTGCACCATTGCACTCCAGCCTGGGCAACAAAAGCGAAACTCTGTCTCAAAAAAAAAAAAACAAACAAAAACAGAAAACAAAAAACATTAGCCAAGAGTGGTGGTGCACATCTGTAATCCCAGCTACTTGGGAGGCTGAGGCACAAGAATCACTTGAACCCCAGAGGCGGAGCTTGCAGTGAGCAGAGATCGCGCCACTGCACTCCAGCCTGGGCAACAAGCGAGACTCCATCTCAAAAAAAAAAAAAAAAAGCCATTTTTCCACCTCATTCAGCCTCCCGAGTAGCTGGGACTACAGGCAAAAGCCACTGTGCCCAGCTTACAACTGGGCAAGGCACAGAGGTGGACGTGAGAGACAACGCCCCTGCCTTGCAGAACTTTTATTTTAGTGAGTGGGAGACAATGTACAAACAAAGTAATACACCCTTTGAGTGCAGTAGCAGGACAGGAGGCACTGGGACTCCGGAATGAGTAGACAGGTCTCTACCCTGTGTGAGCACCTAATCCAATGGTATGACAAGCGAGGAAGGGGAGTGACTATGCCCAGTAAATTACAGCCCTTCACCCCAGACTGCACCCCGGATTCCAAGCAACCAGCTCACAAGCAGGAGGGGGCTCATGGCATCATGAATCAGTGATAAAATTTCAGTCTCCGCAGAGTCCCTAGGCTTTTATTCGTCATCAGAACTGTGAAGGACACCTCAGGGACGGTCCGCCCCAACCCTGGGCGGGGGTGGGGGAGAGGAGGACATTAAAAGGAGACTTCTGGTGGGCAGTAAGCCTATTAGCGCATCACATGAAGGTCCTGTCTGTTACTGGTATTGGAGGGGCAGTCTGAATTGATCGATTTGTTCTGGTTATTACAAGATTTGGAATTGAGGCCCTGCCTGAACTTTTTTTTTTAGATTCAGTGAAATTTTTTTTTTTTTTGAGACGGAGTCTCACTCTGTCGCCCAGGCTGGAGTGCAGTGGTGCGATCTCAGCTCACTGCAACCTCCACCTCCCGGGTTCAAGTGATTCTCCTGCCTCAGACTCCCGAGTAGCTGGGATTACAGGCACCCACCACCACGCCTGGCTAATTTTTGTATGTTTAGTATAGACAGGGTTTCACCATGTTGGCCAGGCTGGTCTCGAACTCCTGACCTCAGATGATCCACCCACCTCAGCCTCCCAAAGTGCTGGGATTACAGGTGTGAGCCACTGCACCTGGCTGGAATTTTATTTTTTAATACAACTTTATTGAGATATAGTTTACATCCACATAATTCACCTATTTTAAGTGTATCATTCAATGGGGTTTGGTATATCCACAGGGTTGTTCGACCATTGCCACAGTGAATTTTAGAATATTTTCATCATACCGAAAAGAAACCCTACATCCCATAGTAGTCACTCCCCATTTCCCTACAGCAACTTCAAAACCTAGGCAACCCCAACCTGCCTTACCTTTTACTGCCTATTTGAAATTAAAAGGTTAAATCCTCTTCCTGGCACAGTGGCTCATCCTTGTAACCCCAGCACTTTGGGAGGCTGAGAGGGGAGGATTGCTTGAGGCCAGGAGTTTGAGACAGGCCTGGGCAACATAGACCCAGTTTCTACCAAAAAAAAAAAAAAAACCATATATATATACACGTATATATATACATATATATATACGTATATATATATGTATATATATGTATATATGTATATATATATGTATATATATACACACATATATATATACACACACATGCATATACACACAAGCTGGCTCTTGCTTGAGTCCAGGATTTGAGGCTGCAGTGAGCCATGATAGTGCCACTGCACTGCAGCCTGGGCAACAGAGCGAGGCTGTCTTTTTAAACATAAAAATTCAGCCAGGTATGGTGGCTCAGCCTGTAATCCCAGCACTTTGGGAGGCTGAGGGGCTGAGGCAGGCGGATCACGTGAGGTCCGGAATTCAAGACCACCCTGGCCAACATGGCAAAACCTCATCTCTACTAAAAATACAAAAATTAGCTGGGTGTGGTGGCGTGCACCTGTAATCCCAGCTACTTGGGAGGCTGAGGCAGGAGAATGGCATGAACCCAGGAGGCATAGCTTGCAGTGAGCAGAGATAGTGCCACTGCACTCCAGCCTGGGCGACAGAGCGAGACTCCGTCTAAAAAAAAAAAAAAAAAATCACATCCTCTGAGGCTTAGTTTTCTCATCTAATCTAATAACACATGTCTACTCTGGGGTGGCCCACCTCTTTACTGACAAACACTGTAGGTCTGTGAGTAGGAACCCAAGCTTTGCACAGTGAGGCAAAAGTGGGACTCGGGTCAGACTCTGGGCTGACGACGCCTGAGTGAGGCAGTTGATGGAGACAAAAATCTCTGGACAGTGGGGTCAAAGGGCAAAAGGCAAATACAAGTTCATGGGTAGGGAGCTGACAGACTTTGCAGTGCTGGTAGCCCTTTGGTGGCACATGTCCTCCTTTGGAAGGCTCAGGGAGACGGTCCCATAGCGGGGTAAAGTCCACGGGCAATGGAATCAGAGACTGCAGGTATAAATCCTGGCCCCAAGTATAAAATACTTGCTAGTTGTTTAAACTTGGGTTGGCTTCATTTTGCTCATCTGTTACATGAGGAAGGGGCCGGGACTGGGATGAGTGGGCCACAGCACACAGGCATACTACGCTTCCCTCCCTGCTTCCCGAGTGCTTGCCACATAGCCAGACCCCAATTCTCCCCCAGGTGGGGCACAGGGGTCCCTGCATATTTCCAGGAATGTGACAGCAGGGGGCTGTCGGTCAGCTGTTCCAGCCTCAGCAGAGGGGCAAGACCAGACCCCAGCTTGCTCTGGCCCAGGAGAACCCAGGGCAGCTTGGAGCACAGAAATTTCTAATGAGCATCCACCTTCCCCTCTGGGCGGGCCAGGCTGTTTGTTACTGTGCTATGGAAGAGTGAGGGTCTAAACCCAGCTCTCCCTCCTAGGCCATAAGACCTGACACATCTGGCCCACACCCCACAATGACTATACAGGCAGCCAAGCACCTCTCTCCCCCTTGAAATCTCTTCCCAGCCCACCAGCATCTTCCTCTCCCAAGGAACTGGGTTTGCATGCACACTCCTTCTTTTTTCAGCTCTTCACTTGTCACCAAAGCAAACATCTATAAACTAAATGTATAAACTTGACGCTGAAAGAGAAACTGTTATCTCTCACCCAGGGGTCTTCGGACCGACACTGAACACTGAACATTGAACAGCTGAAGAAAGGTGTTCCCTGCTTCCTAAGTCTTTCCACTTAGATTTTTGGCCTAACGCAGGTACATCAAGTTTCTTCCCCAGCTGCCTACTGGAAGCAACTATCACAGTCTTAAAATTGGGTGTTTCAGGGTGGGAATCTGGAGGCACCTGCAGCTGGGCTCACCTTAGAACTCAGGGAAGGAAGCAGGCCTTCATGGTATCAGTCAGGACCGACTCCAGTCAGCTTAAGCAAAAAAGAAAAAGGCTCACGTGGCTGGGAAGGCCAGGATGGAGGCAGGTGCAAGGGGCTCACGGACGCTGGCACCACTCCCAGCCCCTCTTCCTTCCACAAGTGTTGCCCTCATTCTGACTTGTTAGGGAGAGGGCCAGGCAACTCCACCATGCCCATTTAGCAACACCAGTGGAAGAAGAGCTTCCCTCTCCCAGTCCCCAGGAGGGTTCCAATAGGCCCGTTTATCACCCCACAGCCCCGGGGCACAGTCCATCTCCAGAAAAAGGAGGACAGAAGGACAACCAACAACAGGAGCTACCACAGTCCTCTGCATGGCAGCTATTTTCAAACATGGGAAACTTCTCCTCTCTGCATAAAAATAGAGCTCAAATGCTCCAAAGTTGGAGCGGAGTCTGGAAGGCTGAGATTGCTGCCAAGAACAGCCATTCTGCAGATAGAGTTCTGTGTGCTAGACCAGGGTATGGGAGCCCCAGAAAGCAACTGGAGCATGCTGGCATCTCCTAACCCCGACTGAGGAAGGAGGGAACCCCTGCTCTCATCTACAGAGGGAACTAAGCTTGCTTTAACTGGCACTGCCTTGCCCGTCGCGGGCAGGGGAGGCCTCCCCCAGCAGGCCTGATGCTCCCTCCACCCCCGCCCTGGCTCTCCTGCCCCTGGAGGTTGCTCAGCGCAGCAACCCAGCCGCTCCTTGGAGAAAACTCCACCACCTCCCCCAGGAGGAGTTTCACCTCTGGCTCATTCCTGCCTCCAGGCCTCAGCCAGGTGGGCTGCTCCTCTGACCTGTCCCTCCAGGACGCGTTCTGGTCCAGGGATGTGGACCAGGTGGGGTCCCCCCAAGGTCACCTCAGAAGTAGGCACAACTTGCAAAGACAGAGGCATCTGTTCTGTTAGCACAGCTTTGTCTCTTACCTTTGAGTAATAGTAGGCTCCTCCTCCACCCAACCCCATACGCTGATGAGAAGAACGGAGCTCTTCTTGGCCCTGCTTAAGGACACAGACATTTTGAGCAAGACAGTCAATCCTCATGTAAGGAAGCAACCAGCCGGAGGAGGATCAGCCCAAGAGGCAGAGGACAATGAACAGAGAGTCAAAGGACTGAACAGCAGAGGAGGGAGGCTGGAAGAGAACTGGCACAGAAGCAGCACTAATAATGACAACAAAAGCAGCAGCTACTCATTCATCGAGCACTTACTACATGCCAGGCTCCAAGCACCTTACATGCATTGACTCACTGAATTATTTGCACATTTTACATATATTAATATCCCCCAAGATACTTTTTAACTACAAAGAGAAAGACAATACCTTACTGTGGAGGAACCCAGTGCACAAGGTTAATATAACCAGGAATAGGACACAGTGACATCAAGAGCTCCCAATGTGAGGCCTCGAGATGGACAAAACATCACGTCTGTGGTATTCTTGCCAAAAATATATAACCTCATTCTAATCACGCAAAACACCATACAAGCCCAAATGGAAGGACATTCTACAAATAACCAGTACTCATCAGAAGTGTTAAAGTCATGAAAGACAAGGAAAGATTGAGAAACAGATGGGAGAAAACCAAGGAAAAATAACCAAATGCCATGTGGGGCCTTAAATAGCATCTGGGAACAGAAAGTGGACATCTTTGCTGGGCGTGGTGGTATACACCTGTAGGATCACACAAGCCCAGGAAGTCAAGGGTGCAGTGAGCCATGATCACACCACTGCACTCACCCTGGGTGACAGAGTGAGGCCCTGTGTCAAATTAAAAAAAGAACAAAAAAGAAAATGGACATTAGTGAAAAACATTGGTAAAATTCAAGTCAGGTTTGCAGTGCAGTTAATAGAATAATAGCAATGTTAATTTCATTGCTGTTCTTAGTTGGTCCAATGTTGATTTTGATAATTATGATACGATTATGTAAGATGTTAACATTGGGAATACGTGGGTAGAGGCATATGGGTTCTCTGCATACTATTTTTTTTTTTTGAGACTTCGTCTCGCTCTTGTCCCCCAGGCTGGAGTGCAATGGCACGATCTCAGCTCACTGCAACCTCCACCTCCCAGGTTCGAGCGATTCTCCTGCCTCAGCCTCCCGGGTAGCTGGGATTACAGGCACCCGCCACCATGCCCGGCTAATATTTGTATTTTTAGTAGACACAGGGTTTCACCATGTTGGCCAGGATGGTCTTCAACCCCTGAACTCATGATTCGCCCACCTCAGCCTCCCAAAGTGCTGGGATTATAGGCGTGAGCCACCGCGGCTGGCTTCTGCATACTATTTTTATAACTTCTCAGTAAGTCAAAATTAATTCAAAACTGAAAATGTTTACTTTTCAATTTAAAGCTTTCTAAGTGAGGCTGGGCACGGTGGCTCACGCCTGTAATCCCAACACTTTGGGAGGCCGAGGCAGGCAGATCACTTGAGGTCAGGAGTTCAAGACCAGCCTGGCCAATATGGAGAAACCCTGTCTCTACTAACAATACAAAAAATTAGCTGGGCGTGGTGGCGGGCGCCTGTAATCCCAGCTACTTGGGAAGCTGAGGCAGCAGAATCGCTTGAACCTGGTAGGCAGAGGTTGCAGTGAGCCGAGATCGTGCCACTGTACTCCCCCAGCTGGGATGGCAGAGTAAGACTCTGTTTCAAAAATTAAAATAAAATAAAATAGCTTTCTAAGTGAAAGGTTCACCCAACACATCAATGTTATCTCAGAAAAGTAATTTATTGGGTTGGTCTACCAACAATGAACTATGCCAAGACCTGGGATAATGCAGAGAATATTTCTAATTGTCTGCAATAATAAACATCTGCCACAGCTGGGTTTTTTATTGCCATGGCAGCCCCTATTTGTCGAGCAGGTACTCAGTTGCAGGGACAAGTGCTCAACACTCAGCTAGGTAGCATCTCTCCAACTTCTGGAGGAGGGACCAGTGAGACAGGCCACCCCCAACAATGAAATGCTCTCCCCAGGCCTCCAGCACCAGCCTCAGTGGGGTGGTTTTGCATCTTCTCTTTGTCTTGTTCTTCAAGACAGTGAGTGGGAAAGTTCCCCAGCTTTCTTGACAGTCCATCACAACCCCTCCTTCTTCATTCCTTCCGTGGCGACTCACTTTTAGAGACTTTTGCAATTAAATAAATAAAGGCATTTCCCACCAACTTTAAGCCCAACAACTTTATCTTCAGTGTCTACCACTCATTTCTCATATCCCACAAGAGGAAAGATTAATGTGATATTGTTGCTATTTAAGACATCTGAGCTTGTCCATATTCAGATTTTCTTTATTTTTCTGAGGTTTTCCCTGGGTTCTCCCACCTCCCCAGCCAGAAAAACAGCAGCTTCACAGCTGCTGCCAAGGTAGCCACAGCTCTGGCCTCCTGGTTGACTGCAGCTCGGAAGCAGGTAGGTCTGTCCTCAAAGGTTCCAATAGCTGAAACGACAAGGCAGGACCCGGCCAGGTCCCTGCGCAGCGCCTTGGCACCTGTTGCCTGATTGCCGAATCTCCGCCCAGTTCGGTTTCCTGCAAGCCTTTCCCACTGCAGTCTTCATGTTGTGTCAACAAAAGTCTACATTTTCACTCCCCTCTCTCCACGCCAGACTATAAATAAATTATCCAGTGATGAGTTAACAGCTCATTACTATGCCACATTTTGCAGTGAGATTGGAAAAGTAGAAAAGGTAGAAAGAGTAGGAAAAGTAGAAAAGGCAAACCCCAGTTGCCTTGAACCCTTGAATGAGAGGAGGAAGAGCCCCAGAGGGTCGTGAGTCAAAAGGAGGTGAGAGCTGGGGCTTTCTCTAGTGTCCAGGGAGGTCTTGGATAGAGCCAGACTGAGGCTGGAAGGGCCTGGCTGCTTCCTACCCACCCACCCCAGGAATTCTGACAGCTGAAGGGATGCCGCCTGGGCATGGTCAGGTGTCTGTGGACGAGCCCCAGAGGCCCCTTCCCAAGGCCACTTTCCCACTACTGAGCTCTACAGAAGGGGCAGAGGAGGAGGATAAGGCAGAGGGAGACAGCTCTGTCTCAGGTCCTTTCCACCCAGTTCCGGTAGACAAGGGGCAGGGGCCTCACCCAAAGGCAGTCAGAGGAGGGGAAGCTCCTACATTTGAGTGGGGGAATGTGGGGGAGCTGACTCTGAGCACAGGGCAGATATCCACTAGGACAAGCAAAGTAGAATGCACTCTGATCCTAATGACGATGGAGGTGCCGACCTTAGATATTCACGTTCTTGCCTTGATATGAGGGGCATTCTCACCTCCGTCACATTCCTGGGCAACCCAGAGCAACCTGGAAGGGAACTGAGGGCCTGCCCCAGAGCTAAGAGCACTTAAAAGGATCAGGAGCCAAGGGACAGTCCTTTTACTTTTTTTTTTTTGCAATAGAGGCACGTTGTCACTAAGTCACCAAGACTGGCCTCAAACTCCTGGCCTTAAAGCAATCCTCCTGCCTCAGCCTCCCGAAGTGCCGGGATCACAGGCATAAGCCACCAAATCCAGCTGACAATCCTTTTAAATTTGTGGAAAATACACCTTAGAAACCATAAAATGGAACCCCTTCCATTTCTACAAAATGGACCTCCCTCAGGCCTGGGGCCTCCGAAAGAGACCCATTTCCCCAGGAAGGGGATGGGGCAGGAGACTTGCTGGGTTTGAAGCTGAGAAGTGTACACAGATGGGCAAAGGGGACCCCGAGAGTCGTGCTGGCTTCAAGGACAGGCTGACTTGCACATTCAGGGAGAGACTGAGGGCTGGAGAGACAGAACTGTTTGAAATGGAGGGTTGATTGGACTCCAGTGAAAGAGAAGGGCGAGGGCGCTGACGCTGGGAATGGGTGGGCTAGGAGTAAACCTAGAAGGGTTCTCCTGGTATGAAGGGCCAACAGCCCCTTCACGGAGGTGGACTCAAGAGTGGGCTTGACTCAGAAAGGAACGAGAGGTGGAAATATTTCGGGGAGGGCGCCCACAGAGATAACTCTGAGGACTGCGCAGGGAGGCCAAGGAAGAGACCCAGGAAGAGGCTGTGGGTGCAGTGTGGGAGGATCAGGCCCAGCACTTAGCAGCCAAAGAAAGCTTTCAGGCAGAGATTCAAGAACCCGGGCAACAGATGCCGTAACCACGGCAGGAAGGAGAATTTCCAGGTGTGGAGGTCAATGTGGTGAAGGCCTCAGGTCAGGAAAGACAAGAAAAAATGCTGGGGAGCCAAGCATGGGGGCGCACACCTGGAGTCCCAGCTACTCAGGAGACTGAGACGGGAGGGTCACTTGAGCTCAGGAGGTTGAGGCTGCAGTGAGCTATGATTGCATCACTGCACTCCAGCCTGGGGGACAGAGACCCTGTCTTTAAAAATTATAGGCCGGGCGCGGTGGCTCACGCCTGTAATCCCAGCACTTTGGGAGGCCGAGGCGGGTGGATCATGAGGTCAGGAGATCGAGACCATCCTGGCTAACAAGGTGAAACCCCGTCTCTACTAAAAATACAAAAAATTAGCCGGGCGCGGTGGCGGGCGCCTGTAGTCCCAGCCACTCGGGAGGCTGAGGCAGGAGAATGGCGTGAACCCGGGAAGCGGAGCTTGCAGTGAGCCGAGATTGCGCCACTGCAGTCCGCAGTCCGACCTGGGCGACAGAGCGACACTCCGTCTCAAAAAAAAAAAAAAAAAAAAAAAAAAAAAAAAAATTATAAATAGGCCGGGCACAGTGGCTCACATCTGTAATCCCAGCACTTTGGAAAGCCAAGGCAAGTGAATCACTGGAGGCCAGGAGTTCGAGACCAGCCTGGCCAACATAGCAAAACCCCATCTCTACTAAAAATACAAAAAAAAAAAAAAAAAAAATTAGCCAGGTGTGGTGGCACACACCTGTGGTCCCAGCTACTTGGGAGGCTGAGGCACGAGGATCACTTGAACCCAGGAGGCAGACATTGCAGTAAGCCTAGATCACACCACTGCACACCAGCCTGGGCAACAGAGTGAGACCATCTCAAAAAATTAAATTAATACACTTAAAATGCTGGGGGCTCCCAGGTCAGAATAGTGGATGGTCAGAAGTGTTTGCCTCCTTCCCTATCTAAATAACAAAAGATATAATGAAGAAGCCCAAGGCCGCACTGGCAGTGAAGACAATACCACCAAGAGAAATAATTCATTTTGTGAAAGACGGGAAACATCCGGCACTGTATTAATGGACAAACTGGAAGAGGAAACCACAGCCCAGCACACGATGGGGAGAAGGCTGCACGGGATGTGGGTTACAGGAAGACTTCTCTGGAAAGGCTCCCAGCTTGGAGGAGGCAGAAGGGGTGACTAACTGGGGGGCTGGCTTCACCAACTCTTCAAGACTCAAATGCACACGCACATGCGCACACGCAAACACACAGGTTAAGTGCACGTGAGCTCAGATGCTTACCTGCTAAGGAATGCTCCCTAAACTGAAGGGGAGGTAGAGGGTTCAGGTTGAAGCAGCTGAGTAGAATACCGCGAAACAGACCCAGAGCAAAGGGAAGAAAGGCAGCTCCAAGATCTGGGGTCAAGTCTACCTGCCCCCAACCTGCTCAGTCCCTGAAAGGAAGCCAGGACATACGTCCATACAGTGACCCTCACCCAGCCTTCCAGTGTAGGAAGTGGCCTTGTGGGTAAACAGCCCAGAAAAAGAAACACCTCCTAGGAACTTCTACAAATCAGTTCAGTCCTGCATTAAAGGACCAAGCATCACTTAGTATTTGTTCTTCTCCATAAGAATTAGGGTGAACAACTCACCTAATCCCTGAGATAAGAATTGTAAAAAAAAAAAAAAAAAACTCTAATTCATTTTCTTATACACAGTCCTTACATCCATGAAGAACAGGCTCCTATGGAAAGAGGAGCAATCAGAGAACAAACTGTTTCAGAAATTTTTTAAAGAAAAAAAGAGGGCCAAAATAAAAAATTTCTAGAGGGCGGGTAGAATCATCATGACTTAAAACCAAATTGGCTTTGTAGTGGAGTGATGGTTCCGGCAGAATTCTACAATCTACTAAGGCCAGACATGGTGGCTCTTGCCTGTAATCCTAGCACTTTGGGAGGCCAAGGCGGGCAGATGACTAGAGGGCAGGAGTTCAAGACCAGCCTGACCAACATGGTGAAACTCCATCTCTACTAAAAATACAAAAATTAGCTGGACGGGTGGCACATGCCTGTAATCTCAGCTACTTGGGAGGCTGAGCCAGGAGAATTGCTTAAACCCAGGAGGCAGAGGTTGCAGTGAGCTGGGATTGCACCATTACACTCTAGCCTGGGCAACAGAGAGAGACTCCGTCTTAAAAAATAGAAATAAAAAGTAGTTCAGGCCGGGCGCGGTGACTCACGCCTGTAATCCCAGCACTTTGCTGAGGCCGAGGTGGGTGGATCACCTGAGGTCAGGAGTTCAAGACCAGCCTGGCCAACATGGCAAAACCCTGTCTCTATTGAAAATACAAAAACTAGCTGGGCACAGTGATGGGCGCCTGTAATCCCAGCTATTCGGGAGGCTGAGGCGGGGAATTGCTTCATCCTGGGAGATGGAGGTTGCAGTGAGCCAAGATCACGCCACTAATTGCGCCCACTTCATCCTGGGCAACAGAGCTAGACTCCATCTCAAAAAAAAAAAAAAAAGTTCAGCTCCTTCAAGCCTCAGACAGGTGCGTTCTGAGGCATGCATTCTGCACTGTTTTCCAGATTCCCTGTGGGGTTGAGCTCCAATCCCACAGTGGCAGTGGCTTCACACTCCTCATCTGCTGCCTTCCAAGGGCCACTTCCTGCTGAACTTTGTGCCTGCACTTCCACCAAAGCCTACCTGAGCTAGAATCCCTGTCTTAAAGTCTGTTTTCTGGAAAAACCCAAACCAAGGATAGGATAATGTTTATTTTGTACTTGAGATACTTTTTAAAGAGGTGGTGGAAGTTGGTGCCCAGTAGAATAGCTAGGAAAGCCAACTTCAGGAAGGCCTGGGGTGATGAGCAGGAAGAGAGGATGTGAGTTGAAGACAGGCTGGGAAAGGGCGAGTCACAGGATGGTAGGTTTCCAAGGCAGTGAGGTGAGCCCTTGCTAACACTTACGATGCAAGTTCTCCATGTGGCTTATTGCTTGAGGAGCATCAAAGGCCCACCCTCCAATCCCGTGTGGGTCAGCTGTCAGGAAGCTGCAAACACTTTGTTCAACTGCCAGGCCCCTGACTTAGAAATAAGCCCTTGGATTACAATCAAATTAAAACTACTCTCGCTGCTTCAGTGCAGTTAACACATCCCCTTTCACCATGCACAACAGCCAAGAAGAAAGCAACTGACAAAGCTCAAAAGCCACCAGGGTTGGTTGGGATGAGAATTCATAAACACAGGTCAAAGTGACAGAAGCAGGAAATGCACCTGAACAGGACTCTTTTTTTTTTCTTTTTTGAGATGGAGTCTCGCTCTGTCGCCCAGGCTGGAGTGCAGTGGTGTGATCTCAGCTCACTGCAACCTCCGCCTCCTGGGTTCAAACCATTCTCCTGCCTCAGCCTCCCGAGTAGCTGGAATTACAGGTGCCGCCACCACGCCCGGCTAATTTTTTGTAATTTTAGTAGAGATGCAGTTTCACCATGTTGGCCAGGCTGGTCTCGAACTCCTGACCTCATGATCCGCCTGCCTCGGCCTCCCAAAGTGCTGGGATTACAGGCGTAAGCCACCGCACCCGGCCTAGGACTCCATCTTTCAATTTAAGGGTTTAAAAAAATATATAAAGACTCATGCTGTATTTCAATTATTCTAATATGTAATATTTAAGATGTCACATTTTAATATCTCTAACTGAGGCACAACTGATAAAAAATCATATTGGCAGTGCTTTTAGTGTATACAAAGTTGCGCATTTACAACAAATACGGTAATTCATATCATGTGAGCAAACGAGATTTTTAGGGCTCTTTAAAGACAGAAGTCCCTCATTCTTGGCCTCTACAAGATATAATGGTATTAAGGGCAAAACTTTTTTAGTGTATTACTTTGAGAACTTCATGAGTCAGAATACTTCAGTTTTTCAGATTAATGCAAACAAAGTTCAGTTCAAAAAATCTTATTTGGCAAATGTTTCTAGCAATTGGATTTACATTAAGGAAAACCTAATTTCATAGCCTCAATAGCCCAGCATGTAAAGTATGTATTTTCCTGTTCTAGGCAAGAAACAAGAATTTTCACTTCATCTGGCATTTTTCATCAGAAGGCAAATCACGGGGAAGTTAAACTTTGGCCCAACTGAAGGCTTCATTCATTTCAGCTTCCCATCCTTTCCATTAGTAAAGTCACCCTCCCTTTTTGCATCTGAGAAAGTCAAGATGACCCGGGACATCAAATATTCCGCATCACCACCAATCAGGTGTGGACAAGTAGGAGATGGCCCACTTTGGGTGTCTTTAATTCTTGACTCAATTTCCAAGTGTAACAAAGCACTCCCCCAATTTCCTGTTCTTCTTTCCAGCCTCTCTTGACCATCTCAAGAAAGGACATGGGTATAACCAGGATCAGGAAGGGGAATGAGCCATTCTTGTCTCTTGCATCCTTTTTTTAAGACCTGCTTGGGTTTTTGAATAGTCCAAACCCTGGCAATGCTTTCAGCCTTTTTGACCTTCAAACTCAAAATCAACATGACTTGGGAATAGCCAAGAAAAGGGCCCAAAATACCAGTTTCCCTTGAGGCCTAATTGTTAAACAGTTCTCAAAGAATAAGTTAGACTTACAGCAGTTCCATCCGTGAGATGGGGGATCAGGTGAGAACCCATATTGTGGGCACCAAGAGAGGCCTTCCTGGATTTAAGGGTTTGCGCCATAACAGAGCCCAAGCATGCGTAAAGCTCTAAAACCTAACGTGCTCTGCTAAAAAGCCCATGAGGTCCATCTCACAGGGCAGCAATGACCAGTGTGGTGGGCTTGGGCAGCCATTGCACAAGAACTTCTGCCAAATGAAGAAGGGCCAGAGATCATCTCATCCAAATGTCATCAGCACCAAGAACTCATGTTCAAACAACAGCACACATGTGGACTGAAGGCTCACAAAAGGCCCCCCAGTGGCCCTCCACACCTCATTCAAAACCTGCTCCATCTCTTCTTTCTCTACAAGAGACTTGAAACCTCAGAGAAGGGGAATCTCTAACAAGAAAAAAAATTGAAATTCCTCTGAGAGGAGAAACCTATTACCTGAGAATGCGTGGTCAGGTTTTTTGGACAAATGCAAATGTGATCCAATTACCTGTGAATGTTCTCAGAGCTTCTTTTCTTCTTTACTCTTCTCTAGCCATAATGTGGCAATATGGCCCTCTGGGAGGTGTGTGCTAGCAGCCATGGGAGTAGAAGGCAGATGCAGGCCCCAGGAAACCTTCAGGAAGACCAGGCTGAAAACAGTCTTCAATCTCAAATCAAGCACCTGTGTCCTCATACTTGCTCAGAAATGGCTTCCACATTCCAAACAGGATTAGACTGTTTGCTCTTACAACACTAACCCTTCTGTTTTTTGAGCTTCATCAATTGTCTACTTGTTTCCCACTGGACGTTAGTAGTGTCTTCTCAACATGGGTCTATGAAAGGAAATTGAGTAGTCAAGGCTGATTCTATATTTCATCTTTGTGGCTACAAACTCCAAAATAGAAATGGCTTAGGATAACACAATCTTTACAATGCCACACCACTCCCTAATTAAATTATTTATACTCACTGAAAATGGAAGCATAAATAAATATTCTCACTTTTCTTTAAAGACTTTAAATGGGAAAGCACTTTGGGGATTTTAAATGCAAAGATGGATGACGCACTGAGAGACAGTGATAGTTCAACACTACTGTAATGGTTTCTGGGGAGGAAACTGGCCTCTTTCAGGGAAAAATGTTCTCAAATATGGGAAACAAAAGGATTATAGATTACACATTACACAAAAAATTAAAAATACAGTGGCTTTATTTCCATTGTTTATAGTCCCCAGTATCCCATCTGATAAGAACCTTCAATTCTATAAACAAAAATATTTCAAGAAAGTATGTTACACAATAGTACATATAAGTAATAGTTTGGCAGAATTTTAAACTCTAGTAGTTCATACCCCCAAAAAACAAATTTTAAAATTCAAAAATAACAGTTTTATTTAACATATGTTACACCTTAACATTTAAAATATCATGCTCTAGTTAAATATTTCATCAACAACACTGTATACAAATAAAATATTACATAAAATATATTTAAGAAAATGTTTTGGTCTTTGATCTGAACAATAAATAAAAACACAGGCACTTCTACATAGACAGGGAAGCAGTTACTACTCAATAATAATCTTGTATAAGCAGCATGTGAAAATATGGCAATAATAAATTCTGGAATTTTAAATTGACAAACCATCTATGCAAAAGTCTGTAACTTCAACCTTTTCACTCAAGTTCAAAATACATATGCCTTCCTGGTCCATATTGAAAATTCACTAACACGATATGGTTGTTAGCGGCAATTCAATCTTCAGTTGGCCATTAAGGAATCACACTGATTTTCAAATACTAAAATTACACTATGATACCACCAGGAAACCAAATACAAGAAAAATTAAACCCTCTTTCTCCTTATTATGACCATAACATCACAACAAGATAAATTAGATGAGTGTCACACCATGATTCTCATTTTGCAAAATTAATTAACACACAAAAATACTGTTGGGGTGGCAGGAAATTTCCACAATTGAAAAACTGAATTCCACAACTGACAACTGAAATTTCAGTTTTCTAGACAATTTAAAATTTACCCAAATCCCATAAAAATAAACATAATTCCATTTCACGAAAACCACTGGATAATGTTTAACAAAGTCTTTGTAGCCAATAGGTTTATAAATACCTGAATTACAAATAAATCAGTCATTATTATGGGAAGTAGGAATATTATAGAAGAGGGCAAACAAAATCACTTAAAATGGCCAAATTCCAGAAACAGGATTTCAGATAAGAGGGTACAAGTTTTTTAAAAATGACCACTAGCCGGTAAGATCAGAACCAATCATCCTGCCATATCATCCATAAAAAAAAATTACCATCTTCCGCTTTCCCTCTTCACGTGAGTACCAAATTGAAGGGTTTAGAGGCCCTCAAATGGGTATCACTCATAAAGGCAATTTTCATGGTTTAATATAGAAATTACTCTAATGTGAGAACACAACATGGGAACTATTCAAAATACACCTTTCTATGCAAAATTGAGTTTGTATCTATTTTAGCATTTTAAATGAGCACTCTGCAACTGAGACCAAATATCAATCATCTCTTGAGGTTTTCTACTATGTACTAACATCAGATCTACATAGGAGCAGATGTTATTTTTGTTTTTCTCCTCGATATCAAATGTCCTGAAGCCTTTGTGTTTCTCTGGAACGAGGCCGAGTTTCTGAAGGCACATTCCAGTATAAACGTCATCAATGGGGTAGAGATGGACCTGGTCAGTGATATGGTACAGCCTCAGGGCCAGGTGGCCGGAGTAGAGGAACCCCCCTCCCCCTGCATAGGGTGGGTAGAGGCCAGAGTAAACAACTTCTGGGATGTAGTACTTCAGCTTCTTATCCCGATGAGGTCCAGCATTGTGGATCACATCACCTATGAAGAGATCTTTGGCTTTGGTCTTGGATAAACTATTCAAGTAATTCAGGATGTGATGGGTGTTCACAAAAACATCGTCATCGCCCTTGAAAACAAACTCAGTGTCTGGGCAGGAAGTACTTACCCACCTGAGAAACAGCACTTCCTTCAGAGACAAGTTGAAGAAAGTGTCTCTGTAGTTCCACATAAGAATGTCTTGGTGCTTCTCACTCTCAAATTTCAGCATATCTGAAAGGTCGGGGTGGTTGTCCTCTGGGGGTGTCTGGCCCAGCAGGAAGACTCGCACCACCGTTTGGTTCCCTGCGTTGCTTTCTTGGCCCCAGGATTCCCGGATTGCTTGCCTTCTGGCAAAATGTGGAGTGAGGGACTTAATCGCCAGCAACAAGAAAGGTTTCTTTGCACACTTATCCGGCTGATCTATAAGCAGTGAATAATTGCGGCATCTCAAATACAGCAGAAAGTCTTTAAATCTGTCCGGCAAGTTGTTAAAACCCGTAACCACCGACGTGACCCTCAGGTCAGGTTCGCAGTAGTTCAGATGGCTTATATTGGAGAGCCTGCCCGCCTCCCCCGTCTGGTTGGTCAGCATGCTCAGGATGGGGTTGTACTGCCGGTTCAGCTTCTCTTGCTCTCGGTTCCAGTATGCCTCGGGAGGGGTAGATATCTTCCAGAACTTCTCTTTGGGTATTATTACTTCCCCTTTTCCATTTTTTTCTTGGCTACTGCTTTTGGAGACTTCCATAATAAAATAAATGAAGACATTTGCCATCATCAGGATACCCAACAACTTTATTCTTCGACGTCCAACACTCATTTCTCATATCTGGAATAAAGGGGTGGAGTATTGTATCAATTACTTATCAATTTGCATTTGCACATACAATTTATTTTACCTGTCTCCCCAGGAATAGTGGTTTACAGCAAAGACTCTACACTTGCACTGCCTAGGTTCAAATCTTGGCCCTTCCTTTCTAGCTTTGTGATCATGGGCAAGTGGGATAGTCCCTGTCTCAACTTCTCCATATATAAAATGGGAATCAAGCCCACTTCAAAGGATGGTTGTGAGTATATGATGTTATATGGAAAGCTTTTAAAATAGCGCGTGGCTCACAGCAAGCACTATGTAAGTGACTGTTTGAGACATGCTGAAGCTAGAAATACCTATTACTAAATAACCTCAGGAGAGTTCAACTTCCTTGCTTACAATGGCACATACAGTGCTTGGCAAACCGATTTGCCTAAATTATAACAAATACATTTTTATACTGTGTTTAGTATACACATACATACACAAAACTCTATTTACATGTGTGACGCATTGTGTGCAGTTCCATGTCATTCACTCTCAAGTTCTCTTCTATTTCATTTGAAAAACTTTGAGATTTTAAAATGTAGAAACAGGGACTGGTTACGTTGCTCAGGCTGGGCTCAAACTCCCAACCTAAGGTGATCCTCCCACCTCAGCCTCCCAAAGTGCTGGGATTATAGGCATGTCTGACCCTATCTCTCTCTCTTTTTTTTAATGTTAGTCCCAACCCTGAGTTATTTTCCAACCTACCATTTTACAGATAAGGAAACCAAAGCAGAGAGATTAAGACACTTGCCCAAGGTTGCAGGGCTAGGAAGCAGGAGACAGGAACCACAGAGCATCTCAGACAGAGAAAATGAAAGCAGACTCAGGACAGCTTTATCCCAATAGCCAAGAACTGGCAACAGCCCAATATCAACAGAACAGATGATCAAACTGTGGCATCTGCATACAATGGTATATCCCCTCGGCAATAGAAAGGGAAACTATTGTGGATGAAACATTACAACATTACATTGTGAATGAAGGCCAGACCCAAATTTTCATTTATATTAACTTCAAGAACAGGCAAAATGAATTTAGGTTCTAGAAATCTGAAAGTGATGGAGGTGGTGGGCTTAGAGAAGGATAGGAAGGAACTTCCTGGGGTACAGAAATGTACCATGTAGGTCTTGATCCTGATGAAGGCTCCACGGATGTATGCATATGTCAAACCTGAAGTGTATATTTAAGATCTCTATTGTTTGTAGCAAAAAGGGAAATACAAATGATATTTTAGTGAAATATCAAAAGATTTCAGGCTGTGGGCAATGGAAGAATAAAGAATGAGTAATGAGATGGTTTGCTGGGGATATCCAAGGTTCTAACACTATTGACATGGATGACCTATACAAGAATGAACATTTAAACCAAGGTGACATTAAAAGATAGCCCAAAAAAGTGGGATGGCAATGTTCTATAAAGAGCTGAAGATTTTCTTATCAGGTTAATTCAACTGGGAATTTATCCTTAGGTACTATTACTCATTCCCATTTTATACCTGAGGAGGTACACATTTAAAGAAGGGCAGACTGGAATACCAGCCAAGGCAAACAGATTCCAAGTCTGTACCATGCCAAAAGGTAGCTACACTTCTCCAATCCCTAAAAGAAAGCTTTGCAACTATTTTAATCTAGTATTTGCTTTTTGAAAGGAGAGGATTTTTAAGTTCACTGGATTCTAACAAACGGTAAAGTAGAAAAATATTTGTCATGCTGAGAATGCTGTAAAACTATTACATATTAGAGAGCCCAGATGAGATCAACAGGAATTCACAAGCTATTGTGTGTCTGTAAAGATCTGCCTAGTAGACCTTTATCTGGTTGCTTGTATTTACTACTGCTGAAACCACCTTTGCAAAGATTATGGACAGTAAGAAATCTAGCATGGCTGACTCCATCTTGCGTCTACCCTCACAGGCTAGCTGTCTCCACTCATTCCTGGGCATAGGCCAAGCTAACCACGGGAGAAATTTAGTTTACAGTTTAACTTCGAAGCAAAGATGGTAACAGTCCCTCCATAAAACTGATCCCTTCCTTGTTCAGGGGGCTGAGGCTAATGAAAGGTCACAAGATTAGGATTGAGAGGGGCCTGAATTCTGCTAAAATGTAAGCACAGTTTTTATAATCCCGTATTGCTCAGAAGTCATGTGGCCAGAGGCCACAAGATCTTTGACTTCCCCAAGTGCTCCTGTAGTTAACACCACTATTATAGAAACTAAGATTGGTCTTCTGAATGTTTCTCAGACTTACCCCACCCAGACTAGAGACTCATGACTCCCCCCAACCCCTGCAGACTCAGCACATGGCTTTGATTGCATCCACAGCCAATCAGCAGCACCCACTCCCTGGTCCCCTGCCCACAAAACTACTCTTGAAAAACCTAACCTCATACCTTTGGAGACTTCCGTGATAACTCCAGTTATTTCTCAAATACTTCTCAAAAAGAAAAGGTTCTCTCTAACTTGGGACAATTCTCCTAATGCTAAAGTGAGCCCTTGACCCAGTACTGCTGTCTCTAGGTCTCAGGCCCTTCCTAGTCTGGAAGGAAGGGCAACAGGAAATGTGTGATGGTGAAAAACTACAATGAAGAAAAAGATTTGCAAAGGGGCCAGGCAGAGTGACTCACGCCTGTAAACCCAGCACTTTGCTTTGGTAGGCCGAGGTGGGCAGATCACTTGAGGCCAGGAGTTTGAGACCAGCCTGGCCAACACAGCAAAACCCTGCCTCTACTAAAAATACAAAAAAGGCATGGTGGTGCACTCCTGTAGTCCAAGCTACTTGGGAGGCTGAGGTTGCAGTGAGCTGAGATCGTGCCACTGCACTCCAGCCTGGGTGACAGAGCAAAACTACTCAGGAAAAAACAGCACATACTATGAACAGCTTAATACCCGGCAAAAATTTAACTCAGTAAAGGGATTTAAACATTAATAGACCTTTACCAAAATTTCTGGAGTAAAAGAGGACAGCTTAGGGAAGAAAAAAGGGAAGCACAGTACTTTACATAGGAGGCTGTGAACTTCCAGAGCTAATTCTCCTAGGAAAGATACAGAGTGAATAACATGTAAAAATGACTCCAGATAATTTAACAAGTTTATACATCTAGATTATGGGAGAGGCCATGAATAACTGGAATCCAGCCATAACCACTTGAAGCCTCTATCACGGAAAACACCAATCCTTCTTTTGAGGATGCTTTGAGGAATAAGCTTGCTGACCCCTGGCAAGATTTCCAACTTCATCTGCTACAATTCAGCCTTTTATTTCCTCAATCAAGGCCACGTCAAGGTACAGTTCTCACATCACCTTGGCTCAAGACACAGGGACTAATGAATGGCCTTCCCGGGAACACCACCCTCAACTTTCATTTAAGTGCTCAAGGCCTCCAGCCCGCAGGGCATTTTCCTGCTCATTTCTCATTGCACGGGATGCCACTTTACCAGGAGAAAATGGAAGCTCAGAGGGGACTGATGATTTGCCTGAATATTATGGAAGAGTTACGTGACAAGGCTTAGACAAGACCACCTTCTGGCTCCCAATCCAGGACTCTCTGGATCTCTTTTTTCTATGAGGCTCAACCACATTCTAGTTACCTGGACCAGGTCAACAGTGAAGTCCCACAGGCTGATTATGGCACGGGATCATGGTACATTGATAGTTAAAGAGGCTCCAAAGAAAGAGAAATGGGGGCACCTACAAGCTCCCAGCCCCACCTCAGGAAACAGATCAGCCTTTCTTGTAAAAGACTTCAGATTCCCAAAGGCTCAATTTGAGGCAACTCTTCCCATTACTTGCTAAAGGGTATTTCTTTCAAGCCAATCTGAAGAGGAAGGTGGAGAAAACAAGATTCTCAACTGCACATTTCCATCAAGGTTAAATGTCATCGTGCACTTGTGACCTGGGCACAGTGTCTTGCATGAGAACTCGGCTTCTAGTAGGCTCTTAGAACAAAGCCAAGTTCATGGAAAGGAGGATAAAGCAGTGACCCCCATAAAAATATCTGTGGGAAAAAGCTCTCTAAATATCTGACTAAACATTCCCATCGCAGACAGAAAACCCAATTCCAATGTCCTTTCTTCAGCAGGAAGTTACATTGCGTAAGAAGAATTTAAGAAAACTCACCCCAAAGCTGGGGGAAGATGTTATAAACTCTCGCTGTGAAACACAGACTTTCTGTTGTAACAGAAATAAGAGAAAACCCCATATACAAACACAAAGCAACCTTAGCTTTTTACCTTGTCCCCAACAGGGACAGAACAGTTTTGAAACTTCAGTTGGTTTTGTTTAATGAAATGAAAATATTTAGAAAGACAGTATAACAGAGAAAACCTTAGCTGAAAAATGGCTTACAAAACAGTAGACATGATGCTGAAACTATGTGACAATCTAGATAAAATACTACACAAAAACAAAGTGGGTTTATTCAGGGTGGTGGGATGAGAGGGTGTTTTCACATCCTTTAACGCTGCCCAAAGGTCTGCCCTGTAAGCAGCCTCTTCCGCCGCACGCTGGGGACCGGGATACAGCACACAGCCCCATGCGGGGTTCCCTGTTCCACAGCCCACCCCCAGCCTGTGTCAGCATCGCCGTATTCGACCCCTACAGTGCTGCATAGAGGCTGTCACAACACCCATCCCTATTACCTGCACACCTTCCCTTGTGCCTGTGCCACGTCCTAAGGGCTCCTACATGTAATAGTGAAACATGAACACACCTGCCTTAACAAATATGTACCAAGCACCAGCAATCCTTTGAGGCAGATACTCTAAATTCCCACTGCTTATTTCGCTGAGGCACAGGGTAGGGGGCACGGGGTGGGTGGACAAGTGACTGAACTTGTCCAATGTCACACAGCTGGTAAATGGTAGAGCCAGGACTCAAACCCAGGCAATGATAGCTCCAGAGTGCGAGTTTTCAACCATCACACAATCACGGAAGCAAACGCTGCTGCGTATGGTTATGACCGCAGGAACTGAAGGGATTTGTGTCTAATTTTCCATGGTTAATCTTCTTAAAGTAACTTTTTAAAAGCTCTGTATTTATACATTTTCACCCACAAAACTACGAGTCAACCATCAGATATGGGAGGCAGTGTACTATCTTAAGTAACATTAGTGACTCTACAGGCTAGGCTCTGGGCAAAATGCAGCCCCCACTCATCTCTCCCCTAAAAGAAAATGAGAAAAAATGAGGCTTTGAGAGTCCCAGGTTCCCAGCCAGCAAGTGATGGAGTCAGGGCTTGCGCCCAGGCCTTCTAGTTCTAGTTTCTTCTACACATTGTACTGGAACATGGGAAAGATTACCAAGCTGTGAAAACAGACAGTGACTCACGTGGACTTTATGACCCCGGGGAAGCCAATTTCTCAAGACCTTAGTTTCTTAGCTAAGAGGCTGTTTTTAATTTTTTTTTCTCCCATGCAAAACCATGGTTTTCAAGGGCGCCCATTTTCCTACTGTCCCACCGTTCTATTAATCGGAAGCTATGGGCTGGGTGCCATGGCTCACGCCTGTAACCCCAACACTTTAGGAAGCCAGGGTGAGAGGATTGCTTGAGCCCAGGAGTTCGAGACCAACCTGGGCAACATAGCGAGACCCCATGTCTACATTAAAAAAAAATTAGCTGGGTGTAGTGGCATGCACCTGTGGTCCCAGCCACTCAGGAGGCTGAGGTGGGAGGGCTGCTTGAACCCAGAAGATCCAGGCAGCAGTGAGCTGAGATTGTACCACCGTACTCCAGGCTGAGTGACAGAGTGAGACCCTATCTCTTTAAAAAAAACAAAAAAAAAGAAAAATCAGAAGCTATGATCCCTCCTCCCCCAGGCCTCCCTCCCACCCATCCACATGAGATGACCTTCAGCTGGTTTCACTCTGACCAAAGCAAAGGTCTTCAATACCTACTTAGCCCACACAGGCTGTTTTCCTTAGGACTCAAATACTGAAACAATTCCAACGTTTCACTCATGGACACTAGACTGGGAATCCCTGAACCCAATGACCCTAAAAAGGTTCCCTTCAATTCTGAGAGCCCTGTAGCACTGAAGCAAAACTGCTGGCCAGAAAACATTTGAATGTGGCCACCAACAGCCATGAGGACTCTCTCCCAGAACTCAGGCAGGGTCTGACTCCCCCGCCATGGGCTCAGGCAAGCTAAAAAGATGCCCGACAGTAACTAGCCAGGGACAGAACGAGCAATACGTACAAGCCAGACCCAAGACCTGTGCCAAGGCTGCCCTGCACTTTCTCCTACTACCAAGATTAAGGATGAAAGAAAAGCAAGGCCTCCTTGTAACCGTGAAATAAAATGACCAGTCACCCCCACCCACTCAGGCTGAGAGAAAGGGGCTGGAAATCCAAGCTTCTGACTAAACCCCAGGAGTGTCAGAGCTAGCAGCCTCCATCTCTAGAGGGCATCCTGGTTCCTGTTCACTTTCCTGCTCCAACAGGACACACAAATCCTCAGAAAGAGCCCAAGCCCCCTGCCATATCACGAGGCCAGAGGAGCACGTTCACTCTGCCCTTTCCCTCCCCACCACCTCCGGGAGTCTGGCAAGAGTGGTTTACCTAAGTCCTCACCTCTCTGGCTGTCCCATCTGTTGCCTAGTCCTTGCCAGCCCCTTCCAGGTTCTGCTCGGATAAACAGAGACAGAGACAGTTTGCAGCTAAATGGCTCTAGGGGAGAGAATAGCTCCCAGCACTGCTGGCAGATGGTGGAGTGATAAGGGTGTGAGTGGAGCAGCTCAGTGGGACCAGAAGAGCTGGGCCACACCTACAGCTTGTTCCTTGATTGCGGAAAGAGGCCTGGCCTGGGTTTTCACCGGGGCAAGGGAGCCTCAGGACTCCCTGGACTCCCTCACCAAGAGGCTGGCACTCAGCTAAGATGATGGTCTACCTCTGCTCTCCAGTCTGTAAGTCACAGAACTATTGTCAGCTAGATTTAAGGAATTTGGTTCCCAGCCATTACTTTTAGCCTTCATGTTCAAATTAAAAGGGAAACGTATTTATAATGAATCTACTCACCTACACAGTCCCACAGGCAACATTATAGATCAAAGCATCTGGCAGGACATATTCTGGCCCCCACTGATTACAACCCCCCGAAAGCCCAGTGTGGCCGATTTTCTCAAATGATATTCATCATTTCAAATCAAATTAGCCACTAGAAGTATTCTTCAAATAAACACATACAGAACCTTTGAGGAAAAGAGGAGAAGGGAATTAACCCTCCCAGAGGCCATTCTGCCCTGCCTTTAGTAAACTAAAGAGGGTTTTAGGTCTAGGTGGAAAGATTATGCAATTTAAAAATAAGGGTAGCAGACGTTTGAGGATGGAGATGTCCCAGATCCATTTTCAGACTGGAAAACCAGTTTGGCATCTGGAGTGACAGGACCAGGATTAAATTCTGGTTATGCTACCTACTGGCTGTGTGACCTTAGGCAAGTTACCCGACCTCTCTAAGCCTCACTTTCCTCCTTTGTAAAATGGGATGATACAACCTCCAATAGCTCTTCAGGGGTCTGCCTTTTCCACCAAACCCTAAACGAAGCACATTTCTCAAAGTTCCGTCCTTCACTGCCTCTTTAGTAGTCTTCTCTCTACAAACTCCTCCATTCAATGCCATGAGCATCACCTCCAAAAGGAGGGTTCATGGGTCAACAAACTAACTCCAGATATTAGCTTCCACATGCCTTGCAGAGTCCCTCTTCCTCGGGCCTCTGTGTGCAATGGATCAAGTTCTCAGGCACCTGGTGAAAACCCCACATTACCTTGAGTTGCTTCCTGCTCTGCGCATTCAGCCAGGAGCCAGGTGCTTCTATTACGCCACTGGTAGCTCCCTCCTCATCTCTCCTCTATTCCAGAGCCTGCAATAGCCTACAGCCTCCTTTCCCACTATGTTCCCAAATATGTCTTATTTCCCAAGTCTTCAGTCCCCTGGACACACCCTCCCTGCTCATGCTGTTCCCACAGTTCCCCCAGACCACCACCAATATGCTACTGTTCCCTCAGAGCCTAACTCTAGCTATGTGTCTGTTGTTTTCTAGAACTCCTTTCTTCTCCATTCCCAGAGGTTGAACTCAGGGTTTCATCACTTCTTTCTCTTAGAGATTTCCTGCCCAAGGGTATGCCCCAGCCTAAACACCAGCCTCATTGCCCAGGAGTCAGGGTATCTGCTCCTGATCAGGATGCCTCTGCCTGGGAACCCTCCGCAGTCAAGGTCTTCACACTGCACCACCATTACACTCCAGCACGTGGTACCTGAGACTTACCCAGCATTTGCTAAAGGAACAGATACTTTGGTCATCTGGACAAGTTTACTGAACACAGTGTTCAGTAGAAACCAGATTATATATATATATACACCCTTTCTCCTAAGAGATGACAATGGAAAAATCACATGTGTGCTGAATTACAGACATGTTTATAGAAAACTGTCTCACTTATTAAGAACTAAAGGGTAACAGAAAAATTTAAATAACTTGCTAGACTTAGGGGAGATAAGAATTTCAGCAGTGCTGACTCCATGTTAGACGTGAGGGTGGGGGCAAGATCTGAAGAGGTAAACTGGGGTGAGAAGTACAGCCGCCCCCTCATTTCCCACAGTCAGCCCCAGACCACCAAAGGCAGCAGACTCATGGGTGTGCAGGTGTGTGGGATTGAGCAGTGCTTCCAGGTGAGGGTGCCATCTTCTTCCGCAGCAGACCCATTATCCCTCCTGCACCCTTATCCCAAAATGGGGCATCTCTACCTCCTTTCTGGAGAGGGATGGACCTCCAGCAATTGTAACCTACAAGGCCATGACAGTCATGGGAAGCATATCTAGAGGAAGATCCTTAGTACAGATTTGCAACCTGGGGGCATCTACTTACCTAAGGTGGGACAATCATTTTTTGTTTTTGAGACAGGGTCTCCGCTGTCGCCCAGGCTAGACTACAGTTGCCTGATCACTGCAGCCTCAACCTCCCAGGCCCAAGCGATCCTTCCACCTCAGCCTCTCGAGCAGCTGGGATGTGCCACCACACCCAACTAATTTTTTAAATTTTTTTGTAGAGACGAGGTCTCCTCATGTTGCCCCAGCTGACAGTCATTTTAGAAAAAAAACACCGGAATGCAAGCAGTCCCTTTTTGGGGAGCTTAATGCATATTGGAAGCCCTTGGTTAAGAGCTTGTACGTGGCTTGGTAAATGCTTCCACTCCAACCTCTAGGACCTGTGTACAAGCAAGTGTACTCTGGCAGCCTCTCAGTGAGCCCTCAGAAATCTCTAAAGACTTCTCTCTGATTCATCCTTCTGCCTGCTTAGGTGAGCTGCATAGAATGTTTTTCAGTCTGGGTTCAACCAGCAGGTAGAAACCAAACAGTAATCTAAGAAAGGGAAGTTTAATACAATAAATATGACACTTGAGTAAACTATAAAGATGAAATAACAATCTAAAGGATGCCCTGGAACAGATGAAAAATATCTCCCAAAATTTGGTAGGGCAGGGGTTTTTTCTGAGTTTGTTGAAGAAAGTATAGATGGCAGAAAAACTCCTGGGTACCTAGGCCAGAGATCCCCCACAGTCACCAAGCAGCAGGGGCAACCCTCTAGGGTACAGGCAAGCAAGTCTGGGTGTAGACAGTCAAGCAGACAGAAGGAAGGAGGGGCACACACAGGGAGTCATCAGGTGCTGCTGGACCAGAGTGAAGAGGCCTCCCTCCATAGGAGCTTACCACGTCAATGTATACCCTAGGCCAGAGCAGCTTAGGGTTGTGCTGAGGACAAAGATCAGGTGGCTAGCTCACCAGATGGCCAGCACCAGGGGGGCTTGGGGTACACACATGGGGGCTGAGAGGCTGTAGGAAGCAATGATCTGGGTTGGATAAGGACCACCCAGTCTTAGGCTCCTGGTACCACCGATGCCAGAGCTGCAGAAAACAGAGCAACAGATGCTGGAGAAAGGTGTGCCCTGCAGGAATATAGGAGTGCAGGAAAAGCATGCGCATGCACACATATGAAATCAGGAAGAAAAATCCCTTCCTCCTACAAGGTCCCCTTCAGAGCCCTCTACTTACAAAAGGCAAAGAAAAAACATTTAAAGGGCCCAGACCCATTTTCAGAGATCAGGCAACTGAGGGTGAATTTGGAGCAGGAAGGCAATACTTAAAAACTGGCACAAGTTATAGATCTCTACATCACCAACCCAGAGTCATTTCTAACAACGAACATTTTTATTTAAGTCTGGGGTTTGGGGAAAAGCGGGTATAAAACATGGGTCCTATACACTGAATTGGCAGAGATAATAAATACGTGACAGCCCTTTAGTCAACAGCAGGGGTCAAGGCAGGACCTTAGTGGGGCTTCCAACAGGGCAAATTTCAGAAATGTAGAGAGAAGCAGGGCAGGCAAGACATGGGGTACGGCACAGAGCGTCTGCAGGCAGAGATGGACACAGCCAGTTCATGGACAGACAGCTTCTGAGGCCACACTAGAAGGGCAGGGAGGAGCTGGTGGGGCCCAGGGCTGCTAGGAAGAAAGTATGTGAAGCTGTGGCTGCTTCACAAATGCTGCTGCTGGATGGACTGGAGGAATGTGTTTTCTTTCCTGTCCCCTCTACTTAAAACAGAAAACTGACCACATCACATAGGAACATGAAATAAGGGAAAAAACGAAGAACTCCAAGTTGGATGCCCATTGATTACAACTTTAGTTGGTTTTGTTGTCCCGAAGACTTAATTTCTCTAAAGCAGATTCAGTTCACAGGGGAAGAGTGGTTTGTCTTCTGTCGGATCTCTAACTCCCCTGCCAGAATATAGGTAAATGTGGTCTGCCTTATCAAATTTTTTTGGGGGGGACGGGGGGGACAGGGTCTTACTCTGTCACCCAGGTTGAAGTGCAGTGGCGCAATCACAGCTCACTGCAGCCTCAACCTCCTGGGTTCAATCGATGCCCCCACACTTCAGCATCCTGAGTAGCTGGGACTACAGGCATGTCACCACACCTGGCTAATTTTGGTATTTTTTGTGGAGACAGGGTTTTGCCATGTCGCCTAGGCTGGTCTCAAACTCCTGGCCTCAAATGATCCACCTGCCTCAGCCTCCCAAAGTGCTGGGATTACAGGCACGAGCCACCCCACCCAACTGCTTTATCAATTGCTAATCAATGAGCTTATGAGTTGTTTCTGATTTTTCCTATAACTGAAAACACATAAACACCCTCCTAGACACATCATCATCTGGTTACTTCCGGAGGAAACATATTACGAAGGGAACCCAACCTTTTAAAGTCAGTTAGCATAGAATCAAGCTATTCCCCTCACTCTCACCCTTAACCTCCCACCAAAAAGAAAGGTCACACTGATTTATCCTCTCGTTGTATACCCAAGAGCATGAAGTCATCCACACTGACAGTGAATACTGTACTCCTATTATTATTATTATTTTTTTTGAGATGGAGTCTTGCTCTGTCATCCAGGCTGGAGTCAGTGGTGCGATCTCGGCTCACTGCAACCCCTGCCTCCCGGGTTCAAGTGATTCTCCTACCTCTGCCTCCCAAGTAGCTGGGACTGTAGGCGCCCACCACCACACCCAGCTAATTTTTGTATTATTTAGTAGAGATGGGGTTTCGCTATATTAGCCAGGATGGTCTCGAACTCCTGACCTCAAGTGATCTGCCCACTTCAGCCTCCCAAAGTGCTGGGATTACAGGTCTGAGCCACCGCACCCGGCCACTGTCCTCCTTTTTAATCTTTACCAAAAAAGAACATCTCCCTGTTTTAATTGATGCCATCTTTTCATATGCTTCCTTCCTGGTCTTCCTACTCCCCCATGCCCTTTGCCCATTTTTAATGTTGGGATGTTCTCATCTCATTTAATCTCCACAACAAACTAAAAAATGTGAGGCAATTAGTTTGAGGTCACAGAGCTAATCCCAGTGGAGTCAGTGTTTGGACTCTGGTCCCAACCTTGGGTCTAAGCTCTTATACTTTCTACCACACAATACCGTTGCTCGAGGAGGATTGAGAATCCCCAAATAAAGTTGTAGTTCTAAAAAATTAAGGTACCAAAATTATTGCATTTGTGGATACCCATCCAGGAAGATGTAAACCATTCCAAGGAAAGGCAGGGGGAATCGAATTTTTTTTTCTTTCCAAATTGATATGAGAAAGTAATAATGTAGACAACAAAATGGCCAGTCGGGAATCACCCAATGGTTTAACGTATCCAGGGGTCCTGGTCTGGTAACACTTCCGCACCATAGGCAGAATCCCCTGCAGATATGTTTTGTGATGACTCAGTTTTGATTATTCATACGAAAGGATGAGAGACTGCTGGGGCTTAAACTAGCCTCGTCTTAAACACCTGTCAGAGCTGGCTACAGGTGGAGAAAATCTGCTTTTCCTTCCCTCCAACATCACAGCCTGCAGTGAAGGGAGATCAGCACAACTTTACAACCTGCCACAGGGTTGGGACAGTGGCACAGGGCTGGTCCAGACCCCAGCTCTCCTGTGAAGGAAAGGGATCAAAGAACCAGCGTTACCCACCAACTGTACCATCTCACTCTTGGTGTGTGTGGGGGGTGACGGCGTGGGGGCGGGTAAAGGGTCTGGCCTGTGTTCTGTGTTGCCCCATCTGGTCTTGAATTCCTGGGCTCAAGTGATCCTCTCACCTCAGCCACCAGCTTGTAGCTGGGACTACAAGTGTGCCACCACGCCTGGCTTACCTCATTCTTTTACTTGTTTTTCAACAACATGCACATGAATTCATACATAGATTGTGACCCAATTTCATTACCAGAAAGAAGCTCCAAGAATTTCTTTCCCAGGGCCTTACAGACCATCCACTCTAATATCTCTTTTACAGCAGAGGAGACCAAGGCACAGGGAGACAGAGCCTTGCCCAAGGCTGCCCTGGGGAAGAGAACCAGGATTACTACCACGTGTCCCAGGGGACTGGGGAGTCCAGTCCAGTAGTCAAAATTATCATTAGTAACAAAGTCTTTTTCTCACAGTCTATAGCTTCCATTCTGGGCTATCAACATAAAAACAGAAGAGCCAATGGCCCGAAATTAGCCGGGTATGGTGGCTCATGTCTGTAATCCCAGCTACTAGGAAGGCTGAGGCGCTTGAACCCGGGAGGCAGAGGCTGCAGTGAGCTGAAATGTACCACTGCACTCCGACCCAGCCTGGGCAAGAGTGAGACTGCAACAACAACAACCAAAAAAGCGCCAATGTGTCACCTCTTCCTCCCACCCCACTGCCCCCACCCAGGTTGGGCTGCTTGTATTTCTTCCCCCTTGCTGTTACCACCACCTCACCCACATTTATCTGACTTAGCACACGGTGTGATAACAGGTCTGACACACCAAGGACTCCTGGGCAGAATGGGCCATATTCACTTCTGCATCTCTAGTGCCTACCACTCAACACACAATCAATATGAGAACAAGAAGGGGAGGGACAGTAAAGGAACCAGGACCTAATCTAAGGACATTTTGTATTCTTTGACCATTTTGATCAAACATTTTAAACACTGTTCTAGCAAACCATTCTTGGATAATTTCACACACACCCCCCTCCCCAGCATCCCTCCCTCTGGTCCCTGGCTCTGTGCCAGTCCTGGCCCTCTTCTCCATAAGTATCCTAAGCATCTACCAATTCCCGAGCTTTCCCCTCTAGGCCTCACTCCTCAAGACACAATTACGTGGTGTCATCTCAAGGCAGTACATCACCTAAAAACATGACTCAGGAAACAAATACAATTAAATAAATCTATAAACAAACACAGGCCTCAGGGATGGGGGAGGTGAGAAAGAAGGCAATTAAAAATTAATAGAAACGCACAAGCATAAATTACATTTACTGGACTAGAAACAGAATCCCATTATATAAACTGTTATCCAAGTGACCTTGTACAAGTGCTTCTGGAAATAAGTAGGCCATCAGCCCAGTCTTGGCAGTCTTGGTGTAGAGATTGGGGGGGAAGGAAGGGGGAAAGGAAGGGGGGAAGGAAGGAGGAATCTGTTGTCTGTTATGTGGGCTCCTCATGTCTACAGACACATACAAACAAGGAGACTATTTTCACATAGGTACGAAAAAGTGATTACTGTCATTTTACATAGTAAAATGTACAAGAATTCAACTAATGACCAATTTACAAAATTTAAAGATGACCCCTCTCAAACTCATAAGATCGACTTTCAAAAGTACACCATTCCCCACCACTTAGTTCCACTGGTGTGATAACTGGCCACACACAGAGAAGCAGAAATTTCAAATTTTAAAACAAGCACTTTAATATTAAGCACTCAGGCAATCAAATTCAATCCATTATTTTCCCAGGCAAGAATAATCTATGGCAGGGGTCCCCAAACCCCAGGCCATGGACCCCTAGCGGTCCATGGTCTGTTAGGAACGGGGCCACACAGCTGGTGGTGAGCAGTGGTGGGCAGGCCTGCAAGCATTACTGCCTGAGCTCTGCCTCCTGTCAGATCAGCTTGACATTAGATTCTCACAGGAGGGCGAACCCTTTGTGAACTGCGCATGCAAGGATCTAGGTTGCATGCTCCTTACGAGAATCTGACGCCTGATGATCTAGGGTGAGACAGTTTCATCCCGAAACCATCTCGCATATCCTCCCACCCTGGAGTCCGTGGAAAACTGTCTTTCACAAAACCAGTCCCCAGTGCTAAAAAGGCTGGGGACCACGGATGTACCTCACTTCCATCAGGTACTCTACAGACAAACTCTTTCAAAACAACCACTGCCTTTCCAATTCTATTAAATTATACTTGGCAATTCTTGTCCCTCAAGAACCGTAAGTCTAACCAAATGATGAAACCCCGTCTCTGCAAAAAATACAAAAATTAGCTGGGCATGGTGGCCTGTAGCATGTGTGTTGTCCCAACTACTCGTGAGGCTGAGACAGAAGAATCGCTTGAACCCAGGAAGCAGAGGTTGCGGTGTACCCAGATCGTGCCACGGCACTCCAACCTGAGCGACAGAGTGAGACCCTGTCTTAAAAAAAAAAACAAAACTGTAGAGTTTGAGAGCATCCCCAACATTTCCCTGCAAGATAAACGTTTACATTTGTCTTCCTTCCAAAATAAAAATGTAACCTCAAAATCAAAAAAGCATTGAACATGCTGCAACTTGAGATTACATATAGCATATTAAAAATAACCTTCTGTAACTTCAATAAGTGTTCACAATTATACAAATGACATTGTATTTTAAGTAATTTAATAAATTGCTTTGGGAAGTCTCAATTTCTTGGTAGTTAGGATGAAGGTTTCCAGTGACACATTTTCTTAAAAGAGAATATGCTCTTGGTTACAGCGAAGGGGACACCAGAAAGTGAGGTACTACAACCTCAGACTGCAGGACTCCTTGGCTTATCCATTTGGAGTCTTGTAGGGTAGCAGCTTGGAGAGAACTGCCTGACTCGCTCTTCCAAAAGCAGGCACAAAGAGTGCAGAAAGTTCTGCAGAGTAGACATGTGTAGAGATTTTTAAATAATGTTGTACTAGGCCAGGCACAGTGGCTTACACCTGTAATCCCAGTGCTTTGGGAGGTGGAAGTGAGAGGATCACTCGAGGCCAGCCTGGGCAACAGAGAGAGATCCTGTCTCTACAAGAATAAAAAACATATAAAAATAATGTTGGATTAAAGTGCATGGTCTAACACTTTGGGGAAGGGAAAAAAAATAGAGAAATGAGATAAAGGTATCAAGGACACTCCTTATAATAAAACAAATTAACCACTGCACACCTAGTGCCCACCCATTAGCTGAGTGAGGGCTTGTCCATATGCCATGGGCGCAATTGGATACACAGTCAAGTGGTGACTGAGGTGTCTTCATTTCACAGAGAAGTAAACTGGTTCACAGGATCAGAAAGTTGTCTGATGTTCCCAGAAAAAGTAGAGGGAGAGGGCAGGAACTGAGAACCCAGATGGGCCGCCCCCAGCCCAGAGCTGCATGGAGGGAAATGGGCATCCCCATCCTCGCTGAGCACGTCCAAGCTGATCCTTGATCCAGGCAGGCCACCCCTAAAACCCCATCCCGGAGGCCTCTAGACACCAGCACCCCTTAACAACAACTACTATCCTCCCCACCCATACCTCTTCTCAGCCTGGTTTCTCCTGGCTTAAAACATCCCTTATCTTGCTTCTCTCCATCCTTACCCCCATCCTTGAAGGCCCAGGTTCAAATCCTGTCTCCTCTTCCATGAGGACAGCCTTGATTCCCCCAGTCCATCGATTTCATCCTCTTCTCCTGGCACTCAGGATCCCCCAAAAGGAGTACCAAGCCCTCACCACCTGGAATCCACTCTCCTGGCTACCATGCTTCCCAGGAGAAATGGTTCCAGGTGAGCCAGGAGGCTGGAACTAAGCAGCCTGTCCCTCAGGTGGCAAATGACAGCCAAGGGCTGGCAGGCCCCGCCCACGGCACACAGCCACTAAATGCCAGCGCTCCTCCTCTCACACTGAGCATCCAGTTAAATTGGGCTCCCTCTGGGATGCTGCCTCTTCTCCACAGTCAGACATCATCCTCCTCCCAGAGGAAAACACTTCTAGTGATGTGTGACCCTGGGTGGCAACTTCAGAGCAAGGCGGCAAAGAAGCAAACCAGCTCCCTGCTCCATCTCGGATTCCTGTCCCGCCTCTTCTCCCTTTCTCAAAGGCTGGTTAAATCCTAACACCTTACTGACAAGTGTTTCAGGACTGTTGTTTTCAAGTTGTTGCTTTTTAAGTATCAAAATAAACCATATACATTTTAAAATACGTATCCTCAAAAAAAAGTAACACTTTGGCCTTTTATCCAAATGTTCTATAAAAGGGGAGGCATCATTCAGGCCTTCGACCAAGACTTGCTTCCGTATTTAAAGAAGTGCAATAGTAACATAGCTTTCTCCGGCCACCCGCCAAGAAAAGTTTTTGTCGCCACAGTAAAAAGAGAACATGTTTGCTCAATATGTGGGCACTATTGAACTGCTTAAAAACTGGGCCTCTTTTACCAAGCAATTTGAGTCACCTCAGTTTTAAACGAGTCTCTGCACGTTCCCTTCATATACCATAGGTGATCACATATGTGGAGGGACGAGGGACCACAGCAATCCCAGTGCCACGGGCTTCCAATCTCGCCGGTCTGCCTGTCACTCTCCCTGGGGGCGTCCAATCTTCTCCCCCAGCCTCCGCTATCTCTAAATTGATGGCTGCCCACTCTGTGGTCCATTGTGACCTTCTTCTCTCTCCCTCTCTAGATGGTGCCCATGGGCCCCTAGTCGTGAGTGGGGTAGAGATGAAAATAAAGAATCATCACCCTGAAGCCGCTGGTGGCTACCTGAAGCTTCATGATACCATTCTCTGTATCTGCACTTGTTTGAAAATTTCCATTATAAAGAGTTAAAAAAAGACGATCCATCAGAACTTTGAAGAATAAAAGTTTTTTAAAAAAGAGAAACATTCAGTTAAAAATAGGAGTATTCATGAGAGATATTTTAAGTTCATTTGAAGGAAATAATTCCTTATGTGGTAAAGGAAAAGAACAAAAATATAATGGCTGCATCTCAAGAATAAAGTTACATAAAAGTTCCTTATAAACAAGCTTCAAAGACAACCATAAAATAATAAAGGTAAAAATATATCTCACTAGTTCCAAATGTTGACTATTTAGAAAGGATAGCATTTGTAACACTTCGACCCTTTCATTATTAGACAAATATATTTGAATCTGAAAATATCATTCGGCTTCCCAGTGAACAATCTAGAGCCAGACCTGGAGGGTTAAAAACACACATGCACATAAAACTCACCACAATTGTGTTATTCCCTGATCAAGACTCAAAAAAGAAGTACTTTGGAGAACCAGTTGGATGTTAAGTGCTTCTCAAAGAAAATAAACAATTAGAAAAATTTCTACCAGGCACTTTGGGAGGCCAAGGCAGGTGGATCACCTAAGGTTGGGAGTTCGAGACCAGCCTGACCAGCACGGAGAAACCCTGTCTCTACTAGAAATACAAAATTAGCCAGGCATGGTGGTGCATGCCTGTAATCCCAGCTACTCAGGAGACTGAGGCAGGAGAATTGCTTGAACCCAGGAGAAAGAGGTTGCAGTGAGCCAAGGTCATGCCATTGCGCTCCGGCCTGGGCAACAAGAGGGAAATTCTGTCTCAAAAAAAATTCTGAAGCACAAATAAACTGCAGCAAGTTTATGGTCCATAGAAATATCTTCCCAGAGCATTAACACTTTCATATTCATGAGTTCAATGGATTCCAATAATAAACATGTGAAATTGGCTGTGCAGGTTTCATGCGATTCTGCAGGGAGGTGGGAAACAGGAGCTAAGTGGGTTGCCATAGCTACAAAGACATTTGATGTCAGCTCTGGGACCAAAACCTACTTCAAGTTCTCTACATCAGCCAGTCCCTGACCCCCAACTCCCAGGATCTCCACTCCCTGTGACAGCTCTTGCTGCTTCTGGGGTCTTGCACCAATAGCAATCTCCACTGTTTCCCCCATCTTCAGCCTCTCCCTCTCCAAAGGCACCAGGCACATGCTCCTTGTCATGCCCATTTGTCCTGCCTTGACCCTCCCAATCCCCCTCACCTTCTAGAATCTTCGCAGTCCTTGCACCCTCCTGACTTTCTAGGGCACCCAATACTGCTGGCCACCATGTCTACCCCACCCCAAGCTCAGGAACCCCCAGGGTTCTCTTGCATGTTGGCAGCCTTTGCTCCTTGGCCCCATCCCACAAAATGGACTTGCTCCACAGTTCTGGGCCCAAGTCTATTGCTGGGTCTTCCCTTACCCCCTATTCTTGTCCCCTAGACATCACTACAGACTCCCATATCCCGTATGCTAAAAAATGCCCCAATATACCTGTGTCATGGCCCTTCTCCTAACCTCCCTTAGTTGGTTTCCAAATTCCTTTACACCCACCAGGAGTCTTTCTCTCACCCACCTCTTCCAAACAACACACATACATATTTCAATCTTGTACTATCCCTGCCCTGGTTTGAGCCCTCAGTTTCCCCTCTACTAAGACTAACTTTAATGAAGTGGCCTAACTCAACAAATGTCAAACGCCTACTTAAACCAAGCAGTGTTGAAAACAGGCAGCAAAGAACCAAGTCAGAGTTGATTGCTGTAAGGTTGATAAACACTTAGATGAAATATGAAGCACTGCACAGGGGATAAGGAAAGGCTGCTTTATGCCGGGTGATCAGAGAAAACCTCCTCTCAGAGAAGAGGTGAGGATAGTTCCAGGCAGGGGGAGCAGTCACCACAAAGGCCAGAGGCAGGAAAGCTGGGGGCCTTGTGCCTGGAGTGAAATGAGGGGGAGAAGGGAGGTAGGAGGAGGAGGGCAGATCACCAGTCCTGGTAGGTGACATTTGAACTCTGGCTTTCCTCTGAAGAAGACAGGGATTCTGACTGGAGGATTCTGAGTAGAAAAGTAACCTCAAGTCATTTCAGTTTTTAAAGGATCCCTCCAGCTTCTTTCTGAGAGAAACTGGTAGGGGGCAAATGGGAAGCAGAGAACGCAGGGACTGCAATGACCTGCCCGGGGTCAGGCTCGCCTCATTCACGCTCAGGCCCATCTTCCTCAATGCAAGCCTGGCCATAACTTGTCAGCACCCACACCCTCTCTCTCTCTCCCCTGACCACAAGAACTTTCACTGGTTCCTCACTACCTCCATAACTATTAACTGCCACATCTCTGCATGATCCCCGAGATTGCATCATGGCCTATTACACCTTTCTAAGCACCATGCACTCCAAACCCAATGGATCACCTGCTGTTTCCCCAAAAGACCTCTATGAGCCTTTCTGTTGTGTCCTGTTTTCTCAGCCTACAATCCCTTGAGCACTTCTACCTTCCTTTCTCTGCCTCTGAAATGTTATTCACATCCTTCAAGACCAAGCCCAAAGGCCACTTCCTTAAGAAGCCTTTCTTGGCTGCCTCCAACACATAATTGGCTTACACCTCTACCAAGGCAATCTTACCAGTTCCTGGCTGTCTCCACCACACTGCCCACTGAAGGCAGCAATCACGCACAGCCAAGCACAGTGCTAGGCACACACCAAGTGCTCAATCAATGCGTGTTTGGTCGGAGAACAAACTGCTCACTTCACCAAACATCTTGAGGTCTTAATGGAGAAGTATTCCAGGGCAGGTTTTCCGTGTTGGCTACTGTAATCTGGAGACCAGGGGACCCTCTGATGGAGTCTCTGGGGACTGTCTGCTCAGCACTAACAAAGGTACAAGTAGGGACCACAGTGTGGACAGATTTGAACTTAGGCCTACGAAGACTCTTGCCTTCTCTGCTAGACATCTCTAAGCAGGCCCATATTTTGTTTTAAATTTCCATAAAGTATTGGAAGTATGTTTTTCCTAAGGTCATTCTAGAAGTGTACAAAAGAAGAAATGAGCACTTAGAAGGACCCACATCAAGTTAATGTAGTTATAGTGGTGAGAGAGGGTGGAATTAGTTTTATTTTCCTTTACTTTATCTTGAATACTTTTTCTAAATAAACATTTAATGAAAGTCATTTAGAAAGAATGCCAAGTACTACCCAAGTTACATTTGCAGAATGAGTCCAAAAATGAAAAGTACCAAACAAATAAGGAGACATGAGGCCATGGAATTATGTAATACCGCTTACACGGTAAGATTACAAGAGCTGAAAATGTTTTAAGTGGCTTGTCTGAAGCAAGCAATTAAAATAATTGGTCCTGTGCTTTCACCTCTGAAATAATTATTTCACTAAACATAAAGCAGATGTTGTGAGCATCTTGGGCACTTATTGATGACTCTTACCCAAACTAAACTCTTCCACAAGCTCCATAATTGACCATAAACCAGTTCTCATCACTGCATCCTAGCTCATGTTACACAGGTGGCCAAACAACTCTGAATGGGACATTTCAATGACTGTCTTTAGAGAGGAAATGTCAAAAACAGGCAACTAACAAATAATACATCTTAAAGCTAAAGCTATATCAACAAAGTATTAAATAAAGATTTGTCTTCTAATTTTCAATAAAAGACCTACAGAACTTTTAATGAAATAGCTCATTTAAACACAAAAGATCTAGTTGCTTTAGTTATCACCCTGTTAAAGAAATAAAAAGGGGAAGAGGAAACTGCAGTCAGGCACAGTGCTAGGTATTCTAGGTGTAGCTTTATATTACTTTCCCCAGTAAATCTAACATAGGGCTTTATCTTCCCCATTTTACAAGTGAGAAAATTTATCCTGAAATAGTTCGTGTAATTTTAACTTTAGGCATTCCCATACGTAACTGAGACTCAGATTAAATAACTTGTCCGTAGTCACACAATAAGTGGTAAAAATAGAATTCAAGCCTATTTCACAAAAGACTACATGCCACACTGTATGACTGATTCCACTTACATGAAGTTCAACAGGTAAAACCCATCTATGATGACAGAAGTCACATCTATGATGATGTAAGAAAGAATAACAGTTCCTTCAGGGTGAGGGGGTGGGAACACGGACAAGACATGGGCGCAGGAACCTTCTGCAGTACTGAAAATGTTTATTTCTTAATCTGAGAGCTTACATACATGAGCTCATGCTTAATATTAACACTTCTCACACTTTACTGCATGTTATACATGAAGTTAAAAAAATCCTCATCTTATGGACTCCAAGTTTATGCTCTTAACCACTAAACCACCACATGGCACTCGGACAGAATCTAGCCACATGCCAGAATTGATTACCTTGGATTATCATTTTTTTCAAACATTCTGGTAAGCTACGTACATCCTACTCATATCAGAATGAAGACACCTGAACCCTCTGTTTTAAAATGCCACAGAATGAAAAGTAGAAAGTATCAATTTCCTGGCTACTGGGAATTTCCCCCTCTGTAGCCACATCAGAAAATGGTTTTTGTTTTTTTTAAGTTATAGATGCACAGAAAATAATGTGTAACATTCTTAAAGTTATATATGAAAATACCTAAAGCTAAAATTGCACAAGATACATGTTATGACTCTCAAAAGACATCTGAATTTTTGTTACAAAAATTAAGACAAGGCAAAAAGACAAAGCTGGTGGGCAGAGGTTGTTAATACTCACAGGGCAACACACAGAGGGCAAAAATCTCAACTCTTAAAATTTGTAACAAATAGAAAACTCAGTACAAATAACTTTTTCCAGCAGCAAAGTAATTGTGCCACATAAGCCCTAATAATAAATTCTCCATCAAGTAACAGGTTCCAGCCTGGCAAAGTCTCCTTACCAGTGAGTGATGATGAAATCATTACATCAATTCTCCCAAAACCTTACCCCACACATACATACACCTCTTATTCAAACAGTAATTGCCTCTCCAGAGAGAGGAATGTATTCATTCTGTAATTTGCAGACATATTTGGCAAGTACGTAGGAACAGCAATCCCACCTTAGAGAGTGGAGAAAAAGACAGCTGGGTCCACACCTTTTGGGTGTTTGTGCTGTTTTCTTTACTGGATGCAGCCAGGAAACATTTACCACTTCAGAGTCTAGTTTAATTCATGTTTTAACCTTCTGTACACACCAAAAATACCAAGCAACCAAATGACTTTAGTTTCCCCTGGGCACTTACATAAGAGACCAAAAGGCCTTTATGAGAATCTTTCAGTATTGGTGATGTATGTACCACCATCAGGGATGTTGCAATAGATTACACATCACCAAGTATTATCCTAGTTGCAAGATCTCAAGGTCTCAATGTTTATAAAAGTAACCATAGGCAGTTATTAATTTTTAAAGTCTCTAACAGACTTTCCAATAAAACCATCAAAAAAATACAGAAAAATACAGTCAAATACTACATCCATTAACCAAGTCAGAAAGAATGAAAAGCACTGACCCAGTATGTCAAGAGTATTAACAGCTGTGGATCAGCATCCCTAAATTAGGATTTTCATGAAACCCTAGCATTGCTAGAAAACATTTAAAGCTAAGGCCAGGCGCGGTGGCTTACGTCTGTAATCCCAGCACTTTGGGAGGCCTAGGCGGGTGGATCACCAGGTCAGGAGTTCGAGACCAGCCTGGCCAACACAGTGAAACCCTGTCTCTACTAAAGACACAAAAATTAGCCAGGCGTGGTGGTGGATGCCTGTAATCCCAGCTACTGGGGAGGCTGAGGCAGGAGAATCACTTGAATCCAAGAGGCAGCGGTTGCAGTGAGCTGAGATTGCACCACTGCACTCCAGCCTGGGCGGGAGAGTGAGACTCCATTTCAAAAAAAAAAGAAAAAAACATTTAAAGCTAAGTTTCAAAGTTTGAGAAACAGAAGATTCACCTTTTCTTTTATCCCTGCATCAGCTGAAAAAGCCCTGCATATTTCTCTTCAGAACATACCAACGATGCCTCACTAATGCAACTATTTTTTTTAAAAAAAACCACATATCTGAACAGTATAGTCAAAATCAACTATGAATTATCAGTTCTACTTTCCTATTTTTAGCACAACTTTAGTTTATCAGAAACCTAAAACATGACTTTTCTTTAAAACAAGAAAATTTTCAAAACTACAAACCTTCATATATTCAGCCCTTCACCAGAAGCCCAGAAAAAAATTCATAATTTTTGAACAACAAGCAAATCATGCTTATTTTCCTCAAAATACTACTTAGGTTTTAAGAACCTTCTGATGTGCATCTGCCAAATGTGGCTGATTTCAGTCTCAGACAGGGAAATCTAAAAGGCTACCACAGGGTTACTGTTTTTGGTAAGGGGAAGTCGATGCCAGGAGGAACTTCTCTATTGATTACAGCAATGACCACCATTTATTAAGCACTTCTTAGCTCTCCTGGTGCAGTGCTAGGAGTTTGGCAAACATCCTATTTGTCCTCAGAAATAATCTTGCAGAGCAAACACCACCATCCCCAAAACCAGATGTGTAAAATGAGGCTCAGGTGAAGAATAACTTGCCCAAGATCACTGAATTAAATGTGGCAGAATCAAGTCTAATGAATGGCAAGGGTGAGAACTGGTCAGTTTCACAGAGAATTAGGCCTTCATCATACAAATGCCGCCTGCACAAAAACTAAATGAGAAACAGTGAACCCTTGCTGTAGGGAGAAAAAGCAATATTCCGAACTAAAAAAGTAGTTTCAAACAGAAGATCTAATGATAAACACATTTGTAAAGTCTGAGCAGGGAGGAAAAGGATTACTCAAATTACTCAAGTACAGCCCTATGGGGCTCCTTCACTTCTGTGTTCTTAAAATCTAATCTGGTTTAAGAGCGCATGGGCTCCGAGTAAAACTCTCCCAAATTCCTCCAGGCTTAACCACCCTCTACTCAAAAGAACCAGGAGCAGGAGTTAGGACAATGGGAAGTGACCGCCCTGCCCTGCCCTGCCGGTCCTCCCTCCGGGTCAGCTGTCAGATCCGCATGGGTGCGACTATAAGCCGGCACCGGAGCCCCGGGACTGGCTCGGCCAGGGTCCCCGCCTTTTCACTCCCAGTCCCGGCCCTGTCGGCCACCTCGTTTACCACCTCCAGAGGCACAAATAATTATACCGGAAGAATTTGTTTTAACAAGTAGAATTCTATATTCACCAACTGGCTTCGCTATCGGATATTACGGTAGGGTTCCAACAAGAGAAGGGCAAAAGAATATAGTTTAATTGTTCTAAACAATCTTTCTGAGAAGTTGGGGTGGCTGAGGCGGCCACGGGGATACAGCTCAGGCACCTGTGAGCTAAGCCCACTCTACAAACTAACCACCCCTACGTTTTGGGCAGAAGAGCGCCGCCTCGCCAACCCAGGTTATAAATGTACATATTTTTAAAGATGAGCTTTGACGCTGTGACACTTGTGGGGAGTCTCCCGACGGCTCCTCTACTTGATGGGGGTACAGGGAGTTCTGCGGCTCCCCAGCCCCGAGTTTCAAATACCGTGGCCTGGAAATTAACCGGGTGACTCGGTTTATTGCCTCCAGAAGGGTCCGCCTGCCGTGCTGGAGTAGCCGCCAGTCCCGCGCCCGCAGCCCCGGCAGGGCCCCCCACGCCCACCTTCCCACGAGGGGTGTCTCGTAGAGTCCGGCTTCAGGCGCTCCCTGGCCTGGCAGCACCCACCCCACCCCGCCCCACCCCACCCCCACGACTCGGGCTAGCAGCCTGGTTAATCATTCAACGCAAACAGTGTGGAATATTTTTTTTAAAAGGTCAAAGCGAAAGGTTTTCCCTAAGTTTGGCAGAAACCAGTTTTGGGGGAGCCGGAGACAGAAGTGGCAGAGGTTGGGGGTGGGGGGTGGGGAGCGGCTGCCGGCGGCTCTTTGGCTCACAAAACACCTGATCTCCCCATGCGGCACGGGAGGCCGGCGCAGTGCGAGGGTGGGGTGCGGGGGTGCGAGCGAGGAATCACGCGCGCCCCCCTCCCCGAAATGCCCGCGCGCCCCGGATGAGGAGGCCCGGCCCCAGATGCCCCTTGCCAAAGCCCGCATCGCCCCGGCGCCGGATCCCCCGGAAGTTGGGGTGCAGCGAGGAGGGGGAAGGTCCCCGGGCTCCAGGGCGAGGTGGGCACGGAATGGGTTGGGAGGTTCCAAAGCCCCGCAGCGGGCGGTGTCCCTCTCCTCTCCCTCTGGGCTGAGGTTGGGTGGCTGGGACGGCGGGAAGGTAAGGGAGGCTTAAATGCGGCAGGAGCCACCTAGGGACGGCTTCCTCCACCGGGGCGCGGGTACGAAGCCGGAACCGGCGAGGAACCGGGCGGGGGTAGCAGGGTGTCCGGAAGGTGGGGCCGGGAAGCAGGGAGGCGGAAGGGGACTGGTAGAGGGGCCTGGCGGTGAGAGGGCAGCGGGGAGGGAGCCGGCGGGGGTGCTCGGCGCCCGGGCCCTACCTTGTCCGGGAGCAGCTCCAGCTCGGCGGGGCGGGGGCAAGGGCGGGAGATCGCGGCCACATCCACGTCCCGGCCGCTCCGCGCGGCTCAGCCCGGCGACCGCCGCAGCTCACGCTCCATGCGCGGCGCCCCGGACGGGCGGCCCGGCGGTGTCGGCGGCAGGGACTGCTCCGGCTTGGCTCTGCTAGCCTCCGGCACTTGTTGCCGCTGCTGCCGCTGCCGCTGCGCCTCACTCCAGGCTCCGGTTCCAGGCGCAGCAGCCGCCGCGGGCGCCCGGCCCCGCCCCTCCCCTGCCCGCCCGCCAATGGGGCCCGGCCCCGCCCCTCACGTCACCGCCCGACGGCCCCGCCCCGCGCCCCAAGTTTTGGGAGGGTTCCGCTCTCCCCACCCGGTACCAGGACCCACCCGGGCCCGCGCTCCCTGCGGCTTCCAGGGACCCTCCAGCCCCCACGCACCCTCCTGCAAAGCCGAGGGTTAAGCTGGGGAAAGGGGGCCTCTAGGAAGGCGACCCCCCTGGAAATGCCTGGCAGCTCCAAAAACACTAATGAAACTCAGCTCCAGCCTCCGCCCCTCCAGTTGTGGGTGGCCCCTCTTGCGGTTCGTCTGAGGCTAGGGGACTAGGCGCATCGCCTAGCGAGACTCCAGTGGCCTTTTCTGTCCAGTTTGTAACCGGAACTAGACCGACCCCGGCCGCCCCCTCCAGTGCTGGGGCGGGTGAGGAATGGCCCCGCCGGGGAGGCGGGGGAGGGAGGCCTGGGCCACCCTGGGGTCTGACCTTTGCTCCACCTCTTAGGTGCTCACGACCCAGAGTGGTGCCCTGCTTGGTACTGCCACTGGATCCTCTGGCTTATGAAGCCGTCCAGGACAGGAAGGGTGGGGGGTGGTCCTTAGTTCTCTTCGTGGGGTCATGCAGAGTGGTTTCCTCGAGGTCCCACGCCCGTCTCAGGAAGCCAGAAACGCAAGATGCCGGGCGCTCGGCCCGAACCCGTGCCGCGGCCCAAGGGGCAAGGCGGATACCGAGGCAAGGCCTAAAGGGCCGGACTCTGACCGCACCCTCCGGACACTGCAGGGCTCCGCCGGCCAGAGGCGGCCTTGGCGCCAACCACACCTAGCAGCGGGGTCCCCGGGCCCACCGATGCGCCCTCCTAGCCCCGCGCTCCTTCGAGGGGTTCCAAGGTGACTCAGAGACGCAGCTGACACAATTCTGAGGCCCCCAGGTAAGCCTGGCGATACCGGATGGAGAAGTTACCTGGTCTTGAAAGGCCCAGTCCAGCCAGCGAGACCCGCGTGCGCTCCGCGGGGAGGCAAGCCTAACCAGGGGCTCACCTGGAAGCGTCCCCGCCCCCTGGTCCTTATCTCTGAATCGAAACCGAACCTGGACCCATCTAGATAATTGGACTGAGCAATTAAGGACGCTTCGCTCCTAACTGTTAGCATTTTTTCCTAAGGCTCTCGGAGGCGGAATCAGCTGGAAAGGAACATTGCTAAGTAGGAATTTCAGGCACCTGTGAACTGAGCCCACTCAATAATCGGCCCTTTCCCTTAACCAAACTCAGCAAAGGAAGAAAGACCAAGTTGCTGCGGATGCACAGAGCCACGTGGGTGCGGGTCCTCTAGAAACAGGAATTCAGAGTCAGTAGATATGGAAATGTTATGGTTTGCAGTCTTCGGACCATGCTGCTTTCATGCTGTTCACATGATTCTCCTCGGACTGCGAGGTAAAGTCCAAGAAACAAGTCGAATGTTTGTATTTTCATAGAAAAAACATCTGTAAGGGTGCACACCGACTGTTAACCACGGTTACGCGGGGAGGGGAAACAAGGGAGTTACATTTTTTTACTCCCTTGACTTTGGATTTTGTATTTTTCCAGTTGTATTTACTTTCATAATTTAGAAAGCTAATAAAACATGTTTAAAGAAACAGAAGCTAGAAATTCTCTAAGAACTCTAGGAAGTAGAGGCCGGGCGCGGTGGCTCACGCCTGTAATCCCAGCACTTTGGGAGGCCGAGGCGGGTGGATCACAAGGTCAGGAGTTCGAGACCTGTCTGGCCAACATGGTGAAACCCTGTTTCTACTAAAAATACAAAAATTAATGGTGACATGTACCTGTAATCCCAGCCACTTGGGAGGCTGAGGCAGGACAATCGCCGAACTCAGGGAGGCGGAGGTTGCAGTAAGCCGAAATCGTGCCACTGTACTCCAGCCTGGGTGACAGAGTGAGACTCTGTCTCAAAAAAAAAAAAAGAACTCTAGGGAGTATAAATTAATAAATGAAGTCTATGTCTTCATTCTGTATCAAAATAATATTGAGTCCATGTTCCTGGGTTTAAATAAAGATATCTCTAGGCTGCTGTCTGATATTTAAATGCAGTGTTGAGACAAAGCGGACATCTAAGGAAGATTTTCTGTGCCATCAGATTGGTATATTGTTTCCATGCATATGTGTCTTCCCTTTAAATGCACTCCCTGTAGCCACAGACATGCTTGCAAGAACGGCCAGCCAAGGAGTTTATAGTAAAGGAGCTGCTACAATGTCAGCTGGCAACCAACTAGGAAATTAAGCTTGTGTCCCTCGCTGCCCAAGGCTGCCCAGGCCATGAAATTTAAAAATAAGGGTATTCTTAGGCCAGGCACGGTGGCTCATGCCTGTAATCCCAGTACCTTGGGAGGCCAAGGTGGGCGGATCACTTGAGGTCAGGAGTTCAAGACCACCCTGGCCAACATGGTAAAACCCCGTCTCTACAAAAAATACAAAAAAATTAGCCAGGTGTGGTGGTGGACACCTGTAGTCCCAGCTACTTGGCAGGCTGAGGCAGGAGAATTGCTTGAACTCGGGAGGTGGAGGTTGCACTGAGCCGAGATCGTGCCACTGCACTCCAGCCTGGGCGACAGAGCAAGACTCCGTCTCAAATAAATAAGGGCATTTTCTCCATGGTGGCTTTAACACAGTTGGGAGTATATCTACAATAGTTACCTTGTGTCTTTTGGGGAGTAACTCAATGCTAGATTCCACATCGCTTGGCTATAGTCCCTACTGTTAGGTTGGGACCCAGGTCCATCATCAGTAGGCAGAGATGTGTTATTCACTTATTCAACAAAAATGTACTGGCCATCCTCTAGATGCAGCACAGGACTAGGCGCTGGAGTGGTGAACATGGCAAACACACTCCCTGCTTGGAGCTCACAGTCTAGCTGGAGAGAGGGGCTTAACAATTAAATGCACTATTAATTAATTACAATTGTGATATGGGCCACAGGGAGTGCAAGGTGGTGAGATCATCTGGGGAGTCCATGAGGAGTTCCTGGCTGGTTCAGACTATAAAGGAAGAAGTGGTTGAGGAGGAAGTTAGAGAGGCAGGCAGGGGTTAGATCACGCAGGGCCAGTACACCACATTACAGAGTTTGGACTTTATCCTGAGACATTTGAAACAAGAGTCATACACTCAATTTTGCATTTTGAAGTAGATCACTCTGACTGCAGTGTGAAGAAGGAATAGGGAAAGGGGAAGAATGGAATGGAGGGACAGTTAGGAGGCTGTTGCTATAATGTGAGAGGGGCCATTTGTTTAAGCAGTAGAGCAAATGTAGAGAGGTAGACACCAACGAGACTTGGTAATTGCTTAGGGGGGATGAATCAAGGAAAACTCCCAGATCTCTGCTTCTTTAACCAGATGGATGGTGGTGCCATTTTCTGAGTTGGAGAACCCTCTCAAGGTTCAAATTTGGTCAAAGTAGGTTTGAGGTGCCTGTGAGATGTCCGGGTGGAGATGTTGAACAGGTGGTTGGCTGCAGGGTCTGGGGCTCTGAGGAGAGGCTGGGGCTGGAATAGCTGGTGTGGCAGTGGTAATGAAGTCACCAGAGGCTTGTGGGCTCCTATGAGAGTGTACAATTAGATCAGAAGAGGACCTACCACTGAGCCTTGAGGAACTCTTATCTAAGGGCCAGACAGAGGCAAACCTCTGGCAGAGGAGGTGGAAGAGCAGCCAGAGAGGCAGGAGGAAAACCAGGAGCTTGGCCAGGTGCAGTGGCTCACGCCTGTAATCCCAGCACTTTGGGAGGCCGAGGCAGGTGGATCACCTGAGGTCAGGAGTTTGAGACCAGCCTGGACAACATGGTGAAACCCCATATTTACTAAAAATTAGCTGGGCGTGGTGGCAGGCGCCTGTAATCCCAGCTACTTGGGAGGTTGAGACAAGAGAATCGCTTGAACCCAGGAGGTGGAGGTTAAAGTGAGCCGAGTTCACACCATGCACTCCAGCCTGGGCGACAGAGTGAGACTCTGTCTCAAAAAAAAAAAAAAAAAGAAAAAACTAGGAGTTTGGGGAGGTGGGGGTCACAGAGTCCAGGGACAAAAGCACTCTAAGCAGGAGGCAGTAGTCAACAGCACTCAAAATGGGTGACAAAAGATGTGTCTAGTGGCACACACCTGTAGTGTCAGCTACTCAGGAGACTGAGGTGGGAGGATAGCTTGAGCCCAATTTGAGGCCAGCCTGGGCAACATAGCGAGACCCCCATGTCTTTTTTTAAAAATGGCTGGCCAGGAGCAGTGGTTCACACCTGTAATCCCAGCACTTTGGGAAGCTGAGGTGGGTAGATCACGAGGTCAGGAGATCAAGACCATCCTGGCTAACACGGTGAAACCCCATCTCTACTAAAAATACAAAAAATTAGCCGGTGTGGCGGTGGGTGCCTGTAGTCCCAGCTACTCGGGAGGCTGAGGCAGAAGAATGGCATGAACCCGGGAGGCGGGGCTTGCAGTGAACTGAGATCAGGCCACTGCACTCCAGCCTGGGCAACAGAACAAGACTCCATCTCAAAAAAAAAAAAAAAAAAAAAAAAAAAAAAGGCTAAGTGACCCAAGTGAAGTGAAAGTTGAATAACATCCACTGGAGTTAGTGACCTTGATGTCGTTGGGACTTTTACAGAGCAGCGGCTGGTGGAATGAAGGGGATGGGCAATAGACTGGAGTGGATGGAGGCATGAGCAACAGGTGAAGAAATGAAAGGCACAAGGTGCAGACAATTCTTGAAAGGTTTAACTGTGAAAAGTCAGAGAAATAGCTGGAGGGGAATGTTATGTCAGCAGTGGGTTTATTTTGGTTTATGTATTTTAATTATTTTTAGGATGGAATTACTTCAGTATATTTAAATGCAAATAAGGAGGATCCCACAGAGAAGAGGAAGATGAAGGTACAGTAGAGAAAGGACAATGGAGCACAAAGGCTCCTGTGCCCATGGGAGGGATGGACCAGAGTGTGGGTGGAAAGGCTGATCTGAGGCAGGGGCCACCTTCTGTATTATAACAGGAGGAAGGAGGCTGGAGGAGGACTGAGCCAGGCTGCCATCACAGAGATAGTTGAATCTTTCCACCTGATGATTTCCTCTTAACTCTGTGACATAAAGGAGGCTAGCAATAGGGCAAGGAGAGATGACAGATTTGAAGAGAGTGGAGAAGGTATGACAGTCACTGCAGGAGTTTGGGAGGGTCGTGATGACCAGAGAAACAGCCAGATAGCAAGGCAGCATGGCAGTCCACTTGAGGCTGGTGCCTGTGAACTTTTAAGGTGCGCTTTGGCCCTCCTGTGTGGTTTCTTCCAACAGCTCAGCTGCCCACTGTGGTGCCAGCTCAAATGAGGAAATTACCAGGGCAGAGGAGCAAAGGAATTGAGAGCTTTGGCAAAGGTGAGGTGGCACGGTGAATGATCAGAGAGAAAGGACAGGAGCCAAAGGACTGGAAAAGTCAAGGAGTCAAGACCAAGTCACACCAGAAGGAGAGGAATTGGGTCAGAGATCTGGATCTGAAGTAAGGAGTTCAGGAGGTGGAGAAGTTTAGGGCCATGACAATGCCAGGACATGATGGGGAGGCATAGAGGAGAAAGTCATTGGAGAATATGAGGTCAAGAGATTAAGAGGGCACTGGATAGGTCCTCTGTGTGAACAGGAAAGCCATCCAGGATGTGAGGAGGAATGGCAGTTATGGTGTGAAGGCCATGGAGCCAGGAGCTAAAGTTTTAAGAGAGTGGGCAAGAGGGAATGACCAGGAGAGCAGAAGATAAAAAGCACCAGGCAAGGGACAGGCACTATGGCTGGGCAACAGTCTCCCCAAAGGAACAACAGCATTTATGGGACGTGGAGGAGAAGTGATCAGGTAGGGGAACAATTAGTCAGGGTTGGGAAAGTCTGGGAGGCTTCCTGGAGAAGGTGGAGTGGAAGGCATCCAGACTGCTCATTTATCCTGAGAACATTTGTGAATGTGCCCATTTCTTTGTGGCTGTGAAGACTGTTGATCTGACAGTCTGAAGAGGGTCTATAAAAAGTTTCTAGGTCATAGATTTCTCCCTTGGCACTCCTGCTTCCCAGCGTGTTGTCACTCCTGTAGCCCTGCCACCTCTCAGTCACACTCATGTGCTCCTCCGAGGTGGACAGGCAGCCCAGACTACACAGTGAATCCTGTGTGCTTTGCCCTGGGCCTCTCATGTCTGGCTTTTCCATGTCACTCCTTCTTCTTTTCTTTTTTTCTTTCTTTCATTCTTTCTTTTTCTCTTTCTCTCTCTCTCTCTTTCTTCTTCTTTTTTTTTTTTTCCCCAGGCTGGAGTACAGTGGTACAATCTCAACTCACTACAACCTCTGCCTCCCAGGGTTAAGTGATCCTCCCACCTCAGCCTCCCAAGTAGCTGGGATTACAAGCATGCACCACCACGCCCAGCTAATTTTTGTATTTTTAGTAGAGATGGCATTTCACCTTGATGGCCACACTGGTCTCGAAATCCTGATCTCAAGTGATCCACCTGCCTTGGCCTCCCAAAGTGCTGGGATTACAGGCACGAGCCACAGCATCCGGCCTTGTCACCCATTTTTCTGGTGAGGAAACGGGCTGATCTTCAGCAAGTTTCCTGTGTCCCCTTTGGTGCCAGCATCCACCTGGTATTTTTGCCCAGCCAGACTGCAAGCTTTTGAGCAAGCAGACCTGAATGCCCCTCCTTCTCAGCCTTCAAGGTCTGCGGTTTGCCTCACTTCACCTGGCCAGCCTAGGACACCTTCATGCCCACAGAGCCACAGCCCTGGTCTACACCCACCTCCTTTGTTCTTTACTGCCTCTGCCTCACTAACCAGGAGCACCCCAACAACCTGCCATTCAGGTACAGACCCCATGGAGATGCCACCCTGGAACTCAAACATCTATAAGCCCAGAGCTGGCTTCCACCTTCTTGGTTCTGTTGGAACCAACTCCTGCAGCCCTTTGGACATGGTTCAGAATGAAAGCCTTCTTCCTCGGTGGCAAACCCCATGGCCAGATGGGTGCCTGAGCCCTGTATCTCCCTCCTCCTTTCAGCACAGATCTAGAAAAGTTCCCAGCCTGTCTAAGGGCCAGGCACACACAGATAGCATCAGCAGCAGAAATCCCCAAACTTTGTATATCCTCCAACTTAGGTTGTCACAGAAGGATGGCAATGTTTCCTAGTCTGTTAATCAGTCCCAAGTGGAATTATGAAAACAACAACCACCTCTCTCAATGGCTAAAATATTAATTATTGATGGAAAGTGTGGAAGCTTGGCACTGGAATTCTTAGAATTCTACTCCAATCCCTTGGAACTGGCAAATGAGGCCCCAAAAGTAGCTTTCTGGAAGCCAAATACCTAATACCAGAGATAATATCTTGAACGTTGGACAATTAAATCACAGGTTAAAAATCACCTGGCTCTTAAAGCAGGTCCTTTGCTCCGAAGGTTACTATGACTTTGGACTTTGTAACAGTTGAAAAACAGCCTCATTATCAGATGCAGATATAGAAACAAATGTAATGATTCCCAGGGGACTTGCTCCATATTCCAGAGTCCTGATGCTGAAAGAACTTAAAATTCCCAGGTTAGTAAAGTCCAGCGTGTATAGGACATTGTGGTGGTACCTATGGTCAACAATTTGGAGGGGCATGAACAGCTGTCTCTATTACGGTCATCATATTGTTTTGGGAATAGAATTCTCAGTAAGGAGAAATGCAAAATCATAGTCTTAATTATCATCAAACTGAAAAATTATATTCAAGACGAGAGGCCCATAATGGCAGCATCAAGCATGAGACAGTGCCATTAATATGATTATCAGGACATAAGCCTATTAGAGAACTTAATGCCTTTTTGCTGGCATCGCCCTTTGTTATGCTTCTCAGGGTTTAGAAACCATCTCAGTTGTAAACATAACTGTTACAAAACAGTGATTTCCAGGGGGCATAACAAAGATCTGCCCACCTTTACCAAAGATCAAAGCTGCCTGGCTATGGAGAAAGAGAATATTTTTAGAAAATGAAGACCAATCTCCCAACTCTAGGTGGCTCTTATTGAGAAAGGAAGAAAGGGAGTGTATCTCGCTCCAAGTCTTGCTTTGTGGCAATCCAGTTGTGGACATGATTGTGAGGTTTAACCACCACATGGAGATATGCATGCAACAACTCAGATGGATACAGTGGCCTAGGTCTTGGCTGCTGCTAGTGAAAAACCATGGTATGGAAATCCCCAATTCCAGGTTCAACTCCCACCTTGGGAAGAAGCCAAGTGTGGTCCACATGGGAACAGTAACATCTAAAGAGTTCTCAGGAAGAGGAAATTAGGTCATTTATGGCCAAGTACCTGCAAACATTTGGGGCTTAATAAATGTTTGTTTCCCTCCTCAGTCTTGGCCATGGAACCAAGTCCCCATCAGGATAAAGTATGAGTGGTATCTTGGCATAGAATGCTTCGCATTCTCAACATTTGTCCTGGGCCCTCCACTGGAGGAACTGCCATTCTGTCCTCATTCCAAAGGGTTCTGACGCCATCATCATCAATATAATCATGTAGAATGGAAAAATCAATTGGCTGTCCCTGGAAGGAGCCACCTGCTTGATCTTTAGGATCCAGTGACTTACGAAACTCACTTGGCAAAATCGTCTTACAGCAAAACCATTGCCAGGAAGGGCAGGGCCTCCTCCTCAAACACGACAGTCGGCAGTCAGGGAAATCAGAGAGCAACAGATCCCATAAATAGTCTGAAAGGGAAGCAGGATCCATGCGACAGCACAGATGAATCTTCCAACATTACGCTGAGAGAAAGAAGTCATACGCAAGTACAAGTGAAGTTTAAGAACAGGCAAGAACTTATCTATGGTGGCAGAAATCAGAACTCGAGTTGCTTCTGGGATAAAGAGAGAATTAACTGGAAAAAAAAGCATGAGGGAATTTTCTGGGATAAGAGAAAGATTCTACCACTTAATTGGAATGTTGGTTACATGGGAGCATACCATTGTCACAACTCTTTACACGGTAAACTTCATATTTGTGCTTTTCTTTTCTGGAAAAAAATAATTTTTTTATTAGTTAACTGCTTGAAATATGTGCATTTTATTGTTTGTAAATTGTACATCCACTTTAAAAAAAAAAAAAAGGAAGCAGCAGTCTTTAGGCAGAGAAGAGTATGGGCAAGTGGGAAAAAAGAAAGGGCTTCTCCACCCATCAATCCCACTGCTGTGTTAGGCAATTTTCCCTGTGCCAAACTGTATGGCAGTTATGAACTGACATTTCAAAATCAACTACAGAGAGGCGGGAGGCATTTTCTAAGAATATCCTAGTCTGTGCTAACCATTTAGGTCCAAGCCACATTCCCTTACATTTTGAAAGCTTTTCATCACCATTTCCTTCTTTTCTCATCTAAGGTCATCCCAGGAAAGGGTTTTTCAGAGTCAGCAGCCCTCCATCCCCAGCACTGCATACACATTGCATAACATTGGCCGTATAAATTTTACACCCATAAGGCCATGGAAAAAGGAAGCAGTTTAGTTGATCAATCAGACATGTTTATGGCCATCAAAAATCAGGAAAAAAAGAGAGTTTGGATCACTAGAAAACTTCCAAGAAGAAAAGAATCCTGACAACCAAGGATTTCAAAACACAAAGGCCCCCAAAGGGTGGGAAAATGAAATGGGCAGTTGGAACTAGAACTAAAATTGCAAATTTGATGCAACTTCATCATTAAGTACTTGTGTGACAAATCCCTTCTGTGCTGTCAAAGGGGATGTATCACACATGACAAGAAAATCACAGGCAGAGTAGGCTCCAACCCAGCACGTCGTGGCTCTGCTTCAGTCTGACTTCTCTGCTGTTCTCTTGGCTCCATCTTCTTCTCACATCTATTGCTTTCTACAGCTATTTCAGGCATCTCAGTCAGAGCCAACATCCGACAGAAAAGGGACTCTTTCTTCCCTTGTCTCTTGTTATGACCCAGAAAACCTTTCCTACAGTTCTCTACCCAAGTTCCCTTCTCGTCTCATTGGCTAGAACACAGTCACATGACCCTTCCTAAGCCAATCACTGGCGAGAGTGTATAGCGCCATCCTGAATCGTTTAGACCAATTTGAGTTTTCAAAGGATGGCAGGATAGGGTGGAGGGGGAGGGCAGCATGAATTGCATGAAGAAGGCATGGTCCCCCAGACACAGGGCTCTACCTGCCCGATAAAGGGGGTGCTGTAGGTAAGGTTTCCAAGCTCGGAAACAGAGGTTGGCAAGCAGGAAGTTTATTGAAGGGTAGGTACAGCATCAACGCCTGAGGGGAAGTGAGGTGGGTAGGAATGGACAAAGAGAGAAGTTGAACTGCAGTGCAATCATGGTAAAGACCTCAGCTGATCTTTCAGGGAGCTCTGGTGGTGGGATGGCCCAGAGTTATTACAAATTGGGGTGAAAGGACGAACCCTTTTTACTCCTGCGTCCGCCAGTCATTAGATGTGGGCTGCCCGTGGTCAATGTGAGCTTCATCTTAGGCAAGGTGACTCTCTCTGCAGCAGAGGACAAGTGTCAGAGAGGAACTCAGCGGACAGTTGCCGCCGTCAGCACTCCCAGTAGATGGGGGCATGAGTGCTTCAGTCTTGGAGGGGGGATCTGGGTGACACATGTCATCTGCTATAGGGAAGATGAGTTTGCATTGTCAGTCCCTCAGGTCTCCTAGAATCCAACCTGGAGTCTACACTCATGTCCAGAGAAAACACGGCAGCCTTGACCAGGGCCATTTCTGGAACCCTCCACTTCCTTGGGGAGAGGGAAGAGGAGAGCATCCAAGAGTCAGCACAGCACTACCTTGGTCGTTACTAGTAGGACAGCTGAGAGATAGCTGTGTGGACTGAGTCTGGGTGGGACCCAGCGGGACCCAGCCCTCAGACTTAAGGGGCATGAGGCCCACAAGAATGAAAATCCACAGGATTAGTCTTGAACAAGCCGGGAGCCTGCTAAGCCCTGGCATCTGCTGAACTTCCCAAATCACACACATTCAACTGTTCGGTTCCACATTTCCATAGTGTGCTTCCTGCCAAGCTTCCCAACACAGTGTACACAATAGGAAAATTGAAATGAGCAGTTCTAGCAACTATGGATATGCAGGTCAAATAAATAAGTCTTTATCTAAGACTTAAGCAGACATGGTCAACAAGGGTCTAATTCAAAACTGAGCTTTGGAGAAAGAAAGATTTTACAAAACAAAAAGAGGGGGAGGGAATAGAGCTGTTTGCATGAATTTTTTTCTGTCTCACTAAAAATACTGAAATATCATTTTATCCAGCCTCTCCATGCTGCCCTGCCTCCTCCACCCCATCCCTGGCTGTATTCCTACTCTGGCTGTAGGGCCAACTCATAGGAAGTGTTATGCTAGGGTATGTAAATAGTTGTCATGGAAAGGAGCTGGGGAAATTACTTTGTGCATTGTTATATATCTAGTTAAATGCCTCAAAATTAAAGCCATACACATGGGTGTTTTTGTGTCTATTAAGGAAGCACAGGGAATATGTGTTATAGAAACCTCAAGCATTTCAGCTAAGTGAGTAAGAGCAAGGAACTTGAATCTTATACTTCGGGCTGCACCTACTGTAGTGTGGAGCCAGATGTGGTAGAAATTTTTTTTTTTAACAAGAAAAACTATTTACAAGTTTCTCGTCACTCCTCATTCTAGCAGTAGATACACCGACTCCCCTTGGAAAAAAACCACTGGAGGGTCCTTTGGTTATGTAGATATAAGGCCAGGGGCTGTTGGTTGTCTTGGGGAAATGGAAATGAACAGTTTTGATTTCTTTTTTTCCCTCCCTGCGCTGACAAAGGCCACCCCTCCTCCCACAGGCCCACAATCTTGTCTGCAATTCTGAAATCCATAAAGGGCTGGAAAATGAGTTTTTTCAGAAGGTGGCACTAAAACTAACATGGCAGCAAAATCTGACTGGACCTTATGGGAGGGCATAGTTTTTATTTATCCTATGTTTCACTACAAATATGTTAAGGTGTTTGATCATGGAGCTGCTCCGAACACATTCATATATCTGCAGTGAAACATGGGGTGTTAGATAGACTATGATATGTATATACCATTACTTCCCAAAATCTGGAAAATTCTAACTCCTGAATAAGGATTGTGGGCCTGCACTAGAATCTGATGGATGGAGTTAATCCCAGTTGAGGTCAGTATGCAGGACAGAATACTGGGTCATCTGGACTGGTGACCAAGGTTTAGCTGAAGGGCTCATGTTGGCAGGGAAGCAGTGCGTGCTGCCACTTCTGGGCACAGTGAGGGGTGATGAGGATGTGAGGGAGCCCCTTCACATCCAGCTCCTTCACATCCATGTTGGAAAAGCAACAAAATCATGAACCCAGGTCACATCTTTCGGTGGACAGAAGCACCCATTATTGTTGGCTTTGTACCCAGGCATTGAACTGCTGGGTTACAAGGGATGCATATGTTTACTTTTACTAATTCCAGGCAAACATGTTTCCAACAGTGTTGTGCCAGTTTACACTTCCGTCAGTATGAAGATTCCAGCTGCTCCAACACCTCACCAAAACTTGGTATCATCAGGTTTTTTAAAAGGTTAGCTGTTTCAGTGGAGATGTACTGGTACCCCGTTGCAGTTTTAACTTGCATTTAACTTGATCATGACAGTAAATGCCCTTTCCTATGCATACTGGTTGTTTGGATGCCCTCTTTTGTAAAGTGCCTGTTTAAGTCTTTTGTCCATTTTAAATTGGGTTGTCTTTTTCTTATTCATTTGTAGGCATTCTTTATATATTCTGGCTGAGATAATGTTTGGAAGTTTGGAGGTTTGAACTAGCATACATATGTATATATGTGCGCACATATATACACACATATATATGTGCGCACATATATACATATGTATACTAGTCCATACATGTATATATGTATATTAATCCAAACCGCCAAGCTTGGTCCAAGCTGGTCTCAAACTCCTGGCCTGATCCTCTCACCTTGGCCTCCCAAAGTGCTGGGATTATAGGTATGAGCCACCATGCCTGGCTTATCTCAAGATATTTATAAGGCAATTTGATTGGATTTGGGGGCAGGGACAGGAAGATTGTGGAAATGAGGAGTCCTAGGTTGCTGGATTGAACAGCTGGATAGACAATAGCAGTGCCATCTACTGAGTTTGAGAACACTGGGAAGGGAAAAGGAGCAGGGTGGTGGGAAAGGTGATACACTCGGTGGTGACCATGGGGAGTATGAGGTGTCTATGTGATGTCGAAGTGGAGCTGCCCATGAGGCAACTGGATATACAGGTCTGGAACCCAAAGAAAGACCAGTGTCTTCATCCATATTCTGTTGCTATAACAAAATACCTGAAGCTGAATAATTTATTAAGGAAAGAAGTTGATTTAGCTCACAATTCTGGAGGCCAGGAGATGAAAGACTGGGTGGCCCATCTGGCCAGCTGCCGGTAAGGGCCTCATGCTGTGTTATAACATTGCAGAGAAGCAAAAGGGGAGGCGGGCACATGCGAGAAGAGCAAACATGAGAGGCAGCCTCACTTTATAACAACCTGCTCTCACACGCTCAAGAAACTGCATTAATCCCTTCGTGAGGGCAGATCCCTCATGACCCAAATGCCTCTTAAAGGTCTCACCATGTCTCAATATCATTACACTGGGGACTAAGCCTCAACCTGAGTTTTGGTGGAGATAAACCATAGCAACCAGGAATACACACACACACACACACACACACAAGGGAATTATCTGCATATAGATGGTAACTGAAGTCATGAGTATGGTTGAACTCATCCAGGGAATGAAAAGAGACTGAGAGAAGCAGAGGGCCTAGGATAGAGCCTCTGAAGATCCAATTAATGGATGGACCCAGAGGGAGAATCCAGCAAAAGGAAGCCAGGAAGAAGTGAGAGAAGGAAAAAAACCAGAGTGTGGAGACACAGCATCCCACCGAAGAGCTGGTTTCAGAGCACAGTAGCGTTGGGTGGGTGTGGGGGGATGGGTAGCACTGTTGGCACCCAGATGTTAGTGGTAGAACATAAGGCAGCTAAGGGATTTGAAGCCCCAGAGGTCTTGTCTCCTTGAAGGCTGAGAACATGTCTTAAACCTATTTTATCTTCAACAGCACCAAGCTGTGCACTGTTCATTGTAAATGCCCAATAAAGACTTGTTTGCTCATTCGTTATGTTAATTAAAGCCACAGATCAGAGAGGCAAACCTGCTTGTGTGAGGCCTAGTTTGGGATAAAAGGCTAGGAAGACAACAGAGAGGGCACGGAGAAAAGCAAAAAATGACTGAGAAGTAAGACAAGTTTGCCTGCTGCATGAACAGTTGGAAAAAATATTTCACTCCTTACCAAAAAGAACAGCGGCAAAGCTGGGTAACAAGAAACAGTGAAAACTGATAGGTCTTTGAGGTGAAAAGAGGAAAAACATGGTGGGGGAGAAAGTAGATTAGTCAAATAAACATTTTATTATTTTTCTCCTTCTTCTTCTTCTTCTTCTTCTTCTTCTTTCTTTCTTAGCCTCCCAAAGTGCCAGGATTACAGGCATGAGCCACCAAGCCCAGCCTAGCTCTCACATTTTATTCTTAAACTCTATGACAGAGCAACTTAAAGAACCTTAGAGATAATAAAATCAATTGTATTATTTCACAAATGATAAAGTAAACACTTATAGAGGCTGGGGACTTGTGTAAGGAACAGCTAGTCATTGGTAAAGGTTGAACTCAAATTGACAGCTCGGCCCCCAGGCTGGTGCTATTTCCATTATAAAAATACAATCTCACTACTGGGCCCCTCTCCTCATTTCCTGCCCATTTCCTTCACTTTTATATGAGTGAAATTCAGTTAAAATGAACATCTGGGCAGCTGTGATAATCTGCACGAAGTTACAAACCCTGCGGTTGAGGCACTTTGCATGGCAGCAGGTGAACAATGGAGTTGAGGGTCAGAGATCAACGTTGCTCATCTGCCTCCTCTGGAAACCCCTGAGAGGGAAGGGCCAAGCATGGCTTCAGAAAGCCACCCTACATTTTTTTTTTTTTTTTTTTTTAGAGACAGACTCTTGTTTTGTCACCCAGGCTGGAGTACAGTGGCATGATCGTGGCTCACTGCAGTCTCAAACTCCTGCGCTCAAATCATCCTCCCGCCTCAGCCTCCTAAGTAGCTAGGACTACAGGCACATGCCAAGATGCCCACTTAATTCTTTAATTTTTTTGTAAAGACAGAGTCTTGCTAAGTTGCCTAGGCTGGTCTCAAACTCCTGGGCTCAAGCAATTTTCCTGCCTTAGCCTCCAAAAGCACTGAAAATTTTGATTTTTCAGGCACAAGCACCATCCCTGGCCTGAAAGTCATTTTTTAATCGTCGTAGGGAGCCCAGGAGTTGAGTCTGCAGTGAGCCATGATCATGCCACTGCACTCCACCCTGGGCAACAGAGTGAGACCATGTCTCTAAAAAACAAAACAAAAGAAAACCAAAAATGTAGCGGGGGTGGGACAATGTGTTCTCTTTTCCAAATGTATTTATCATTTTTATAATCAGGAAACTTTCTTAATTTTTTCTTTAATGAGAGAGTAGGTGGTTGAGGAGGAAGAGTTAAGGAGAAACAGGCTATCTGCCAGTGTGACCAGCAACCACTTAGAAGCAGAATGTGCCAGATGAAAACTAGGTAGGGCTCGCAGGGAAATCAGTTATTCGTCCCTTCCCCTCTTGTTTTCTTTTGGTTTGTAGATTATTGGTTTGGCTTAAAGGTGATTTTCCGTGCAAAGCAGCAATTGCATAGGGAAGACATTGCATTTTCCTTAATCTGGTGAGATAGGAGACCAAAGTGGGGAAGGAGATGAAAAATGGACACTGAAGGATGGGGTGAAGCCAGGGGACTTTGAAAGAACCATTTGTAGCTGGGCACGGTGGCTCACGCCTGTAATCCCAGCACTTTGGGAGGCCAAGGCAGGTGGATCACAAGGTCAGGAGTTCAAGACCAGCCCGGCCAATATGGCGAAACCCTGTCTCTACTAAAAATACAAAAATTAACCAGGCATGGTGGCAGATGCCTGTAGTCCCAGCTACTTGGGAGGCTGAGGCAGGAGAATCGCTTGAACCTGGGAGGCGGGGGTTGCAGTGAGCCAAGATCGTGCCACTGTACTCCAGCCTGGGTGACAGAGTGAGACTCCATCTCAAAAAAAAAAAAAAAAAAAAAAAAAAGAACCATTTCAGTGCAGTGTTGTCTGAGTACCTGTTACGAGCAAGACAGAGAAGAATGGAACGTGGTCCTTGTCCTTAAAATGTGTGACTGATTCACTGCTCTAGCTTCTAACACCCACCATGGTGCCTGCTGGACAAAAGGGGCTCAGTCTTTCCTGAATGGGAGAATGGGATGCCCATTCTTGAAAAGATTCAGCACATCCTTTCAATTGAGAAAAGTTCTCACATGCTTTTCCTTGACATTCTTAGATACATTAGTCCCAACAGGTGCCGTCTGTTCCAAGATGTCAGGCCTCACAGTACCAAAGAGCCACCATTTCCCCTCTCCTGGTACCCAGCACTGCACAGTTGGCCATTCCATTAGCTGGCTGTCTCTCAAATTCCCAGGCGCTGGGAGAAGACCCAGACCCTAGCAGAGGGTCAACAAGGTGCTCCGAAACTGCCAAGTCTTCAAGTCTAAAGTCGAACATGCCATTCTGGCCATAAGGAGACACCAGAGACAGTTTTTCCTCAGTTTAGTGGCAACATCCAGGTCTGGCTGATGCATTGTGGTGTCGGAGGCCAAAAGCTGTTCTCATTTTGCTTCCACAAGTCGCTTTTGGGTTCCAGAAAGAGAAAGTCATAACCTCTACAACTTGGAATACAACATTCCAAAACAGCTGAAGAGTGCTTGGCAACTTTCTCCGACAAAGTTAATTAAAACCTTCCCCTCCCCCAGGGGTCAGCGCCTACCGTTCATGGAGAACCTTCAAGATGCTCTCCAGCTAAGTCTCTGGACTTAAGAATTTGATTTGGAAAACTGCCATGGAACTCCTCAGAAATTCTAAGCCAGAAAAGTCCAAAGGCCTTCCTACTAGCAGCTTTTACTATGGTTCATAGCTCATTTTCAGCCAAAGGAATTCAATTCCCCACATCCAGCCAGGAGGAAAACATCTCTGTGGTACACAGTACTGGAGTACCATGTGCACCACCAGAAAGGCCAGCTTGGCTCTGGGAAGAATCGATGACATCATTCTCTCCATGCAATGTCAATGAGCTTGTGTCACTGAAACAGAATAAGCAGGTCACCATAGTACAAAGGCAGCACCTCCCTTACTCTCCTGCTGCTGTTTCTTAGGGCAAGAAATTCAGCTTTGCCTCACCTTGGCTTGGCCACACAGAGCTGGGAGGCATTTCAGGAGAAAGGAGCCATTGTCCCCAGCAGGATGTGCACCTTGCCAGCCTGTCTCCTTGTCATCCCAAACACAGGTTGGCTTCTCTGCCTATGGATCAACAATGTCCTTCTCAACAAATGTCAAGTGTCTTGGTGCTTTAAAAGATTCCTATGACAGATGTGATTGAGGTATCCAATTTTTAGCTTTGGGGTTATTTTGCCCAGTCTAATTTAATGTCAACTGAGTGGCTGAATTCCATGAAATGATGCCATATGCTACTGGAAAACCAGTGTAAGTCCTAGGTCCCTGGCCTCCAGGAGCTTATCATCTCCTAGTAGGGGGCTCTGAGCATGTCAGCTTTGGGCTCTGCCATGCCCAGTATCTCCTACAGAGGGGGGAAACTACCCCATCTATAGCCCCCTGCTCAGAGATAGCACCAAACTATTCTACGCCCAGGAATGGCCACTGATTGGGCCAGGACCAAGGGGGCCAGCTCAAGGACCACCCCACATAGACTAGGTAGTGAGCTCAAATGAGGCTGGCATGGATAGATGAGCTGGGCCACATTTATGGAAATTGCAGCCGGAAGCTGGGTGTATGTGGAGGAGGCAGAGGGTCAGATGCATGGGTAGCAGCTGGGTCACATGAAGGGCCAAGTGCTGGAGAGAAACTCCTGTGACCTGGCTTTACCACCATTCCTGCCTTTCCTGAGACCCAGTGTTTTTCTTTTTCTGGGTTCTTCTGTATATGCACCCTTTCAATATTCACACCTTAACGTACGCCAACAAGTACATGTCACCATTATCACCACTAATAAGTGTAACCAGAGACCATAGTCCTTCCTGACAGGCAGAAAGAAGATAAGAGAAGTCATGCGATAACTACAGTACAAGCTGGAGAGCTGTGATCTTACACCTTCAGTCTGGATATGGTTTGAAGCTTGCTGGGGCCTGACGCAGCCACAAGAATTGTGAGCCATGAGGGCTGCATTTTTACCACTGTATCTCCTAGTTCAGTGCCTGTCTGGTGATCAGTAAGTGCTGGGTGATCAATAGCTTGGTGATCAATAAGTCCTGGCTGATCAATAGCTTGGTGATCAATAAGTGCTGGCTGATCAAATAGCTTGGTGATCAGTAAGTGCTGGCTGATCAATAGGTTGGTGATCCATAAGTATTGGCTGATCAATAGCTTGGTGATCAATAGTACTGGTTGATCAAATAGCTTGGTGATCAATAAGTGCTGGCTGAGTGATTGAATAGACTGGGAACCAAAAAGATTATTTAAGGTTCAGTGTTGGCCATCTTCTGTGTGTCACCATCTCCCTGCTGTTCCCTGCCCTGGGAGGCTGCTCTGGGGGTACTACCTTAAAGGGCTTCCCTGTCCTCTGACTTCTGGTGGGGTTCAGCCAAATGAGGAGTCCTAGCCAGACATCAGAGGGAAGAAGGCAAGTGACACTGGGATATTCGTTCCCCCTGAGCCTGACATTGTTGTGAGGCAGCCCTCTCCATACAACCCCTCTGCCTCCCAATTCTCTCATTTTTTCAGGCCTAGACATGGTAATGACTCCCAACCCATGTTACCAGCCCATCATAACACCCTTTCCCCACCCAATTTGACTGTACCATCTGTTTCTTGCTGAGACTTTGAATGATAAGAGGTCCCCCAAATCAAGCATGCTCCTTTTGCTCTCTGGTTTTCTCTATGTACTGGTATGCTCTGCTCAACCCTATCAGCAAATACAGCTTCACAGGGGAAAGCTGGCTGGGAGGATATTTGCCAGTCTGATGGCCCAGTATGAGGTGAGGGTGGTGAGGTGGCAGGAGGGAGGGAAGGGAGTCATCCCTCAATGCCAATAATTTCATTGCATAAATGTTAAGAGGAAGTCACTGAACTTGGTGGCCACTTTCCCCAGAACAAAGTCTGGATCCAACCTTCCATTAGGCAAGAAAGTTTTCCTTTTCAGAAAAAAATAGTTTCTTTGGCTAAAAAATGCTTTGTTTTGAATTATGTTTTATTGCACAACCACAAAATAATAATCAAAAATTTTCTCTTGGTGAGAAAGGCCATCGCTCTGCTCTGACCACACAGTTAATTTACCCAAATCAACGCAGCAAAAGCGGGTGGGAGTAGAATCTTCTTTTCTATCTCACTTTTGCATTTTTAGAAATATTAATAAGCTCTCAAGAAGCAAGGGTTACTTGGTATCTCAACCTGTGCCTTTTCAGCCTTTAAGTATGAGGTTAGGGAGAGTGGAGTGGAAGCAGTAGGGTTATTTTTATTTTTACAACAATTTGCCCTCTCTAAATGTACTAATGGGGAAAAGTACATTTTAGATCTTCTAGAAAGGACATTTAAAGGGTCTCAAATGATCCTAAGCTTTTTCCTTTCCCTAAAAAATATCTTTTCTCAGCCCTTTGGTACATATTATCTTGTCTGCTTGGGATCTGCTTTCAAAGCAGGTTTCCCACCAGGCAGATTCAACAGCAGTCTAAGATAGCAATGTCTGATTTCCTACCTAAGACGCAAATGGAAAAACACAGGATCTGAATATATTTGTTCTTTTTTTTTTCCTTTTCCCTTATCCCTTTTAAATAAAGGATATACTGGTTTCTTTAGTCCTCGGTCTTTTGGCAACAGCCATTTAAAAGAAAGAATCATATGGTAATTATTAATTTTGCATAGGATCAACTCTGGCCTCAGCTTTCATTTGAGATGCAGTTACATGAAAAACAGACTGCGTTAATTTCATCCCCTCTGGGGTTGCTTGGCAACAAGGCCTTGTTCCAGACCATCTCGTCTCTTTGGCCCAGAGTGATCTCTTTGGGGTGTCGCTCAGGCTAAGCAATCATCACCCTGTTGGTGTTGTTTCTGAATGTGTCCCTGTAGTCCTGATGGCACAAGGGATTGATGGCTTTGCTCCAGTCATACTGCCTGAGGTCTGTGTAAGCCCTGAGCCTACAAAGTGCAGAAAATGAAATATGCTTGGAGAATTTGAGATCTGAACAATCCAGGTTAGACAGAAAAGAGGGAGCCATAAGCAATGTCTGAGATGTTGCTAGGGGGTAGATGGAGTAAATACTAAAGTTCTTTTTTTTTTTTTTTTTTTTGAGACAGAGTTTTGCTCTTGTCGCTCTTGTCACCCAGGCTGGAGTGCAATGGCACGATCTTGGCTCACTGCAACCTCCGCTTGCCGGGTTCAAGCGATTCTTCTGCCTCAGCCTCCCGAGCAGCTAGGATTACAGGCATCGCCATCATGCCCGGCTAATTTTTGTATTTTTGTAGAGATGGGGTTTCACCATGTTGGCCAGGCTGGTCTCGAACTCCTGACCTCAGGTGATCTGCCCGCCTCGGCCTCCCAAAGTGCTGGGATTACAGGCGTAAGCCACCGCACCCGGCCCTAAAGTTCTTTAAAAATAAAAAAAATTAAAAAGCATTGCTACATTCTCATTTGGGATTTTTTTTTTTTTTGAAATGTTGTTTTGCTATTGTCACCCAGGCTGGAGTGCAATGGCACGATCTTGGCTCACTGCAACCTCCGCCTCCCAGGTTCAAGCAATTCTCCTGCCTTAGCCTCCCTAGTAGTTGGGATTACAGGCACCTGCCACCACATCTAATTTTTATATTTTTAGTAGAGACAGGATTTCACCATGTCGGCCAGGCTGATCTCAAACTCCTGACCTCTGGTGATCCACCTGCCTCGGCCTCCCAAACTGCTGAGATTACAGGCATGAGCCACCACACCTAGCAATTTGGGAAATATTTCTAAGCTATATTGTTAAACAATAAATGCAAGATCCAGAACAGTATCCATAGATGCTAGCTTTTGTATGTGTACACAGACAGGGGTAGTGAAAAACATATTTTTTTGTTTATGTTTGCATAAAGAAAAAGACAGATGGTCACCTGTGTTTGTGAGGGGTGAGAGTGATGGGGTATAAAGGGTAGGGGCAAGAACAAGATTTATCACTTGTATATATCTTTATATTGTTTTGCTTTATAAACTAAAAGCAAAAACCTAGTGAAAAAAAAAAGCAAATTAAAAATAAGCGTCAAAAAAGTGTTAGCAACCCAATTCAAGTTGTTACTGTTTGGGAGAATTGGAAAAGTTGAATAAAGGGTACAAAGGAGTTCTTTGTACTATTTTTGCAACTTTTTTTCGGTGAGTCTAGAATTATTTCAAAATTAAAAGTTAAAATAAATGTTTTCAGCATTAACAACCCAAACAAATTTTCTTTTTCTTTTCTTTTTCTTTTTCTTTTTTTTTTTTTTGAGACAATGTCTCGCTCTGTCGCCAGGCTGGAGTGCAGTGGCGCGATCTCAGCTCACTATAACCTCCACCTCCTGGGTTCAAGTGATTCTCATGCCTCAGCCTCCTGAGTAACTGGGACCACAGGCGTGCACCACCACACGCAGCTAATTTGTTGTATGTTTAGTACAGATGGGGTTTCGCTATGCTGGCCAGGCTGGTCTCAAACCCTTGGCCTCAAGTGATCCACCCGCCTCCCAAAGTGCTGGGATTACAGGTGTGAGCCACTGCTCCCAGTCCCAAACAAATTTTCTACAGTTTTCCCTTGCTGTTTAAATACCATTCTTGCTCTCTTTTGTGAAGGAAGTCAGTCTGTACATTTAGAACACGTAAGTGACTTGGTACGAGATGGGGTGACTTTGAATATTTTGAGCTACAGAGAAAAGCCCTCAGCTAGGAACATTGGCCTTAATCAGAATGTAGGTCCATCCCTGTCTCAAACGGCTTCAGCTGTGGTCTCTAAAGATCTGAGGAGAAATAAGTGACAGCCTCCCTAGAGGCTGGGCCTCTGAGTATGGAACTCTCATGATAAAAGCATCACTTTTCATCTAGAAGGAGATATCAGGAAGAAAGAAAAAAAGGAGATAAAAAGCATCACTCTTCAATTCAAATAAGCCCTTGATTGTGCCTTCGTGGCTTTCCTGGATATCGCTTAGTGTTTTCTCTCATCTTTGCAGCAGCCAGCCATCTCTTCGTCCCATCTTCTGCATCACTCTGTTTATATCTTTCTCCACTAAATTAAGCTACTTGAGGGTAAGTATAACAGTTGAGTCATCACCATACATGGCTCCCCTAATACATACTTTCTTCATAAGGTTTTACTTTGAAATAATTATAGATTCACATGAAATTGGAATAAATATACAGAAGTTATAAGTGCCTATATTTAAAAAGAAGGAAAAAAATTAAATCAGTAGCCTAATTTTTCACCTAAAGTAGAAGAGCTGGGCGCAGTGGCTCACGCCTGTAATCCCAGCACTATGGGAGGCCGAGGCGGGTGGATCGCGAGGTCAGGAGTTCAAGACCAGCCTGGCCAAGATGGCGAAACCCCTTCTCTACTAAAAATACAAAAATTAGCTATGTGTGGTGGTGGGTGCTTGTAATCCCACCTACTCGGGAGGCTGAGGCAGAGAATTGCTTGAACCCGGGAGGCGGAGGTTGCAGTGAGCCGAGATCGTGCCACTGCACTCCAGCCTGGGTGACAGAGCAAGACTCTATCTCAAAAAAAAAAAAAAGAAACTAGAAGAAGAAGAGCAAACTACATTCAAAGCAAGTGGCAGGAAGAAGAAAAAATATTAGAAAGGAATAAATGAAAGAAAGGATAGAGAAACCGTCTGGGCACAGTGGCTCATTCCTGTAATCTCTGCACTTTGGGAGGCTGAGGTGGGAGTATCACTTGAGCCCAGGAGTTCAAGAGCAGCCTGGGAGACACAGCAAAACCTTGTCTCTTCCAAAAATAAAAATAAAAAAGAAGAAGAAGAAAGAAAAAAAAAGAGAATAAAAAAATAAAGAAAATCAGTAAAACCAAAAGTTGGTTCCTTAAAAAGATCAACAATATTGACAAATGTTTAGTTAGATTGATGAAGAAAAAAGAAGATTCAAATTACTAAAATCAGAAATGAAAAAGTGGGCAGTACTACCAATTTTACAGTAATAGAGGGGATCATAAAGGATTAAGTATATATCAACAAATTGGATAACCTAGATAAAACAGACAACTTCCTAGAATGACAAAAGCTAGTGAAACAGAGCCAAGAAAAATAGAAAATCAAACCCACAATGAGATACCACTGAATACCAGCTTGGATGCCTATAATCTAAAACACAGATAATAACAAGTGTTATTGAGGATGTGAGGAAATTGGAACTGTTGTGCATTGATGATGGGAATGTAAAATGGTACATCTTGAAAAACTGTGTCAGTCCTTCAAAAAATTAAATATTGAGTTAAAATATGACCCAAAAATTCCTCTTATATATACTCAAGAGAATTGAAAACATATGTTCACAAAAATGTGTACATAAGTGTTCATAGCAACATTATTCATAATAGTCAAAAAGTGGAAACAACCTAGATGCCAATCAGTAAACCAAATCAATCAATAAACCAAATATGGCCTATCTGTGTAATAGAATATTACTTAACCACAGAAAGGAATGAAGTACTGACACATGCTACAATGTGGATGAATCCTGAAAATGTTCACCAGAAACAAAAGAACATATATTGTATGATTCCACTTTTATGAAATATCAAGAATAAGTAAATCCACAGAGACAAGAAGTGGATTAATAGTTTTTAGAGAATGGGAGGACAGGAGAATGGTAAGTGCCTACTAATGGGTATGGGGTTTCTTTTGGGGATGATGACATTGTTCTGGAATTAGATAGTTATGCTGGATGCACAACTGTGAATATGCTAAAAAAAAAAACCCCACCGAATTGTACACTTAAAAGGGCGAATATTATGGTATTTGAATTATATGTCAATTTTAAAAGAATGAATAAAAATAACAACTAATGCCTTTAAAAATATATGAAAGATTCCACTTACCTTGTATTTAGACTATCCCAGTGGTAACATTTTGCATAACTGTGGTACCATATCACAACTAGGAAAATGAATGACATTGGTACAGTCCACAAAGCTTATTCAGATTTTGCCATTTGTATCTGCTTATGTGTGTATGTAGCTCTATACAGTTTTATCACGTGTAGATGACTGTAACAACGACAGTCAAGATACATAACAGTCCCATTATCAAAGGATCCTTTATGGTACCTGTTTGTACTCACACCCTTCCTGTTCTACATCCCTAATCCCTGGCAACCATGAATCTGTTCTCCATCTCTGTAATTTTGTTATTTCAAAATTTTAATATAAATTGTTATGTCTTGGCTGGGTGTGGTGATGCACGCCTGTAATCCCAGCACTTTGTGAGGCTGAGGCGGGTGGATCGTTAGAGCTCAGGAATTTGAGACCAGTCTGGGCGACAAAGCGAGACCCCATCTCTACTAAAAATAAACAAATTAGCCAGGGGTGGTGAAACATGCCTGTAATCCCAGCTACTAGGGAGGATGAGGCACAAGAATCACTTGAACCTGGGAGGCAGAGGTTGCAGTGAGCCGAGATCATGCCACTGCACTCCAGCCTGGGCAGAAGAGTGAGACTCTGTCTCAAAAAAAAGAAAAGTCTACATCAAATTCAGTTTTTGGTATAACGTACTTTGGCTACAAGAAAAATATATTTAGTTTACTTCACTAATAGGAATATCTCTTAATGTTGAGAGAGCCTCTCCTTGGTATTTTTCTGCTGCTGATTTTTACCACAGCTATCTGTGATTGTATGAATGGAGTCAAGTGGAGGGCTATTAATCATGCTAATTTCAAATAAGTGTGCATAGCTGATTACTGCAGTAATAAGGAGGGAGACAGGTAATGCAACTGCCCAATATATGTTAGGCCAATTGGTTGAGCCCAGGGAGTTGAGTCAAGAATTAGGTATGGCTTGGCATGGTGGCTCACACCTGTAATCCCAGCACTTTGGAAGGCCAAGGTGGGAGGATCGCTTGAGCCCAGGAGTTCAAGACCAGCTTGGGCAACGTGGTGAGACCCCATCTCTACAAAAGTATAAAAATTAGGCCTTGTGGCACATGCCTGTAGTCCCAGGTACTTGGGAGGCTGAGGTGGGAGGATCAGTTGAGCCCAGGAGGTCAAGGTTGCAGTGAGCAATCGTATAATCGTGCCACTGCACTCCCGCCTTTGGAGACTGTCTCCAAAAAAAAAAAAAAAAAATGAGGTATAAAACCCCACACAACATAAAAAATAAAAAACTACGTCCTTAGCAACAATATAGATGCAGCCAGACGCGAATAGCCTAAGCAAATTAACACAGTGTTATATATAAAGTTTCAGTGCTGCAAAAGAAACAGCACTCGAATATAAATTTTTTTTTAGTAAGGCAAGGTATTATTTACTTATTTATTTATTTTTTTGAGACAGAGTTTCACTCTTGTTGCCCAGGCTGGAGTGCAATGGCGCGATCTCAGCTCACCGCAACCTCTGCCTCCCAGGTTCAAGCAATTATCCTGCCTCAGCCTCCTGAGTAGCTGGGATTACAAGCATGAACCACCACGCCCAGCTAATTTTGTATTTTTAGTAGAGACAGGGTTTCTCCATGTTGGTCAGGCTGGTCTCGAACTCCCAACCTCAGGCGATCTGCCCATCTCGGCCTCCCAAAGTGCTGGGATTACAGGAATGAGCCACTGCGCCTGGCCAAGGCAAGGTATTTTTATACAGAAGGGTGCGTCTTTATAGATGGAACAACGGTGAGTGCAAACTTGGATAACGGAGGGGAAGGGGTTATTTTTGATGCACATGGCTTTTGTTGTTGTGTCTTTTTTTATTGGCTAGGGTTAGACTGTACAGGCTAAACTTATTTTGATTGGCTAATTTAAAGAGAACGACGGGGTTAGTGTTTTGGCCAGAGTCAGGGCACAGCAGGTAGCAGGTAATTGGAATGAGTTAGGGTGAAGCAGATGATCAGAGTGAGTCAGGATGGAGCAGGTGATCAGAATGAGTTAGGGTGGAGCAGGTGATCAGAATGAGTTAGCGTGGAGCAGGTGATTGGAATGAGTTAGGGTGGAGTAGGTGATTAGAAAGAGTCAGGGTGGAGTAGGTAATCGGGATGAGTTACGGTGGAGTAGGTAATTGAAAAAGGTTGCTTTAGGAGGAATTTTAAAAGTAGAAGGCAAAGAATTGAACACATTGACATATTAATGTTTTGAAAAGAAATTTAGAACTCATATCTAACAACAGGAATAGAAAACCAAATACCACATGTTCTCACTTAAAGGCGGAGCTAAACATTGAGTGCATGTGGACACAAAGAGGGGAATGACAGACACTGGGTCTACTTGAGGGTGGAGGGTGAAAGGAGGGGGAGGGTTGAAAAAGCACCTGTCTCCGGGCGCGGTGACCCATGCCTGTAATAGCAGCACTTTGGGAGGCTGAGGCAGGCAGATCACCTGAGGTTGGGAGTTCGAGACCAGCCTGGCCAACATGGAGAAAACCCGTTTCTACTAAAAATACAAAATTAGCCAGGCATGGTGGCACATGCCTGTAATCCCAGCCACTCCAAAGGCTGAGGCAGGAGAATCGCTTGAACCTGGGAGGCGGAGCTTGCAGTGAGCCGAGATCGCTCCACTGCACTCCAGCCTGGGCAACAGAGTGAGACTCCATGTCAAAAAAGAAAAAGAAAAAGCACCTGTCTAGTACCATGCTCACTATCTGGGGGATGAGATTATTTGTACCCCAAACTCCAGTGACATGCAATTTATCCATGTAACAAACCTGCACATGTACCCCTGAACCTGAAATAACAGTTGAAAAATAAATTAAAAACAAATAAATAAATAAAAGCCTGCATGAGCTAGAATGGGAAACCAAATTGGGAACTTAGGAAGAGAGGTACAAATCACTCCTTCTGGAAAGAAGTGATGATAGTGAATTTTCCACCGTGTCCCCAGGTCTTTAGACCATCTCAGCAGAGGATCTTCCAAGCAGCTGCTGCACCAGGGGTTTCAGGGAGATGCAGTGAAGAAAAGGAGAAAGTGCAATGGCATCATCCCCACCCTGGCCCAGGCAAACCACAACCCTCACTCATTCCTTTTATTTTAATATAAAATTTTAATTTTAGAACAGTTTAGACTGTTAAGATAGTACAGTTCTCGTATACTCCACACCCAGTTTTCCCTCTTAGTAACATCTAACATTATTGGGGCACATACATCACCATGAATGGACCAATCTTGATATATTATTATTAACTGAAGTCCATATTTGAGATTTCCTCAGTGTTTTCCTAATGTCCCTTTTCTGTATCAGGATGCCACCCAGAATACCATATTTTGTTTGGCAGTTTTATCTCCTTAGGCTCCTCTTGGCTGTGACACTTTCTCTGACTTTCCTTGTCTTTGATGACTTTAAGAGTTTTTTTGTTTTGTTTTGTTTTTGAGACAGAGTTTCGCTCTTTCGCCCAGGCTGGGGTGCAATGGCGTGATCTCAGCTCACAGCAACCTCCGACTTCTGGCTTCAAGCGATTCTCCTGCCTCAGCCTCCCGAGTAGCTGGGATTACAGGCTTGCGCCATCATGCCCGGCTAATTTTTGTAGTTTTTAGTAGAGACAGGGTTTCACTATCATGGCCAGGCTGGTCTCAAACTCCTGACCTCGTGATCCGCCCGCCTCAGCCTCCCAAAGTGCTGGGATTACAGGCTCGCGCCATCATGCCCGGCTAATTTTTGTAGTTTTTAGTAGAGACAGGGTTTCACTATCATGGCCAGGCTGGTCTCAAACTCCTGACCTCGTGATCCGCCCGCCTCAGCCTCCCAAAGTGCTGGGATTACAGGCGTGAGCCACCATGCCTGGTGAGAGTTTTGAGGAATACAGATTACGTATTTTATAGAATGTCCTTCAATTGTGACTTATTTAATGATTTCCTTATGATCAGATTGGGGTAATGTGTTTTAGGAGGAAGACTAGAGAGGTAAAGTGCCATTGTCATCACATCGACATCACTGGTTTTATTGTTGTTGTTGTTTGGAGACGGAGTCTCGCTCCGTTGCCCAGGCTGGAGTGCAATGGCTCGATCTCTGCTCACTGCAACCTCCGCCTCCCAGGCTCAAGTGAGTCTCCTGCCTCATCCAGAGTAGTTGGGATTACAGGTGCCCACCACCATGCTCAGCTAATTTTTATTTATTTATTTTTTTTTTGTATTTTAGTAGAGACAGGGTTTCACCATGTTGCTCAGGCTTTCAAACTGCTGACCTCAAATGATCCGCCCGCCTCGGCCTCCCAAAGTGCTGGGATTACAGGCATGAGCCACCGTGCCTGGCCAACATCACTGTTGATGTTGACCTTGACCACCTGTCTTGAGATAGTGTTTGTCAGGTTTCACCACTGTAAAGTTACTCTTTTTTTTTTTTTAAATCCTATTTCATACTGTACTCTTGGGAAGAAAGTCACTGTGTGCAACTCATATTTAAGAAGTAGGGAATTATGTTCTAACTTCTTAAGGGCAGAATATCAACATCAATTATTTGGAATTCTGCCTGGAGATATGTCTTTCTATTCGTTTTTATTTTTTATTTTTCTGCAAATGATCCTCGTTAAGTATAGAGATATGTCTAATCTCCCCAATTTACTTTTTTATTCAATCATTTATTTGTATCAGCAGAGTCATGAATATTTATTTTATACTTAGGGTTATAATCCCATACTACTTTACTCATTTTCTTGCTCAAATCGTTCCACTTTTGGCCATTAGGAGTTCTTTGAGTTGATTCCTGTATCCTTTTGATATAAGGGGTTTTTGTGTTTTCTCTTTTGAGCACGTTTTTACCTCCTGGCACTATAAGATCCTCTAGGCTCAAATTGTGTGTTTCATGCCCATTCTTAGAATCAGGCTTTTCCTCTAAGAAGTCTTGATTCCTTTAATTGGAGAATAGGCTCTAGGTGTGTTAATTTCTGCTAGGCTGTCATTTCTTATAGACCCTCTCGGCTGACAAATAATTAGAGGTGTGTATGCTAACCCATCTAGATACACACGTATCTGTAAATATTTCTAGATGTAACCATGTGTGCCTATATTAAGCTAAATATGAGTTCACACTCACATCTCCAACGTGAATCCATTGCCACACGGATTATTCCAGCTTCTTTCCCTTCTTGTCTGTAACCTCCCACTCCAACAATCACTCTCATCATCCATTATTCATTTACTTGATTGCTTAATTCCAGTAAACGTGTATAGTGGTTTTCAGAATTGCTAATTCTGAATCCATACCTCCATAGAAAACAACTTTATCAACTAGAGTACGGGACTTTTATGCAATTCCATTTGCTTTTAGTTGTATAGACCCCTTTCACTTCCAAAGTTACTTAGGTCAGCACCTTATTCCTGCACTCTTTTATTGTTTCTTTTCTTTCTTTCTTTTTTTCTTTTTCTTTTTTTTTTTTTTAGAGTGGGGTCTCACTCTGTTGTCCAGGCTGGAGTGCAGTGGCATGATCATAGCTCACTGCAGACTCCAACTCCTGGGCTGAAGCAATCCCCCACTGCCTTGGCCTCCCAAGTAGCTAGTATCATAGGCATGAGCCAGTACACACAGCCAGTGAGGTTGTTTCTTATTTTTGGATTACATTTGTATACTTTGGTCATATTCTGCATTTTATCCTGGGATTTACTGACCTCCTAAATTATTTTTTAAATGTGCATTTTAAGATTTACCCCTGGCCAGACGCGGTGGCTCATGCCTGTAATCTCAGCACTTCAGGAGGCCAAGGTGGGTGGATCACCTGAGGTGAGGAGTTTAAGACCAGCCTGGCCAACATGGTGAAACCCCATCTCTACTAAAAATACAAAAATTAGCTGGGCATAGTGGTGCATGCCTGTAATCCCAGCTACTTGGGAGGCTGAGGCAGGAGAATCACGTGAACCCAGGAGGCGGAGGTTGCAGTCAGCCAAGATCACACCACTGCACACTCCAGCCTGGATGACAGAGCAAGACTCTGTCTTAAAAAAAAAAAAAAAAAAAAAAAAAAGATTTACTCCTTAAAATGTGAAGCTCTATGGGTTTTGAAAGATGCTTAATGTCTGGTATTCTTGTATTCACTATTATAGTATAATAAATAATTTTGTTATTTAAAAAATGTTATATAAATTGGATCATACAGTATTTACCTGTATGATTTTTGGATGGGCTTTTCTTTTTTTTTTTTTTTTTTTTGGACTCAGCATAATTTCCTTGTGCTCCATCCAAGTTGTTCTATATATCAATAATTCATTCCTTTTTTTTTTTTTTTTTTTTTGAGATGGAATCTCACTCTTTTGCCCAGGCTGGAGTGAAATGGCGCGATCTCAGCTCACTGTAACCTCTGCTCCCCGGGTTCAAGTGATTCTCCTGCCTGAGCCTCCTGAGTAGCTGGGATTACAGGCGTCTGCCACCATGCCCGGCTAATTTTTTGTATTTTTAGTAGAGACAGGGTTTTGCCATATTGGCCAGGCTGGTCTTGAACTCCTGACCTCAGGCGATCCACCTGCCTCGGTGTCCCAAAGTGCTGGGATTACAGGTGTGAGCCACCGTGCCTGGCCAATAGTTCATTCCTTTTTATTGTTGTGTAGTATTCTATGTTATAGATGTACCAAAGTTTGTTTAGTCATTCACCTGTGAAAGGATATCTGGCTTTTTTGCACTTTGGGCTATTATGAACAAAGCTGCTATAAACATTCATATACAGGTTATTGTGTGAGCATAGGTTTTTATTTCTCAGGAGTGCAGTTGCTAGGTCATATGGTAAGTGCACGTTTAAATTTGTAAGAAACTGCCAGATTGTTTTTCCAGAGCACCTGTAGCATTTTACATTCTCATCGGTGATACATGAGTGATTCTGTTTCTCTGCACTCTTGCTGGCATTTGGAATTATCACTAATTTTGTTTCAGCCATTCTGATAGCTGTGTTCATACTTTCTTTTGGAAAGCTATATACACATTAAAGTATTAGAGCCAATGCTAACTAGCTAACATTTCCTGTGTGCCTGGCTCCAAGAAAGGCTTTCTGAGCATGGAGGACACCCAGCTCTTGTATGTGAGGGACTGGAGAGGCAGGACTAGAGCATGAGAGGGAGCCCATTTCTCCAGCCCTAAGAGCCTGCAGGCTCAGCAGTCAGGATGCGTTTTGGATGATGACCCCGGTCACCCCTAACAGGAAGCTGTGTCAGGGAAAGCTTCTCTGTGGACCACCTAGCTCAGAGGGAAAAACCAACTTTATGGAAGCATTAAAGAAGGAAATTACTGTCTGGATCCAGCAGAGGCTCAAAGTCAGCCGTTTGAAGCTTCAGGTGAAAGGAAGGGTATTTACTCTCTGGGTCTCCAAAAAGGGGTTCAGATTCTGCCTGTGTTTTGTAAAGAAGCAGGGCAAAGCTAACAAAGGCCCTTGCCCACCTGTGGCAAAATGGAACTGATTTTCAACCTGAGAGAACAGCACCCTACCCCTCCCCAGTGGATTGTGTTCAAGGAGATTTCTAGTTTGTCGCCCAAGTCTATCTCATTTTCTTCCACTTTGATCTATTGTATCAAGCCTAAGACAATACGTTCCTTTTCCTGAAAGTTGTGAATATGGATTAAACCATATTACTGTCCAATTAAGGGATCTCCGTTATCTAAGGAGCAGAGGGCCTTGATGTATCAAAAGTACTTGGTTTTTAAAAAAGAACTCTTTAGTTAAAGGTCAGTTTTGTCTGGAATGACACAGAACACTGTGCTCAGAACCACGTAGAGGAATAATGCTATCAGGAGACTTTCTGTCCTTCCCAGCATACCTTTCTCCACCCTAGCTGTTCCTGCCTTTCACCCCAGGGGACATCTATTGTTCACATACTAGTCTGATTGTTTTTAAGTATTTTTTTATACCCTACCCTACTCCAAAAAAGCTTTGAAGACATTTAAAAATTGAAATATTTTCCTCTATAAAACAGGACAAGAAAAAGGAAAACAAAACTAAAACTAGTTAAAAGGAGCAGAAAAATAGACATGGCCAAATGTGCATTTATCATCTGCAATGATCGTACTTTAAAGAATATGCTTAGCTTTCTTATTAAAAATAAAAGAAAAGAGAGCAAGAGAGAGAGGGTCTTGCTGTGTCACTCAGGCTGGGGAGTAGTGGCATGATCATAGCTCACTGCAGCCCCCTGGGAGATCCCTTAAGCCCAGTCTCCTGGGACTACAGGGTGCACCACCATGCCTGGCTCTTAGCTTCTATTACTCAAATGCAACAACACTCTTTTAGAAAGCCGTCTTCTGACTTCTCTAATATGATGTCTTCAAAGTTCAATTTATACTCCCGTATTTTCCATTTCACTGTTTCCTTGCTTCTCAATTACTAAGCTCTTAGTGGCTTATCCACTTAAACATCTTAAGAAGGATTTTCCAGTAGTCTTAAGACTCCAGTTGATAGCTATCACCCCTTCTAGAAAACAATACAGATGGCTCTTCTGTTACTCCCACACACAAACATTATTCATCTCAAAAACATTCTGAAGACAACTTGCAAAGATGTGATAAAGCCAGTGCTATGGCTAAATTGTGTCCCTCCCCCTAAATTCATATGTTGAAGCCCCAACCCCCAATGTGCTGGTATTTGGAGGCAGCACCTTGGGAGGTAATTAGATTTAGATGAGGTCATGAGGGTGAAGCCCTCCTAATGGGATTAGTGTCCTTATAAGAAGAAGAAGAGAAGTCAGATCTCTCTCTTTCCCTCTCCCTCTCTGCCATGTGAGGACACAGTGAGAAAGCCACTGTCTGCAAACCAGAAAGAGAGCCTTCACCAGGAATTAAATCAGCTGGCACCTTGATCTTGGATTTCCCAGACTCCAGAACTAAAATAAATAAATAAATAAATAAATGCAGTTTAAGCCACTAAGAGCTGAGACAGCTAAATCAACTGATGAATAAATATATATTGAGGTACTCCTGTTAATATATGCTATCTGAGGGTAGGGGCCTTGTCTCTCTTGTCTACTACTGTGTCCTCATACAATTCCTGGAACATAGTAGAGACTCAAATATTTGCTGAAAATTGTTGAGTGCCTTCTCTGAGCAGGATACTATTCTTAGACCTTCTGGAAATTTGCAGAAATAAAGGATTCAGGGGTTCCTGACCAGTGCCCCCCTCTACCCACCCAAGGCCTGTCATGACACATACATCTATCTAATGGTGGGTGAAAGCTTCGACTTCCTATGCGAAGGCCTTTTGGAAGAGCCAAGATTCCCTCTGTGGTTACCATCTCCTTGGAGGCCACAGAAACCCTGCATAGGCCCACTATGCAGAGTTGGGAGAGGCATATTCACCAGGTAAGGTGGCGATGCAGCTCTGAAAAGCCTTGGCTAGTTGCAGGTAGAGATATTCTAGCATGCAGTCATCCCTTCAGCTGTTCAGCCTCTGGAAATGGCCATACTACTACCATTTTTGAGGGAAACACAGTAACAAAACGTCACATGTGAAATGTCCCTTTGAGTTCTTTAACTTCTGTGATTGTGGTTTATTCCAGTGCTGTGACAGGGCTGCCTCAAACCGGGACCAGATCTCCCAAGCCACTGACTTCCTGGGCCATGTTAATGCTGCTGCCTGACTTCCTAGCTGCTGCCCTATCATCTTTTCCTAATGCTTAAGTGCCCATTAGTACTCAGATGCTGTAGCGCTTTAAGCCCAGCCCCTCAGGGAAGAGGCAATGTTCAGGGTAGGAGAGCTGACTGAAAGACAAACTAATAAATAAATCACAGCAGATAACACTCCACATGTTCCAAAACCCTAATCTTTGAGTAAAATCCCCAATCTGTTTAATTAGACTATACTTCTCTAATTTATTTTTTTTTAGAGACGGGGTCTTGCTATGTTGCCTCAAACTCCAGCTCTGAAAAGCCTTGTCTAGATCCCAGGGATCCCCTGCCTCAGCCTCCCACGTAGCTGGGACTACAGGTGCATGCCACCACGACTGGCAATACTTCTCTTTTTGATAAATATAGTGCATAGAGCAGGTTTCTGAGACTTAGCACTATTAGCATTTTGGTCCAGATAATTTTGTGCTGAGAGTGCTGTCCTCCATATTGTAGGGTGTTTAGCAACATCTCTGGCTCCTACTCACTAGGTGCAGGGAGGTGCCACTCCCACCCAAAAATATCTCCCAACATTGCCAGATGTCCTGTTTGGGAACCACTGGGGTAGAGTAAGCAACACAATCTGAAATACATGACTACAAAAAAGCCAGTGAATGCATCAGCCCAAAGCTGATGGAATTTGTCCTTAAAAAAGAGGCAAAATGTCAGTAAGAGGTGAAGCTTGCAACTTTCTGTGACCTTGAAACTGTTTCGAAATAAAAAGTTCTAAAAAGAGAGAGGCCAGGTGGGGTAGCTCACCACTGTAATTCCAGCATTTTGGGAGGCCAAGGCAGGAGGCTCACTTAAGCCCAGGAGTTTGAGACCAGCCTGGACAACACGGTGAAATCCTATCTCTACAAAAAATACTGAAATTAGTGGGGCGTGGTGGTCCATGCCTATAGTCCCAGCTCCTCGGGAGGGTGAGGCAAGAGGATCACTTGGGCCCAGGAGGTTGAGGCTGCAGTGAGCCATGATCATGCCACTGCACTCTAGCCTGGGCAACAGAACAAGACCCCATCATCTCTTGAAAAAAAAAAAAAAAAAAAAAAAGAAGACGAGAGAGAGAGAAGAGAGAAAGACATAGCTTGGATTCAAAGTTGTTCCTTTAAAAAAATATGTTTATTGAGATACAATTCACATACCTAACTATTCACCCATTTAAGGGGTAAATTTAATTTAAACTCAATGTTCTTACTTTAAGTCCATTTTAGCATTCCATTTAAAGTCAATATTTTTTTAGTAAGTTCAGAGTTGTGCAACCACTACCACAATCTAATTTTATTTTATTTATTTATTTATTTATTTATTTATTTATTTATTTATTTATTTTGAGACGGAGTCTCGCTCTGTCGCCAGGCTGGAGTGCATTGGCGTGATCTCGGCTCACTGCAACCTCCGCCTCCCAGGTTCAAGCAATTCTCCTGCCTCAGCCTCCCGTGTAGCTGGGACTACAGGTGCCTGCCACCACGCATGGATAATTTTTGTATTTTTAGTAGAGACGGGGTTTCACCATGTTGGTCAGGCTGGTCTCAAACTCCTGACCTCAGGTGATCCCGCCTGCCTCAGCCTCCCAAAGTGCTGGGATTACAGGCGTGAGCCACCGGGCCCAGCTACAATCTAATTTTAAACATCCATTCCCCCTAAAAGAAATCCATATCCATTAGCAGTCACACAGATTGACCCCAGGCAACCACTAATTTACTTTGTCTCTACAGATTTGCCTATTCTGAGCATTTCATATAAATATAATAATTCAATATTTTGTCACTGGCTTCCTTCACCAAGAATAATGTTTTCAAGGGTCATCCACGTTGTGGCATGTATTGGTACTTCATTCCTTTTTATTGCTGAAAAACAGTTTTGGTGAATGTTCATTTTCATTTTGGGGGATATCTATGTGGGAGTAGAGTTACTGAGTCATAAGGTAACTCTATATTTGTGATTTTGAGGAAATACCATATTGTTGCTTGATGTTAGCTGCAGCATTTTAAATTCCCACCAGCAATGTATAAGGGTTCCAATTTCTCTGCATCCTCCCTAATACTTGTTATTGTCTGGCTTTTAATTATAGTTCTCCTATCTCACTGTGGCTTTGACTTGCATATTCCTAATGACTCAATGTAAGCATGTTCTCATGTACTTATAGGCCATCTGTATATCTTCTTTGGACAAATGTCTATTCCAAACCTTTTCTATTTTTTTAAAATAAGCTTGTTATTTTGAGGTAATTATAAATTCACATGCAGTTCTAAGAAATAATACAGAGAGATCCTGTGTATTTTTTACCCAGTTTTCCCCATGGTAACATCCTTCAAAACTAGTACAATGTGACAATCAATATATTGCCACTGATACAGTCAAGATACAGAACATTTCCATCACCACTAGGATCCCTCATGTTTCCCTTTTAAAACCACACCCACTTCCCTCCTGCCCTTACCCCTTCTCACCCCTGGCAGCCCCTAATCTCTTCTTCATTTCTAAAATTGTATCATTTCAAGAATGTGATACACATGAAACAATAGAGTATATAACCTTCTGGGATTGTTCTTGTTTTCACTCAGCAAAATTCTCTGGAGATTCATCCAGGTTGTTAAGTGCTAGTGTTGCTTTTTATTGCTGAGCACCTTGGGATGGGCCAGTTTGTTTGACCATTTACCTGTGGAAGGACATCTGGGCTGTTTCCAGTTCTGACCTATTACAAGAAAAGCTGCTATAAACATATGTGTACAGGTTTTGGTTTGAATATATGTCCTCATTTATCTGGGTTAAATGCCTGGGGTTGAAATTGCTGAGTTGTATGGTAGTCGTATATTTAATTTTTTTAGAAAATTGCCAAACTGATTTCCAGCATGGTTGTGCCATTTTACATTCCCTCCAGCAATGGATGAGTGATCCAGTTTCTTTGCTGCACCAGAGTAGATCTTCTGCCCTATGAAGGCTGAGCAGGGGAAGGGACACCTGGTCCCCTCTGACGCACTTGTCTGTCACAGAGCCTCTGCAACAAGGGCTGGGGAGGGAGAGAGAAACACTGGCAGCCTCCCCTCCTGGGGTTAAACTGGGAGACCAGACTGGGCGCTCCAGGAGAGGGGGCCCCGGTCTCCTTGTCTGTTACTTGCATGGCGTTATCATTCCTGAGGTAGAACTTCCAGAACATGAAGCTGGGGCAAGGGGTAAAGAAGGTTGTTCCTGTCTCACATGCCATAGACTCTCCTTGTTCTTGCTAAGATTTAGTAGATTTCCTTGAATGAATGTCTCTTTGTTTGCTGTGTCCCCTTGGGACAATTCTCAGAAATTTTTAGTTTTTTTTTTTTTTTATAATTTTCATCAAATTGTTGTTTGCTGCGGAGAGGGTCAGCTGAGCTCCTGACTCTGTCCTTCTGGAAGTCCCAACCCCTCAAGCTTGATTCTTTATGTGACCAAGAATCTGATAGAGGGAAAAATGCCCCATCCTGCCAAAAAATTGTAAAGTCCTCTAGCAGTATAATTGGCCCAGGTCCTCCCGGGGCTGAGAGTGGAAGTTCTCATGACCCCACAGTCCTGGCTGCCTACTGGGCTGGCTGAAGTACCATGCCCAGACAACTTGGGCGCTGGCCTGCCTTGAAAATAAAAATAGAACTTCTTTTTTCTCCTAAAGGGGATTGGATATGTCTATAACGTAAAGTGGACTCGTGATGGAAGACTGGAGCTAGTATTTTAATTTTACACCAAAAATACTGCCCGTTCCAGAGTCATGTTTTCTTGGTGCACTCAGCTGAGTGGCTCATTAAGCTGGTCCCGGACAGAGGAGTCAGTAGATCAGACTAAAGAAATAGGGCAGGCACAGGTATTTTTGTTTGTTTTAAATGGATAATACAGTAACGTAGTTTACCTAATAGCATATGATAGGAAGTCTTCCTGCCACTCCTGTCCCCTGCCACTCAGTCCTCCTCTACTGATAGGCCACCCATGAAATTCAGTTATTCTGTATCCTTCCAGAGATATGCTCTATAAAAAACATGTTTCTTATTTTCCCCAGAAAGCCTGAGTTAGATCAATCCTTACTAGCTGGGTGGGTCTTCATCTGAAAAAAGGGAGTAACAGCACCTACTTCACAAGGTTAGGGTGCACATTAAATGAAATCCTATTAAATGGTGCTTTCTAAATAGAAAAGTAGTGTGCCACTGCCAGCTGTTGTTTTCATGGGAGCAGCCACCATGTAGCAATAGTGAGATGGAGATCGGCTGTATTCAGTAGGTTCTCCAGAATCAGGAATTAGTCCTGGGGAAGTACCTGAAGCTGACTGAGGAGAGAGAACACAGGCCACAGGGAAACTAATATGGTTAAAGTCAGCATAAAACAGGGTCTGATAGGCTAGCAAGGAAAGAACTGTGGGAAGCCAGTGATGCACAAAAACTACCCTGGAGCTGGTGGGAGAAACTTTCCATCTGTCTGTTGCCCATGTACTGAAGAAATGCAGCAGGGTTCAAGGCTAGCTGATAAAGAGAGGCACCTTCTCCCAGGAAGAGGCCCACTATTGGACCAGTGATAATGTTGGGTTGAACTCAAAACAGAGTTGGGGTCTTCTGAAGACCATCTAGAAGGGCCTGTTCCAAAGCCCATGCAGAGCCTAATTTATGACAGGGCCAACCCAGGAGATCTGACACAGGCTCAGCCAGGAAACGAGGACCCAGATTGAGTTAGCATCTGTTTCCAACTTTTCCTTTTCAGGCAGAATGAGTGAGGTAGCAGTAAGAGAAGCCAGAGGGAATGGGCAAGGAGTCAAAAAGATGTCTTAAGCCTTCCTCTACCTAGGCTACCACCTGGAAAACGTCCTGCAGGGAGCCGTCCTATTCTCTCATTGTCCTTTAAAACAACTTCAAAGACTGCAGAGGTGGTGAGTGATAGGCAAATCCTTGCCCAGGAGAGAGGAGAGGTGTGTATGGCAGCACCGCTGGGAAGCAGGCAGAGAGGAAGCCAGTTTGGAGGCTGGAATTCCCATTGTTCATCTGTTTTTGAATGAGTTTGACATCCAACAAGATGACACAGTTACCTGCCTTGCTGAGGGCTCCTCTCTGGCCACACATTCTGCAGTTTCAGCAGGCTTCCCGCCCAAGTCTGGCTGAAGAAGGGAGGCCTGGCAACTGTCTGAGGTTCGGAGTGTGGTTAATGGCTGAGGGAACACCAAGTCAGACGCCAAGGACAACAGGGGACCTTCTGCAGTCTCAGAGTTTGCTTTTAACAAGAGCTGGGTGCTCATTTCACAGCCAGAATCAACCCACTTGCTGAGGAGTCTGGGTCACTGCCCACTCTAGCCTCAGGGCACTCCCAGGGCAGATCCAAAGCTCCCTGTCATGAACCCTGGTATGTCCTGGAGGTGTCTTCCCTGACCCTCAAAGACTGATTAAATAAGGAGCTGAAGAAGAAACAGTTAAAGGGTTTAAAAGTGATTGCCTCTGTGAAAGGAGCAGAATTGGAGGGTAAATAAAGAGGATGTTATTGTTTGCCTTTTAGTAATTGTTTGCTTTAAAAAAAAAACAAAATAGCTATTTCTGCCTTTTTCTCTCAACTTTTTATTATAAAAGATTTCAAACCCAGAGAAAAGTTGAAAAACACATACAATGAAATGACATCAAAAAAACTATCCATAAAGATAAATTGAATGTCATCAAAATTAAAAGCTTCTGCTCCTTGAAAGACATTGTTAAGGAAAAGACAAACCATGGACTGGAAGAAAATATTTTTAAAATACATATCTGGCTGGGCACACTGGCTCACGCCTATAATCCCAGCACTTTGGGAGTCCAAGGCGGGCGGATCACCTGAGGCCAGGAGTTCAAGACCAGCCTGGCCAACATGGTGAAACTCCGTCTCTACTAAAAATACAAAACTTAGCAGGGCGTGGTGGCGGGCGCCTGTAATCCCAGCTACTCGGGAGGCTGAGGCAGAAGAATCGCTTGAACCAGGAGACGGAGTGTGCAGTGAGCGGAGATGGCGCCATTCCACTCCAGCCTGAGCGACAGAGCGAGACTCCATTTCAAAAAAATAAATAAATAAATAAAACTAAAATACATATCTGATAAAGGACTTATATGGAGAATATTTTTAATATTCACAAAACTCAATAAGAACATAGATAACCTAATAAAAATGGGCAAAAGATCCGAACAGACACTTCACTAAAGAAGACATACAGGCCAGGCGCGGTGGCTCACGCCTGTAATCCCAGCACTTTGGGAAGCCGAGGTGGGCAGATAACAAGGTCAGGAGATTGAGAGCATCCTGGCTAACGTGGTGACCCCATCTCTACTAAAAACAGTGTTTTAAATTAGCCGGGCGTGGTGGCACGGGCCTGTAGTCCCAGCTACTCAGGAGGCTGAGGTAGGAGAATGGCGTGAACCCGGAAGGCAGAGCTTGTAGTGAGCCGAGTTTGCGCCACTGCACTCCAGCCTCGGCAACGGAGTGAGACTCTGTCTCAAAAAAAAAAAAAAAAAAAAAGAAGACATACAAATGGCATATAAGCACATGAAAAGATGCTGAACATCATAAGTCACTAGGGAAATGCAAATCAAAACCATTACATGATACCACTACATACTCATTAAAATGGCTATCATTAGAAAAGTCAGCAATACCAAGTGTTGGTGAAAACATGAAGAACTAGAACTCTCATATATCGCTACTGGGAACTGAAAATATCCTGGAAAACTGTTTAGCAGTTTCTTAAACAGTTAAACATAATCTCACTCCTCAATATTTACCCAAGAGAAGTGAAAATTTGTGTTTACACAAAAATCCACAGGCAAATGTTTATAGTGGCTTTATTCATAATTGCCTAATACTGAAAACAACCTACATGTCTTTCAGCTGATACGTGGATAAACAAAGAGCAATACATCCAAACAGTGGAATACTACACAGCAATAAAAAGGGAATAAACTGACACATGCAAAAACATGGATTAATCTCAAACGTCTTAAGCTAAGTGTCAAAGGTTGAATTGTGTCCTCCCAAAAATAGTAAGTCCTAACTCTCTAACACTTCAGAATGTGATCTTATTTGGAAATAGGGTCACTGCAGATATAATGTCTTAAGATGAGGTCATACTCAAATAAGGTGGGCCCTTAGTCCCATATGACTGATGTCCTTATAAAGAGACACACAGGAAAAATGCCATGCAATGAGAGGTGGAGATTGGAGTTACGCAGGCACAAGGTAAAAAAATGCCAAGATTGCTGGTGACACCAGAAGCTAAGAGAAAGGAATGGAACAGATTCTTCCTGGAGCCTTTGGGAAAGCATGGTCCTTCCGACAATATAATTTTGGACTTCCAGCATCCAGAATGAGACAATACTTTCTTTTATCTTTTCTTTTTCTTTTTTTTTTTTTTTTTGATACAGTCTCGCTCTGTCTTCCAGGCTGGAGTGCAGTGGCATCATCTCGGCTCATTGCAACCTCCGCCTCCTGGGTTCAAGTGATTCTCCTGTCTCAGCCTCCCGAGTAGCTAGGATTACAGGTACATACCACCATGCCCCGCTAATTTTTGTGTTTTTAGTAGAGACGGGGTTTTGTCATGTTGGCCAGGCTGGTCTCAAACTCCTGACCTCAGGTAATCTGCCCGCCTTGGCCTCCCAAAGTGCTGGGATTACAGGCATGAGCCACCCGCGCCTGGCTGACAATACATGTCTATAGTTTGAAGTCACCCAGTTTGTGTTGTTTTGTTACAGCAGCCCTAGCAAACTAATGTATAAGTGAAAGAAGCCAGACTTAAAAGGCAACATACTATGTGCTTCCATTTGTATGACATTCTGGGAAAGGCAAAACTATAGAAATGTTGCATAGATCAGTGGTACAAGGGGTAGGGGGTAGGGTGAGGAGATGACTACAAAGGGGCAAGGGAGAATTCTAGGGATGATAAACTGTTCTATGTGTTGATTATGATGGTAGTTATACAATTGCATGTGTTTGTCAAAATTCATAAAACTTTACAATTAAATGGGTACATTTTACTTTGTAAATTATACCTAATTAATCTGACCAAAAATAATTTCCAAAAACCCAAAACCAACAGTCAAAAAACTTTGCATATCTTCCACCCAGATTCAACAGCTGCTAATATTTGACCATTTGCTTTATATATGAATGTGATTTTTCCTGAATCATTTGAAAATAAGTTGCAGACATCAGGACATTTTATACCTAAATATTTCATTATACACTTTTTTTTTTTTGAGACGGAGTTTTGCTCTTGTTGCCCAGGCTGGAGTGCAATGGCGCAATCTCAGCTCACCACAACATCCGCCTCCTGAGTTCAAGTGATTCTCCTGCCTCAGCTGGGATTACACGCATGTGCCACCACACCCTGCTAATTTTGTATTTTTAGTAGAGACGGGTTTTCTCCATGTTGGTCAGGCTGGTCTCAAACTCCCGATCTCAGGGGATCTACCCGCCTCAGCCTCCCAAAGTGCTGGGATTACAGGCACGAGCCACCGCATCCAGCCCCTCATTATACATCTTCTAAGAATAAGGTCAATTTTCTACATATCCAAGAAAAGTAACAATAACTCTAATTATTATATCATCTAATTTACGGTCCATATTTCAACTTCTCCAGTGTATTCAAAATGTCTTTTGTAATTGTCTTTTTCTAACTATATCCAGTCAAGGATAATATTATGTATTTGGATGGTGTGTCTCTACAATCTCTTAATCTAGAATAATCTTTGCATCTTTTATTTATTTATTTATTTTGGAGATGGAATCTTCCTCTGTTACCTAGGCTGGAGTGCAGTGGCTCCATCTCGGCTCACTGCAACCTCCTCCTTCCAGGTTCAAGCGATTCTCCTGCCTCAGCCTCCTGAGTAGCTGGGATTACAGGCGGCTGCCACAATGCCCAGCTTGTATTTTTAGTAGAGATGGTGTTTCGCTATGTTGGCCAGGCTGGTCTCGAACTCTTGACCGCAGGTGATCTGCCTCTCAAAGTGCCGGGATTACAGGCGTAAGCCACCGCACCCGGCCATCTTTGAATCTTTTAATTTTTAAAGTTATTTATTTACTTTTAATTTTTTTGTAGCGACAAGGTCTTGCTATCTTACCCAGGCTGGTCTCAAACTCCTAGCCTCAAGTGATCCTCCTGCCTTGGCTTCCCGAAGTGCTGGGATTACAGGTGTGAGCCACTATACCTGGCTAGCTTCTTTTTTCTTGTTATGACCTTTGTTCAAACACATCGTACTGCAGAATGTCTGACATTCTGGATGTGGTTGATCACTTCTTCATGGTGTTACCAAATATGTTCTTCTATCCCTGCATTTCTTGTAAACTAGAAATTAGGTCTAAAGGCTTGATTAGATTCTGGTTAAATGCTTTTGGCAAGAATAGTTCACAGCTGATAGAGACTTATTTTTCCTTCTTACTGGCCTCCCTACTGGCCTATTTTTCTACATTTCTACATTTCTCTCTCATACAATGAAGGACTTGTGTACCTGGGCAACCATATCTTGTGGTGGGCCTGGTGTACCAGCTAGACACCAAGGCCACAAACATCAATAAGGTAGTTTCTGTCCTAAAGGAGATAAAAGAATGCAATAGCACCCTTTATCATCCAATAAATATGTAGTAACTGCCATGAGGAGCCAGGCACCATGCTAGGTGCTGGGGATACAGCATTAAGCAAAGACCAACAAGTTTACAGTCTAAAGTACAAGGCAAATATTCGTAACAAAGAAAATCCAGAAATAACTTGTGATAAATGCTATGGGAAAAAAAAAAAAAGCACAGGAGAGTATGGCTCAGTATCATGGGAAACCTGACCTAGGGGTGTGCCATGTGAGGTGAGGACTGAAGGATGGGCAGCATACCTCTCATAGAAAAGCAGGGGGATGTGTGTGGTGAGAGGGAAGGATTAGTGGAAGGCAGGGCAAGGGAGGTGAGCTACAAGAAGTTCTCCAAATGGCAGGCAGGCAATTACAATCCCCTGTGGTGATGCCATGGCAGGAATGAACCTACATGCTAAACATGGGCGGTCAGGGCAGCTTCCCTGAGAAAGTGACGTCCAAAGGAAGGCCTGAAGGATGACTCAGTCCGTGGAGGTGAGCAGAGGGAAGATGGAGAAGCAAAGCAGCCTGTTGCTAGAGTTAAATCTGTGTAGGAACTTAGGTTCAAGAAAACTATGATGTATTCTTGCCAAAAATTTTAATATGAATAAAGACTCTAGATCTAACTTCTGGTTTACAGGAAATACTGGGGATTCAATACTGATTTGAATTAAAAACTCTTAACTAAGGCCAGGCATGGTGACTCATCTCTGTAATCCCAGCACTTTGGGAGGCTGAGGCAGGAGGATCATTTACACCCAGGAGCTCAAGACCAGCCTGGGCAATATAGTAAGATCTCATCTTTACAAAACGCTTAAAAAAAATTAGCTGGGCCTGGTGGCACGTGCCTGCGGGTCCCAGCTACTCAGGAGGCCAAGGTAGAAGGATCACTTAAGCTATGATCATGCCACTGCACTCCAGCCTGGGCGACAGAGTGTGACCCTGTCTCTAAAAAATAAAAAATTCCCTAAGCCACACAAGTAAGAGGCAGAGTCGGAATCCAATCCAAAGTTGCTGTTTCCAAAGCACCTGTATTTATCACACAACACTGCTCCCAGTAATAATAATGGCACCTACATAAAACAAAGGTTAGAGAAAGAGGCTTTTTGTAATGAAAGTCAAAGGAAGAGATAGATTCTCTTTTAGCACAACAAGGGCACAGGAGTATGCCAGCGGAGGTCATTTGGCCCAGCGTGAATGATCTGCTTATTTTTAGATGCTTGAACAGGAGGCCAGAGCACGGTGGCCAGAAATTTTCATCCCCCACCCTTCTCATTGTTCCATCAGGAACAGAAAATGATTGTGCTAGAGGGAAGAAATAAAAACAGTTGAGACCTTGGGGGAAGGCCCAGTAGGGTACGAAAGAGAAGGGAAAGGGGAATGTGAGAGAGGAGCCAGGAAGGAGCGACTGGGGAGAGGTCTGCTAACCAGAGGTTTGTACTATAGTGCCATGGCCACTAAGCTCCCTTCCCCATGGCTGAACTCCAAGTTAAACTGTTTAGAGAGGCTGCACAAATCTGTTATCCTGTGCACTCTGGGTTGGTTACAATATGATGCAGCAGTCACCAACCTCTAGGATTCTGTGTGTTCTTCAACAACTAATTGGAAGACAGTTTTGTTAGGAACTGTTTTACGATGGGCTTCTATAACTTTTGTGAATGTCAGGCATGGTGCTGGGTGCTTTGGATACATTCATTATCTCTAATTCTCTCAAAGACCCACCAGAGGAGGTCACTGATACCTAGAGAGTTACTCACCAGGATCACAAGGCTACCAAACCAGTGTTAGATAAACTTAGACACATTAAAATTTTAAAAAGGTTTGAGACCGCGATTCATGAATTGGACATTGCCAAACCACAATTTGATTCGTTGAAGTGGAAGTCCCTAGTTAGAGGCTAGTTGGTGGTTTCTGATTGGTAGTTTCTAGTTAGAGGTTAGCAGGTTTTGACTGGTTATGCTTAAGTTTTGTTTTCCTAGGCCACTTTGAGTTGGGTTTTGATTTGCTTAGAAAGGAACCTAAGGCACTAGAGAAGTCTGAGTCTAATGGCCTCTCATTTATTTATTTATTATTTATTTATTTTTGAGATCGAGTTTTGCTCTGTCACCCAGGCTGGAGTGCAGTGGCGTGATCTCGGCTCACTGCACCTCCGCCTCTCGGGCTCCAGCAATTTGCCTGCCTCAACCTCCCGAGTAGCTGGGATTACAGGCGCCCACCACCATGCCCAGCTAATTTTTTTATTTGTAGTGGAGATGGGGTTTTGTCATGTTGGCCAGGCTGGTCTCAAACTCCTGAGCTCAAGTGATCGGTGTGCCTCAGCCTCCCAAAGTGCTGGGATTACAGGCGTGATCCACTGTGCCCGGCCTTAATTATTTACTTTATTACCAGGTAATTTTTAATTGTGCCTGTCTGACTTGGATACAACTAAACAAGCCAAGAACAGTGCTTCTCAAACTGTGAGTAAGGTTGATTTTTAACATTTCCAATTCATCACAGACTGGTAATTTTGTAAAATATAAAACAAAGTAAAATACATGCAAAATACAAGCTCAAACTTATTACATTTAATAGACATACTCTGTGAATTTGCTGTAAATGTTTCTGAACACTTACCCTGAAGGTTTGTACTGATCTTATCACAGAATGGCAGTAGAACAGAGCAGTGGCTCTTAGTCATGAAGGCACAGCTGAATCATATCCAGAGCTTTTCCTAACTACATGTGCCTGCCTTTCACCCAGACTCTGATTCAGCAGGCCTGGTGTTTAGTAGATACTCCCTGGGGGATTCTGATGTCCATCCCTGGTTAAGAACTACTCACTGCTCTAAGATGTTACCAAAGCCATTTTCTATCTTGGTGCCATTCAGAGAATCAAAGTCCCCTTTCAGAATTCACTAAAACCAGTAAAGGATGAGGGATGGGGGTGGCAAAACTACCAAGGAATTGAAAGATGCAAGAGTTGTCCTCTATAACATCTGCATTACTACCTGATGCTATTTCAATCTTTTCAACTTAAAAATTTTGGTGTTTGGTTCAAGGACGGAATCTCTGAGCAGCAAATTAGAAGCAGTCAAAATTGCATTTAGCAAATAATCACTCCCATCTAAGATAACACCTATGTTTCCTCCTACACAGCCCTGCCTTTGTAAAAACTGGCCACCTCCTGCATCTGCATTTGAGGGATTCTGGGAATTGTCCACACCCCAGAAAAATGGTGCATCCTTAACTTATCCCAGAGGATAGCCCGCTGGTGGGGCAGCCAGTCATTTTCAGAAGAAACAGCCTGGGAAGAGAAACCACTCCACCTTTTGAGATCAGGGCCAATGTGACAGGTAGGGAGATGAGGGATAAGCCTCACAGGAAGACTCCATAGAAACCTCAGTGAGAATAAGAAGTGCTGATGAATTCCCTCCAGAAAAATAATCCAGTGACCTCAGTGTCCCAAAGGAGATGAGGACCAATAGGATGCTTGTGAAAAAAATCACAAATAGGCAGACTGAGCCAAAATGCAATTTATTTTCTTCACTACTCCTAGTAATTAGTTTTTATTTATATCACTGGTGTGTGTGTGTGTGTGTGTGTGTGTGTGTGTTCAACTGACACTACCACAGTGTTAAATCGGTAATAGGGTTTGATGTACACAATGTATACTCTTTTCTCTCAGTCCCAGTCCTTGAAAGGTATTTTCATATAGCAAGTGCTCAATAACATTTGAGAATATTCCTCCCACTTCACTCTCTAAAATAGATTGAAAACTTCTTGATGGACAATTGTTTCCAGGCTACATCAAGGGCTGCAACAAATCAACAGAAAAATACCAAAAGAAAAACAGGGCCAGGCGTGGTAGCTCACACCTATAATCCCAGCACTTTGGGAGGCCAGGGCAGGCAGATCACCTGAGGTCAGGAGTTCGAGACCAGCTTAGCCTAGTAAAGATGGTGAAACCCTGTCTCTACTAAAAATACAAAAAATTAGCCGGGTGTGGTGGTACATGCCTGTAATTCCAGCTACTAGGGAGGCTGAGGCAGAAGAATCGCTTGAACCTGGGAGGTGGAGGTTGCAGTGAGACGGGATGGCGCCACTGTACTCCAGCCTGGGCAACAGAGTGAAACCCCGTCTCTATAAAAGTAACAAAAAATTAGCTGGGCATGGTGGCGCACACCTGTAGCCCCAGCTACTTGCGAGGCTTGGGATAGGAGAATCACCTGAGGTTGAGGCTGCAGTGAGCTGTCATCGCATGCCACTGCCCTCCAGCCTGGGCGATAGAGCGAGACCCTGTCTCAAAAGAAAGAAAGAAAAGAAAACCAGGCAAAAGGCAAAAGACCATTTCATGGAAAGGGAAATAAAAGTAGCAAAGACATAAAAGAAAAACAAAAACGCTCAATCTCACCAATGATTGGGAAAAATGCAAAAATGAGTTTTGACTCATCATACTGGCAAAAATTATGGTATTACCAAGCACTGACAAGGATAATGGGAAATACAGTCATCGTTGCTTAATGACGGGGATACATCCTGAGCAGTGCATCATTAGGCAATTTCATCATTGTGTGAACATCACAGAGTACTTACACAAACCTAGACAGTACAGCCTACTTACATGGTAGAGTTTATGGGCTACAAACCTGTACAGCATGTTGCTGTACTGAATACTGTAGACAACTGTAACACAATGGTATTTGTCTGTCTAAACACAGAAAAGATACAGTAAAAATACGGTGTAAAAGATAAAAAATGGTATACCTGTCTAGGGTATTTATCTGAATGGAGCTTGCAAGACTGGAAGTTTCTCTAGGTGAGTCAGTGTGTGAGATGTCAGTGAATGTGAAGGCCTAGGACATTACTGTACCCTACTGTAGACTTTACACTATACACTTATGCTACACTAAATTAAAAAATTTTTCTTCAATAAATTTAACCTTAGTTCACTGTAATTAACTTTTTGGCTCTCTTTTAATAACACTTATCTGAAAACACAAACACACTGTACAGCTGTATAAAAATATTTTCTTTATAGTCTCATTCTGTAAGCTTTTTTCCTATTAAAATTTTTAAAAATTTATTTACTTTTTAATTTTTTCTTGTCAAAAACCAGGACACAAATACACATTAGCCTAGGTGTACACAGGGTCGGGATCATCAATATCACTGTCTTCCACCTCTACATCTTGTCCCACTGGACGGTCTCCAGGGGCAATACGCGCATAGAGCTGTCATCTCCTATGATAACACTGCCTTCTTCTGGAATCCCTCCTGAAGGACCTGCCTGAGGTTGTTTTACAGTTAACTTTTTTTTTTTTTAGAAACTGATGTTTATTTTCCATCAACCATTTTTCCATGTTGCTTAAGAGCCTATGCAAGAACAGCTTAAGACCAGTCAGTGGTTGCTCCTACCCATTCAGTGGCCTGAGCAGTGGGAGCTGCAGACCAGTCTTCCGTGGCAGGCTGAGCGCTCCCGTCTTCAGTAGGGAATAGGCACAGAGGGCACCTGTACACCTTCAGACCAGTCTGCAACCTCAGGCTGAGTAACAGTGAACTCAGGAGCTGGAGCAGTCCATTCACCCTGAAATTCCTCCTTGGTCACTGCCTTTTCAGCAGCAGCCTGCTCTTCTCTTTCAATCTCTTCAGGATCTCTGTAGAAGTACAGATCAGGCATGACCTCCCATGGGTGTTCACAGGAAATGGTGCCACGCATGCGCAGAACTTCCCGAGCCAGCATCCACCACATCAAACCCACTGAGTGAGCTCCCTTGTTGTTGCATGGGATGGCAATGTCCACATAGTGCAGAGGAGAATCTGTGTTACACAGCGCAATGGTAGGTAGGTTAACATAAGATGCCTCCATGAGAGGCTGGTGGTCAGCCCTGGGGTCAGTAACCACAAGAAGCCGTGGCTCCCGGAAGGCTGCCTGGATCTGGTTAGCGAAGGTTCCAGGAGTGAAGCGGCCAGCAATTGGAGTGGCTCCAGTGGCAGCAGCAAACTTTAGCACGGCCCTCTGGCCAGTATTCCTGGAGGATATAACACTGACATCAGCAGGGTTTTCAATGGCAACAATAGCACGAGCTGCCAGCAGAAGCTTCTCCCAGGTCCTCTTCAGATTTATGATATAGATGCCATCACTTTTCCTTTTATAGATGTACTGTTCCATCTGGAAGTCAAGATTGGTGCCACCTAAGTGAGTTCCTGCTGCAAGGAACTTAAGGACATCCTCCTCCTTCATTTGCAGGACATCAAGGGCTCCGGACATTGTGAAAGTTTCCCTTTAAGTTACGATGGGAATCCAGAACAACGCCGTATGGACCCCTCTGCAGGTAGCGTGGAAAGGACTTTTTTTTTTTTTTAATAAGTAGAGAGTATACTTAAAAGATAAAAAGCACAGTATAGTAAGTACATAAACCAGTAACACACTTATTATCAAGTATTATGTATTGCACATAATTGTGTTATATTTTTATATGACTGGCAGTGCAGTAGTTTATTTATACCAGCATCACCACAAACACATAAATAATGTGCTATGACACTAGTGATGGGAATTTTTCAGCTCCATTATAATCTTATGGGACCATTGTCACACATGTCATCTGTCATTGACTGAAACATCGTTACGCGGAGCATGACTGTAGATATTCTCATACACTGCTTGTGAAAGTATACATTGGTTGGGCTACTTTAGAGGGCTATTTGCCAATATTTATATGCATTCTGAGTTTGAGAGATTCTGAGAACTATGCTGGAGCCACTTCATACCAGCTAACAGAGCTGATTGTGCATTCATGTCTCATTAGTAGTTTGAAATCGGCCATGGTGGAAGAATTCACACCATGGAAATTGGCAAATGCTACAAATCAGCCCCACTTCCTCTTTTTGGAAGACTGGTTGTTAAACATTTATTAGTACTCTAAAGTCTATTTGACAGTGTCTACAATAAAAAAAAGAAAGAAAGAAAGAAAAAGCACATAACCCATGATACAGTATTCCTGTTTTCTAAGATATATTTGTACATGTAAACAGGGATGCATGTTCAAGGATGTTCACAGCAGCATTATTTGCAATGGAAAATTGAAGACAACCTAAAAACCCACTCATTGATAGTGTAAACCAAAAAGCATCTGAGACAGGTCTCAATTGATTAAGACGTTTACTTTGCCAAGGTTAAGGACCGTGGCCCATGCTGCAGCCTCAGGAGGTCCTGAGAACATGTGCCCAAGATGGTGGGATTGCGGCTTGGTTTTAGGGAGACAGAAGTTATGGGCAAAGACATAAATCAATACATGGAAGGTATACATTGGTTTTGGCCTGGAATAGGGGGACATCTCAAAGTGGGAGTTGGGGGCTGTTTCTAGGTCACAGGTGGATTGAGAGATTTCCTGACTGGCAGTTGGTTCAAAGAGTTAAGCTCTGAGTGAAGAGTTGAAGTCAGCTTGAGTTATGGTAAGGGGGGAATGTTTTGGAAGCCAAGGTTTTTGTCATGTAGGTGAAACCTCCAAAGAACAAGCTTCAGAGATAATAGATGTGACAGTCTCTTATCTGACCTAAAAGGTGTCAAACTCTGTGGAAAAACCTAGTAGAGGAAGGAGATTCTCTAAAAAAATGCAAATTTCCCCCACAAGGGACAGCTTTGCAGGGCCATTCAAAGTATGTCGAAGAAATATATTTTGGGGTAAAATATTCTGATCTCCTTCCGGGCCTGCTGTCTGTCATGAGATGTTACATCAGAGTCAGGTTGGAATTTGATCTTATTGCTACAAAGAGTCTGTTTTGTCGGTCTTAAAATCTCTGTTTTAATGTTAATGCTGGTCAGTTGGGTCTAAACTCCAAAAAGAGAAGGGTATATAATGAGACCTTCCCCCTCTCTTCCTGTCATGGCCTGAACTTCTAACCACCCCTCTTCCTGTCATGGCCTGAACTTTTTCAGGTTTTTTTTGGGATCCCCTTGGCTGAGGGGGTACATTCAGTTGGTTGGGGAGATTAGAATTTTGTTTTTGGTTTATAATAGGAAACTCAAAAACAAAAACCTCCAGCCTATTCTAAATGGAACACTATGCAGCAGTTAAAATTAATAAACTAAATTTATATAAACTGTTGGGAGAAAAAACTTCTCTACCAATTTAGGTCCAATTGGTCGGTGGCCTGTGAATCAACTGACAATACACAGATTAACAGGAGAAAAACGTACTACATATGCGAAGGTACCCTAAAGAGAGTAGCTCCCAGAATAGCTGGGGGGGAAAAAATCACACAGCCATAAAAGAGAATAAAATCGTATCCTTTGCAGCGACATGGATGCAGCTGGAGGCCATTATCCTAAGCAAATTAATGCAAGAACAGAAAACCAAATACCACATGTTACAAGTGGGAGCTAAACTGTGGATTCTTATAGACATAAAGACGGCAATAATAGCTACTAGGGACTACTGGGGTTGAAAGACTAACTACTGGGTACTATGTTCACTACCCGGGTGACAGAATCATTCATATGCCAAATGTCAGCATCACACAATATACCTAAAGTATCAAACATGCACATGGACCCCTAAATCTATGAACACAATTAATGGCTAAACTTCTAGGTGCAAAACTAGGGATGGCATTTGGGCTGTAAAGAATGGCACAGGCTGTGGTTACCCCAGTAACCACTTTCTTCCAGGACTCACTCAAGGCAATAGGGACTTGCTTGGTCTTGCCCCTTCTGTTATGGTTCCAGGGGTGGTTGCCCAAAGGTGATGCAAGTTGATTCTCCCAGGGATGGGTCCCCAGTGAGAGCTCTCAAGCTATTCAGGGACCTTCAGAGCCAAATTCCCCTAGCATTTTGTTCAACTCTTCCCCATGTGTACAGGGACAAGGAAGGGTTTTGCATTATCCTTTCCCATTTGTTGAAATTACATCTATAAGAACTGATGAAGAGAAGGGTCAGTTTTTTCCACCTGTCTCAGGGAACTGGGTGGGCCTGATAACTCTCCCACTACATGCTCCTGGCCCCAGATTATCTGGTTACTTATTTTTAAACTTCCTGATATTAGGGGAAAAGATTTTTCCCTAAATTCCCTATAAGTGATATTTGAAGCGGTGGTACGCCACCCAGCAAATGGCTGTATCCAGTTTTAATGGTTCATAAAGTAACTTATGAAGTGACTTGTTTTCTTTCAATTCAAAGGAAGTCTGGGGAAAGGCACCATTCATTCATTCAAGATGGGGTCTCAATATGTTGCCCAGGATGGTCTTGAACTCCTGGGCTCAAGGATCCTCCTGCCTCAGCCTCCTGAGTAGCTAGGATTACAAATGTGGCAGTTTGAAAGGCACTTTCTTGGTCTATGTGGTCCGCCTGTACCCAGATGATTTGGAGCCTCACCTTTAGTCCCACCCTGGCCAGCCAAACCAGGGTCAGCCTGGGGCTCCAGGAAAAAATGAAATGTTACATGGCCTTACTTGCCTTTTTCTGCTATTCATAGGCTGATATTGGTTGATAGTAAATATAAACCCACTGGGCAAGTTCATTTTTGCACAGAGTGACAACCGTCACTGAACTCTGTTTTAAGGGAGGGATTTTGGTGGGTTTTTTTTTTTGAGACAAGGTCACCCAGGCTGGAGTGCAGTGGCATGATCTCGGCTCACTGCAGCCTTGACCTCCTGGGCTCGATTGATCTTCCCACCTCAGCTCCCCAAGTAGCTGGGACTACAGGCGTGCACCATCACGCCTCGCTAATTTTTTGTAGAGACAGGATTTTGCCATGTTGTCCAGACTGGTCTTGAACTCCTGAGCTCAAACAATTCACCCACTTCAGCCTCCCAAAGTGCTGGAATTACAGGCATGGGAGGGATTTTTTTTTTCTTTAAATTGAGATGAGGTCTCACCATCATGCCCAGGATGGTCTTGAACTCCTGGGCTCAAGTAATCCTCCCATCTCAGCCTCCTGAGTAGCTGGAACTACAGCTGTGTGCACCACACCCAGCTAATTGTTCAACATTTTTGTAGAGACAGGGTCTTGCTATGTTGCCCAGGCTGGTTTCTAACTCCGGGGCTCAAGTGGTCCTCCTGCTTCAGCCTCCCAAAGTGCTGGGTTACAAGTGTGAGCCACTGTGCTGGGCCAGAATTTATTTATTTATTATTTTTAAAGAACCTTCATTTCCTCTGGCAATCTGCTTGGGGACATGCACATGAATCTCATGGGAGAACAAGAAAACGTTTCCTTTTTGTGTTCTCCACTTTCCCTTCCCTTTCCAGAATCTAGGCCCTGGTGATTCCCTTCAGGAGGCAGGAAAGCGATTCCTTGAAGAACAACAGCCGTCACCTTCCTTCCCAGTTGAGCCAGAAAGGCCCCACAGCTCTGCCACAGATGCTACAGAAAATGTTTCTGGCCTCAACTCCCCAGGGAGGGAGTAAGCCTTGGGGTTAGTTCAGTTGCACAGTTCCACGTCTGTTAGCAGCCACTGGTTCTCTTACTCCAGCTATGTTTAGCTTTGTTTGACTATCTTCCATGGGAACACAACTGCATTAGTGTTCCTTTTCTCAGTTCTCCATTTCAAAAATTTTTATTTATTTATTTAATTTCTGAGAGGGGGTCTTGCTCTGTCACCTAGGATGGAGTGCAGTGGCACAAACACAGCCTCACTGCAGACTCGACCTCCAAGTTCAGCCTCCTGAGTAGTTGGGATCACAGGCATGCACCACCATGCCTGGCTAATTTTTTTATTAGTAGTAGAGACAGGGTCTCCCTATGTTGCCCAGGCTGGCCTTGAACTCCTGAGTTCAAGCAATCCGCCCGCCTCAGCCTCCCAAAGTGCTTGGATTATAGGCGTGAGCCACCGTGCCCCGGTATCGGTTCTCCATTTATAACAACTTGTCACCAAGAACCCGAGACCCAAGCTTGGGTCAATGGTTGTCCAGCTAGGATGAGAATAATGTGCTGGCTATCTGGGTACTGTGGACAGCCTGGAAGCCCCATGTGGCAGCCAACTTACTCATTTTGCACACTGCACCCAGAGAAGGGTGGCACTGAGTGGAAAGTGAGGCCAAGGTCATCACAAACAGCATCAGGCTCTACAAAGAGTGACAGCAACCTGAAGCACAGAGACAGGTCTAACATGGATGCAGGATGTAAGTGACGTTGGACCTAGTCTTAGGTCACATCTGCATACAAAAATCCTCACTACAGGAACTGTCATTATTTAAACACATGAGCAAGGACACAGATTTTTGAAATAAGCACTTATTCTTTTGAAGGGTCTAAAAGGTAGAATGTAGAGATGGAAGACAGTAGACCTGAAATTCCTTCCTGACCACGGCCTTGTACAAATCTTCTGCCCTGTCTGTCCAGATGTTTCCTCATTTTTGACCAGATGCTAAAGCCTCCAAATCAGTCATTCTGAGATCCATGCCAATTCTTAGCCATGATTCTAAAAATAGCCAGAATAGAAATAATATACAATCCTCATATTTATGCTTACTTCTTTAATACAAAAACAGTGTAATAACAGCATGAAGGAAATAATTTAATGATTTTAATTTTTCAGCCTAAAATTATTTTAAACTAATGGTTTCACCTTGTTCCACTTGAGTAATCAAATTCATATTTTCCCCCTTGCCATCTCTCCCCCACCTGCATCCTGTGAATCAACAGAAGTTAAAACCCTAACACCAGTGGGAAACAGAAACTAGCCAAGAGCATGTAAAACAGAAACAAGACAGGCGTGGTGGTGCTGAGGTGGGAAGATCACTTGAGCCCAGGAGTTCAGGCTGCAGTGAATAATGGTTGCACCATTGCACTCTAGCTTGGGGGACAGCGTGAGACCCTGTCTCTATATTAAATTTTAAAATATAATAAAAGAGAAAGAAAATGCCTAATTACAGTTCTTGGTGAATAAATGATGTAAATGCCCATATTTTACTACCTGCTCACGTATAGCGTTAGTATTGTAATCAGATAGTTTATGTACCAAACTTGTAAGTTATGCCAGTTGGGACCATTTATCTAACAGGAAGCAGGCCCAGGCAGGTTCCTTTGCAACAAAGGATGGTTCAATGTTGCATACAGTTGAGTTGCCATGAGAGACAATTATGGCCATCCCCAAATAAGGAAAACTTGATTGCACTTAGATAAAAATTGCGATTTTTCAAATTTTGAGGTCAAAACCTGTATACTCTACAACTAGAGGTAAGCTTAAGCTAATTATGTTCTATTTGAGTCTTCCCTTCTGCTGACTAAATCACCATTTAAAATATTTGTAAACCTTGGTTGTAAAGTTGGACACCTAAGAATTCAAAATAGCAATTGTCCCACAAAGCCCCATCCCTTCCAGTATTGTGTTCTTTTAGGAAAGTATTCAATTATCTCTCAGCTGATCCTAAGATTCCTTCTATATCTTGTCCCTTTCATTTGTTTAGATATTTACTATACACTTTGAGGCTGGGTGCAGCGGCTCATGCCTGTCATCCCAGCACTTTGGGAGGCCGAGGTGGGTGGATCACCGAAGGTCAGGAGTTTGAGACCAGCCTGGCCAACATGGTGAAACCACGTCTCTACTAAAAATATAAAAATTAGCTGGGTGCGGTGGCGCATGCCTGTAATCCCAGCTACTCGGGAGGCTGACACAGGAGAATCGCTTGAACCTGGGAGGCAGAGGTTGCAGTGAGCAGAGATTGCACCACTGCACTCCACCCTGGGCGACAGAGTGAGACTCCTTCTCAAAAATAAATAAATAAATAAAAGGCTGGGCATGGTGGCTCACACCTGTAATCCCAGCACTTTGGGAGGCCGAGGCGGATGGATCATGAGGTCAGGAGTTCAAGACTAGCCTGGCCAAGATGGTGAAACTCCGTCTCTACTAAAAGTAAAAAAAAAATTAGCTGGGTGCGGTGGCAGGTGCCTGTGATCCCAGGTACTCAGGAGGCTGAGGCAGGAGAATCGCTTGAACTCAAAGGGCGGAGGTTGCAGTGAGCCAAGATCGCGCCACTGCACTCCAGCCTGGGTGACAGAGTGAGACTCCATTTCAATAAATAAATTAAAAAGAAAAAAAAACATACAAAAAGATACTTACTGTACACTTCAGAAAACAGTATTTTCTAACATCGGTTTAGCATTTATTTCCCTTTAATTTCTATTTATATTATTTTCTAAATGTTCACTCAGGTGTAAAAAAATAACTTCAACAATTAATAGTTTGACATGATGTCAGCTATTTAAGATACTCAACATCATCCTCTGCTTTTCACCACCTTCTTGCATTTGGGGGTGAAGAGTTAAACTACTTTTTTTTAATGCTGGAACTCTTTTTGAATCATTATTAAAATAAGACTGGGGGAAGAGAGGTTATATAAAGGAAATAAAGAGTCTATAATGGAATTTAGGCTTTTGCTGTTACAGCTGAGAAGAACTAGAGCTTCCAAGGAAAGCCTGACCTAAGAATAAGGCCAAATCTTTTGCTTCGTATCAACACAACGCTACCAAAATCTGGAGTTATTTTCTGACTTTATTCTGAAAGCTAACTTTTAGCTTGGCTGGACTGTTTTTTTCTTTTCTTCTCTCATCTTTCTCTCTCTCTCATCTCTCTCTCTCTCTCTCTCTCTCTCCTTTTCTTTCTTTTTTAGAGATGGGCTCTTGCTGTTGTTGCCTGAAGCCCCAAACTCCTGGGCTCAAGGCATCCTCCTTCCTCAGCCTCCTGAGCAGCTTGGACTTGAGGCCTGTGCTACCACACCTGGCTAACGGGCAGGAATCTTTCTAAACAGACTGAATTTAGAGTGCTTATTGCTCAAGCAGGGATAATTTCTACAAGGTCCAGTTCAGGCTGAGATTTTTATTTTGTCCCTAATTTCCTGAAATCAAAACAAGTGGTTTTAATCTAGGATCGCACAGGTAGAAAACCTAGTGGGGTCTCTGGGAACTTTATACCTGTTTTCTCCTTCCCTGGTCCTTTCTCCATGCTTTTATTGTTACCAGGGAGATGTCCTGGTTTAATGTAAGTGTCCCTTACAAAACTTTCTAAGAACTTACTCCCAGAAAATACAAAAAATGATGATAGCCAATTAGGCAAGAGAGGGGGTAATTTAGTCTTATACTTTCTCAGAGGGAATACAAATTAATACAGCCTTCCTGGAGAGGAATTTGGCAATGTTTATCAAAGTTAAAAACTGTGTACTAGGCCGGGTGCAGTGGCTCACGCCTGTAATCCCAGCACTTTGGGAGGCTGAGGCGGGTCAATCACTGGAGGTCAGGAGTTCGAGACCAGCCTGGCCAACATAGTGAAACCCTGTCTCTACTAAAAATACAAAAAAAAATTAGCCGGACGTGGTGGCAGGTGCCTGTAGTCCCAGCTACTCAGGAGGCTGAGACAGGAGAATCACTTGAACCCGGGAGGCGGAGGTTGCAGTGAGCTGAGATTGCGCCACTGCATTCCAGCATGGGTGACAGAGTGAAACTCTGTCTCTAAATAAATAAATAAAACTGTGTACTCCACTTCTGGGAATTTATTCAAGGAAAGTCAACTCTTTTCCTAGTTCTAGCCTTCTTTCTGTACATTAGATTGATGGGTCATTAACTGTTCTTAGTATGTTTCTGTATTTTCATAATAGACTATAATAAACATATATACCTTTGATAATAAAAAATTAAAAATCATCAGTAAATATAAAATATACCCTGTTAGAAACAACTTGCATTCAGAAGTGCTTAGTGTTAAATGTGGGGACCACCTGCAACAACCAGTTTTTGGTTTTCTTTTTAATTCTTGAAAACTCAGTATACATTAACTGTAGTTCTTCCAATGACCTAGGGTTTGGGAATACAATTTTAAAAGCCCATGGCCACTCTTGTAGCTATTACTTTCATGGGATGACCTAAACAGAGTTTCAGACTATGACAATGATTTCCTCTCCTTGTGGCCCATGTGCTGTTCCTTCACACTTCCACAGACTTCCATGGGATATATGAGTCAATACTAAGGTGATAGCTCTAGTTATTCCTTCCAAGGACATCTGGAATCCGATTATCTGATGAGATATTCTATTGCTCCATTTTACAGCAGGAGACCTTATCAAAATTCTCCTAGATTACATGACAGCAGCCCTGGGAACAGAAGGCAAGTTTAAAATAGTTTTTTTTTTTTCCAAACCACATTCCTTTCTTGAATCTATTTACAGTACTGTTTCAAGATGTTTTCTGAAGGGTGCACAGGGGCTACATTGAAAACCTTCTGGTTATTGTTTGCTAACTGCTGGGATGGTTTTAATCAGAGAAGAAGCCAATAATTTCAGCTTGGGTGTTAGAAAAGCTCCTGAAATGTCTCCAAACTGATTTAGGAGAAACTGCTTAACAGAAGAGGACTTATTCCTGTCCTGAAACAAACTCCTTAGCATGGACATATGCTGTAATCACAGACCAAGATAACCACATTTTTTGAACATATTATACTCCAAAGGCATCTTAGATTTCTAAATATTATCAGTATCAGATGACAAAACCTGTTCAACAAGGACCATAGCCTCAATATGCTAGTTGACAGCCTCCGCCGTTAGAATGTTCTTGGTGTTTGGTAAGTTCTCTAATAGGACCTACTTTTTATTACACTAGTTTTTCTTAAAGAAATTTTTTGAAAGGGGTTTTATTTTAATGACTCAGGTAAAATTTTCTGAGGTAAAAGACCTCACATCAGTCTCAGCAGACATCTGCCCCTTCCCATGATCCTGACTTGAGGCAAGTGAAGGGAGTCCCTTTGTTGTGAGGCCAATTTAGTTCTAGGTTCCAGAAAAGCCTGAGTCTCTCAGTAGTTCAGATCAAACCAGATGCCCCAGATTTAAGCAGAACTAATCCAAATGCCCAAATCAGTTTCAGAAAGAGCTCAGGTTTTAACTAGGGTCAGGTACATCTTTTCTAGGTTAGGTAGGTGCTCCTATGCCTCAGCTAAGTACATAGCACTTTGGTCAGCCCTATATTTGCATGATAAAAGCTTTTTTTTCTACTTTAAAAATAATTCCTACATGATTTATCATGTATAAATTCTTAAAACCCCACCCAGGACAAACCACTATATCAAGGATTTCCATTGCTGATCTCTCTCACCCTAATCCTATTGAATCCAAGTCTCTGGGGATAGAGCCCTGGAAGCCTACTTTTTTTTTTTTTTTTTTTTTTTAAATGTAAATGCTTTTCTCACGCCTGTAATCCCAGCACTTTGGGCTTTGGGAAGCCAGGGTGGGAGGATCACTTGAGCCCAGGATTTCCAGACCAGCCTGGGCAACATGGTGAAACCCCATCTCTACAAAAAATACAAAAATTACCTGAGTGTGGTGGCATGCACCTGTAGTCCCAGCTACTTGAGAGGCTGAGGTGGGAGGCTCGCTTGAGTCCAGGAGCTTGAGGCTGCAGTGAGCCATGACTGCACCACTGCACTCCAGCCTGGGCAACAGAGCAACACTCCGAATTTAATAATAACAACAAAAAAGTGAATGCTTTTACAAGTACCCCTTATAACATTTATGCACACTGAAGGGTGAGAACCTCTGCACTGGAACAAATGTAAGACTAAATGAAAGCTAGAAAAAAAGAAATCTGAGCAAGTAGAGGCAGGAAGACTGAATGCGAGGATTTAATACCAATGCGGGCACAAGAATTTTCTTAGAAAAGGTCAGTGGGGAGGGATCATGGACACCTTGGTTTCAACAACTCCAACTCCTTCATACATCATCTTCAGTTAGGCTGGCTGATCAGTGTGCTGATACTTTCTTCTACCTCTGACAGCGTCTTCAGAATTTGGTTGACTTTGACCTCATCAAATTCCAAACACAGAAATTCAGATTCCTGGAAAACATAAAAGGATATTTTAGAGGGAAACCACAAGATAGCCAAGGCCATCTGGCATGACCAAACTCAAAATACCCAGGGTCCCAATCCAGCAAGCCCAGCTCAGACCTTAATATCGAAGTGATATTTTACCCAGCAAAGCATATCCACATAATGCCCTAAATAAAAGTGCTTTTATGCCAGGCGCAGTGGCTCACACCTGTAATCCCAGCACTTTGGGAGGCCGAGGCGGGCAGATCACAAGGTCAGGAGATCGAGACCATCCTGGCTAACACGGTGAAACCCCGTCTCTACTAAAAATATAAAAAATTAGCCAGGCGCAGTTGCGGGCACCTGTGAGTCCCAGCTACTCAGGAGGCTGAGGCAGGAGAATGGCGTGAACCCGAAAGTCGGAGCTTGCAGTGAGCCGAGATCGGGCCACTGCACTCCAGCCTGGGGGAGAGAGTGAGAGTCCATCTCAAAAAAAAAAAAAAGTGCTTTTATGATGGTGTTTCATATTGATAAATAAGAGGCGTACAAATGTCAGATGTTCTCACTAGGAGGCATATGAGAAGCTCTTCCTCTTTGTCATCTCATTGGATCCTCTAATAATTTTTAAGGTAAGAACTTGAGTAGTGCTGTTTTAAAAATGAGGACCCTGAGGCACAAAGAGGTTAACCTGTATCAAAAATAAATACCATATAAAGGCAGAATCAGACTGTGGGAACTCTCAGCTCTGGATGACGCCGAAGTCCATACTGTCTCCACAGCACCTTGGATTACAAAAATGAAAGGAGAATTTTGACTGACTCTGATGGACTCTGAGTTAGTCTGGGAAGTGAGCTAACTTGGATTTAGTGGTTATGCCAGAAATTGTGACAAGTTGCTTGGGAAACATGAGCCAGATAACTGAAAGATAACCAGATCTTGAAATAACAACAAACATTTCTGGGGTCCCTCCACTTGCTGCAAGCCAACCCTCCTCACAGCTCCCTTAAATACGTTCCCTTCAATCACTGTTAGGATTGGTCAATCAATCCTAGGTTAGGTAGATGGTAGATATCAAAAAATAAGATTTTTTTCCCCCTCTGTTTCCAGGCTGGAGTGCAGTGGCATGATCATAGCTCACTGTAGCCTCAAACTCCTGGGCTAAAGTGATCCTCCCACCTCAGCCTCCTGAGTAGCTAGGACTACAGGTATGCAACCATGCCCAGTTAACTAAAAAAAAAAATTTTTTTTTTTTTTTGTAGAGATGGGGGTAGGGGGAGGATCAGTATGTTGCCCAGTCATAAGATCTCTGAGTTATGGCAGCAGGAATTTCATGCACACTAGACAAATTCTACATCTGCATTATCTTGAGAGACAAGGATAAATTTTATGTATCTAGGAGCAACTACATTCAAAATCCTTCAGAACAATAATCAAGTAATTTAGAGCAGTATGAATCCTTACAGAGCATATAATCCAATTGCCTTGTTTTCTAGATAATTAAATTAAGCCCCAGGCATGTTAAATGATGTGGCTAATTAATGTCCCTCTGTTGATGACAGTCACTAAGTCAATGTTCTTTTCTCTGTATTTTCCTAACTACTGAAAAGTATCAGAATATACCAGCCCCAACTTTGCCACTTTGGCCTATAGGTTACTTTGTGCTGAAGGCAATTGAGACTCAACAGATGGAAAAATAAGTCTTGGAGTTTCCCTTATCTGGCCAAGAGCAGAAACTTCTAAAAAATGAGAACTGCCAGGCCAGGCATGGTGGCTCATGCCTGTAACCCCAGCATTTTGGGAGGCTGACGCAGGAGGATCACTTGAAGCCAGGAGTTCAATACCAGCCTGGGCAATAATAATGAAACTCTATCTCTAAAAATAAAAAATAAAAAATTTAAAAAAGCCAGACATGGTGGTGCGCACCTGTAGTCCTAGCTACTTGGAAGGCTGAGGTGGGAGGATTGCTTGAACCCAAGAGGTGGAGTGAGCCTAGCAACCTTGGTGAGACCTTGTCTCAAAAAAAAAGAGAGGGTGAGAACTGCCATAAATCCCTCTCTGGGGAAGTTTTATGGGCATGAAAAAGATGGAAAGCTGACACCATGATGAGTCTGCCCAAACCTTAGTAAAATAACTCTTATCTACTATTAGATTCACCATATACTTAATTCCCATAATTTACCACCTTTAGAAGACCAAACCCTTCTTCCTATGTCTAGTCACTTCTCTCCACAATTTATCATCCTTTGTTAAAATGGTATGCAAGCTTTCAAGTCTAACTGCCTCTTTGGATTTTCTTTTTTTTTTTTTTCTGTTAAGCTTGTGTGCATATAAAATTAAAAATACTTACCATCAGCAAAATTTATAATTTTTTTTCTCCTGTGAATCTTTTGTCAGTTTAATTTGCAGGCCTTATACATGAACCTAAGAAGGCAGAGAAAAACTTTTTCGTCCCCTACGATACTATGGCATTTCCTACCCCCATCTCCAAAGTGGTAGTTAAAGGCAGGCCAACAAGCTTCTTCAGAAGGAGGGTGTCACTTTGCCATCAGCCAAAAGAACATTCAGGAGTTGGTTTTGCTGTTGCTAAGCTGCTAAGCTGAGTCTACACTGATGACAGTGAACATCTCCCAAGGAGAAATAAGTACAAAGGGAAAGAAGGGGCCTCTTGGATGAAAGGCTTCCACAGACAGGGAAGGCAGCTTTCCTTGCCTACAGGAGTCCTGTCCTCAAACATGTATTTGGATAGGAGAGAAGTGCAGTCTCATATGTGAGCTTAGAAACTTTGCCAAGTTTTCATTTAGTCCAAAGCAAAAACCAAGTTTAAACAAAGAAAGAATACTAATTAAGTGTTCAAGCTCTAGGAGGGGTTATCTCCTTTTGGAAAGAAAAGCAGATTTATGACAAATTAGGCAGTTCAGTTGGCAAAATTCAGAAGAGGTCTCAGATGTGAAAGCCTGTTCTTCATTCAGTTTTATTGAGGGCTTTAGTTTGACTTTAAAACAATTTTTTTTTTTTTTGAGACAAGAGTCTCGCTCTGTCGCCCAGGTTGGAGTACAGTGGCCCAATCTGCAACCTTTGCCTCCCAGGTTCAGGCAATCCTCCTGCCTCAGCCTCCTGAGTGGCTGGGATTACAGGTGTGCACTACCACGCCTGGCTAATTTTTGTATTTTTTTTCAATAGAGACAGGGTGTCGTCATGTTGGCCAGGCTGGTCTCGAACTCCTGACCTCAAGTGATCTGCCTGCCTTGGCCTTCAAAGAGCTGGGATTACAGGCGTGAGCCACTGTGTCTGACCTAAAACAATTTTTAAAACATCTGGCCTTGGACACAATGGTCTAGAAATTAGTGATTACCAGTAACTAACATATATATTAAGGACATTGATAAAAAAGATGATGTAGCCTATATTTCACCTCAGTGAAAGTAAGTTACAGTAATAAATAACCTGGTTTTCTATGTAGGCAAAGAAATTACCAGGAACAATATTCATAGAGATAGGAGCAACTGAGTAAGGCATGTTTAAAAATAGCCAGGATCTTTTCTAAGGGATCATTAGTTTGTTGTAGGTTTCAGGACTCATTTGTGATTGGATCTCTATGTATGAATGAAGCTCAGTTTATTTTTGAGGGATGCCAAATACTAGAGAAAGAGTAGGCTAAATAAAGAAGTCCAGGCCGGGTGTGGTGGCTCATGCCTGTAATCCCAGCACTTTGGGAAGCCAAGGCGGGCAGATCAGGAGGTCAGGAGTTCGAGACTAGCCTGACCAACATGGTGAAACCCCATCTTTATTAAAAATACAAAAATTAGCCAGGCTTGGTGGTGGGCACCTGTAATCCCAGCTACTCAGGAGGCTGAGGCAGGAGAATTGCTTGAACCCAGGAGGCAGAGGTTGCAGTGAGCCAAGATCACGCTATTGCACTCCAGCCTGGGCAACAGAGCGAGACTGTCTAAAAAAAAAAAAATGTGTGTGTGTGTGTGTTTGTGTGTGTGTGTGTGTATTTAGAAATGCAGATGTGGGCTAGGGGTGGTGGCTCATGCCTGTAATCCCAGCACTTTGGGAGGCTGAGGCAGGTGAATTGCTTGAGCCCAGGAGTTTCAGACCAGCCTGGGCAACATGGCGAAACCCCATCTCTAAAAAAAGTATAAAAATAAGCTGGGCATGGTGGCATGTGCCTGTAGTCCCAGCTACTTAGGAGGCTGAGGCGGAAGGATTGCTTGAGCCTGGGAGGTCAAGGTTGCAGTGAGCCAAGATCATGCCACTGGACTCTAGCCTTGGCAATAGAGTAAGACCCTGTCTCAAGAAAAGAAGGGAAAGGGAAAGGGAAAGGAAAAGGAAAAAGAAAAGAAAAGAAAGGAAGGCAGGCAGGCAGATGTGATGCTTATCAAGCCAGAGGCAGAAGGTACAAGAGCAATCTGAAACACTTGTTACTGTTTTCATGGTCATCTTGGGCTTAACTGGTGATAAAAATAAGAGATGACAAGACTAAAATTCCTGTATTTAAGTATCTGAGTCAAGAATCAAACTAGCTTCTTTTCAGTAAAGGATGCAGTATGGAGTAGAGTCAGAATGTGGCTAGCAGATAAGCAAGCACATCATTGTCAAGAACATGTACTTTGTGATCCTGGGGAGTACAGCAGTGTATTAAACTCAACGGTTTAAATAGCCATTCCAAATTACAATGGAAAGCAAAGGCAAAATATTCAAATTTTTGTCTCTCCAAGTGCAAATGTTAAAAAGCCACAAAATCCTATGACAAAATCCGTGAGAGGATTCCCTCTCCAAACCAACAAAAAAACCGAGCCAGCTCTAACACCTCCTGACAAGGCCATCTCACATATTCCTAATGAACTCCTTCCCTGGTAACCACTCAACACTCCTCAGGAAACTTACTGGTCAAGCCTAAATCTTTAATGCTTTAGCTTTAACTCACTTCCTAGCAAGGTTAGAGAGCATAATTGATTATTAGTTTACAGAATAACTGAAGGCTGTTAGTAAGCAAATGTTTGGTTTTATCCATCTACACACTAAATAACCTCTTTGAGTATTATTGTCCATTTTAAAAACCTCCTTAACTAGGTTCTGAGCAATTCTTCTGCAAAACAATACTACAGTGACAAAATGCTTAAACTAGAAAATAAAAGACTTATCACATATTAAATACTTGAATAGAACCATTTAGAACAAATTCAACATAAAATAAAACAACAGTCCTATATTTTCTACAGTAATACTACTTCCCATGCAAAATTTTCACAACGCTTTATCCTCTAATTTATGGATCATATTTAGGATTATAATACAACATTGGCAATGTTGGCTCTAATGTCTTGTGTTTTCTTTTAAAAATGATAAATTTGGGGGATGGAGGGTGAGAGTGGGAAAGGATGCCTTAGAATTTCACTAACCAATACTGATTCAAAAAGGCCACATAGGTGTGCACCTGTAATCGCAGCTACTTGGGAGGCTGACGCAGGAGAATCACTTGAACCTGGGAGAGGGAGGTTGCAGTGAGCCAAGACTGCGCCACTGCACTCCAGCCTGGGCGACAGATTGAGACTCCATCTCAAAAAAGAAAAAAAAAAAAAAAGTCACATAAAGCTGGCTATGTTTCATAAAGCTTATTACCCCAGATTTTTCTTTTAATTTCATTTGTTGACACAAAGGGACTCTTGTTTGTTTTTTTGTTTGTTTTTTTTTTTTTTTGAGACAGAGTCTCGCTCACTGGCGCGATCTCGGCTCATTGCAAGCTCCGCCTCCCGGGTTCACGCCGTTCTCCTGCCTCAGCCTCCTGAATAGCTGGGACTACAGGCACCCACCACCACGCCCGGCTAATTTTTTATATTTTTAGTAGAGAAGGGGTTTCACCGTGTTAGCCAGGATGATCTCGATCTCCTGACCTCGTGATCCACCCGCCTCGGCCTCCCAAAGTGCTGGGATTACAGGCGTAAGCCACGGCGCCCGGCTCAAAGGGACTCTTTATTGAGCACAAACTTTGGCCATAAAGCCTATCCTCTGTTTGGGCTGTCCTTTCATATGCTTAAAATAACCCTTTGACCCACAACTCTGCAACTGTCTTCTGTGTTTAACCACAGCGGAAGGAGGGGAGAGAAAGAGAGAAAGAGGAAGAGGGAGAGCAAGCACTCAAGAATGAACACATATGGCAGACATTAAAATTGGCAATGGCTCCTTGAAGGGCAATTAAATAATAAATAAGAAACCCAGTAGCACTGAACATTGCCTGCCAGAGAAGTTCAAAACATCTTCATAAGTAAACCTGTGTTCACCACTCATTCCCACACTTTCTGTGGCTTTCTTACAATTATCATTGATACTGCTCCTTTACTTCAAGAGACCTGGAATCCCAGAAATAGCTTCTCTGTAGCAAAAGATCACCCAACTTCCTTCCTAAGGAACCACTGGCCCCAATTAAAATTTTATATTTTCCTGAAAACTGTGCTGATTATTTTCCATTTGTCCTTTCCTATTCATTATCTTCCCTTCTCTGTCTTATTCCATGTCCTGTGGGGCTGTTCTCAAAAAATTGTGTCACTCCTTACAGTTGGGTTCAGGCAAGAGGAGAGAGAGGTTATTATATTAATTCTTCTGATATTTCCAATATTTTCTATGTAGGGTATCGTTTCTTCATTTCCTATTTTATTTACTGGTCTCAATCACTATTTCTTCTGGTTCACAAAGCCAACAGTACACACATAAAGCTAAGTCTCTTCAGACTGCCGAAGCATAGAATCACCAAATACAAACTCCAAGGTTGAGCAGAGCAAGGCCTGTCATCATGCCTAGGTTGGTAAGAAGGTTGCCCTCCAAGTATTAAATAATAGGATAAGCTAGAACCAATATTTGATATTTTCTATTACCATTTGATACTGATTTTTTTTTTTTTTTTTTTAGATGGAGTTTCGCTCTGTTGCCCAGGCTGGAGTGCAGTGGCGTGATCTCGGCTCACTGCATCCTCTGCCTCCCAGGTTCAAGCAATTCACCTGCCTCAGCCTCCCAAGTAGCTGGGACTACAGGCGTGTGCCACCATGCCCAGCTAATTTTTTGTATTTTTAGTAAAGATGGGGTTTCACTATGTTAGCCAGGATGGTCTCAATCTCCTGACTTCGTGATCCACCTGCCTCGGCCTCCCAAAGTGCTGGGATTACGGGCGTGAGCCACCGTGCCTGGTCTTGAAATATCTTATATGGTAGCACTTTGATATCTTAAGAATGCAAGGAAGGGAAGGAGGGAGGGAGGGAGGTAGGCAGAAGAGTAGGAGAAGGAGGAGGAAGAACAACAACATCAACAACTAAGATGAGATTTCATTAAGAATTTGCTCTTTAATTAGATCCCGTTTGTCAATTTTTGCTTTCGTTTCAATTGCTTTTGGTGATTTCGTCATGAAATCTTTGCCCATGACCATGCCCTGAATGGTACTGCCTAGATTTTCTTCTAGGGTTTTTACAGTTTTGGGTTTTACATTTAAGTCTTTAATTCATCTTGAGTTTTTTTGTTTTTTTTTTTTCTTTTTTTTAGACAGAGTCTCACACTGTCGCCCAGGCTGGAGTGAAGAAGTGCCATCTCAGCTCACAGCAACCTCTGCCTGCTGTGTTCAAGCAATTCTCATGCCTTAGCCTCCCAAGTAGCTGGGACTACAGGCGCATGCCAACATGCCTGGCTAATTTTTGCATTTCTAGTAGAGATAGGGTTTCACCATTTTGGCCAGGCTAGTCTTGAATTTCTGATCTCAAATGATCCACCTGCCTCAGCCTCCCAAAGTGCTGGGATTACAGGCATGAGCCACCATGCCCAACCTCATCCTTTTTTTTTTTTTTTTTTGAGATAGAGTCTCGCTCTGTCTCCCAGGCTGAAGTGCAGTGGCACAATCTTGGCTCACTGCAACCTCTGTCTCCTGGGTTCAAGCAATTCTCCTGCCTCAGCCTCCTGAGTAGCTGGGACTACAGGCATGTGCCACCATGCCTAATTTTTTTGTATTTTTAGTAGTGATGGGGTTTCACCATGTTGGTCAGGCTGGTCTCAAACTCTTGACCTCAAATGATCTGTCTGCCTCAGCCTCCCAAAGTGTTGGGATTACAGACATGAGCCACTACGCCCGGCCCCCTGGCCTCATCTTGAGTTAATTTTTATATAAGGCGTGAGGAATGGGTTCAGTTTCAATTTTCTGCATATGGCTAGCCAGTTCTCCCAGCACCATTTATTAAATAGGGAATCCTTTCCCCATTGCTTTTTTTGTCAGGTTTGTTGAGGATCAGATGGTTGTAGATGTGCAGTCTTATTTCTGGGTTCTCTATTCTGTTCCATTCATCTATGAGTCTGTTCTTGTGTCAGTACCATGCTGTTTTGGTTATTGTGGCCTTGTAGTATAGTTTGAAGTCTGGTAGCATGATATCTTCGGCTTTGTTCTTTTTGCTTAGGATTGTCTTGGTTATGCAAACTCTTTTTTGGTTCCATATGAATTTTAAAATACTTTCTTCTAATTCCATGAAGAATGTCAATAGTAGTTTAACAGCAATAGCACTGAATCTATAAATTACTTTGGGCAGTATGGCCATTTTCGCAATATTGATTCTTCCTATCCATGAGCATGGAATGTTTTTCCATTTGTTTGTGTCCTCTCTGATTTCCTTGAGCAGTGGTCTGTAGTTCTCTTTGAAGAGGTCCTTCATTTCCCTTGTTAGCTGTACTCTTAGGTATTTTATTCTCTTTGTAGCAATTGTGAATGGGAGTTCATTCATGACTTGGCTTTCTGCTTGCCTGTTGTTGGTGTACAGGAATGCTTGTGACTTTTGCACACTGATTTTGTATCCTGAGACTTTGCTGAAGTTGCTTCAGCTTAAGAAGCTTTTGGGCTGAGATGATAGGGTTTTCTAGATATAGGATCATGTCATCTGCAAACAAAGACAATTTGACTTCCTCTCTTCCTATTTGAATACCTTTATTTCTTTCTCTTGCCTGCTTGCCCTGGCCAGAACTTTCAATACTATGTTGAATAGGAATGGTGGGAGAGGTCATCCCTGTCTTATGCCGGTTTTCAAGGGGAATGCTTCCAGCTTTTGCCCATTCAGTATGATATTGGCTGTGGGTTTGTCATGAATGGCTCTCATAAAAGAAACTATCATCACAGCAAACAGGCAACCTACAGAGTTGGAGAAAATTTTTGCCATCTATCCATCTGACAAAGGTCTAATATCTAGAATCTACAAGGAACTTAAATTTACAATAAAAAACCCATTAAAAAGTGGGCAAAGGACATGAACAGACACTTCTCAAAAGAAGACATTCATGCAGCCAACAAATGTGAAAAAGCCCAATGTCACTGATCATTAGAGAAATGCAAATCAAAACCACAATGAGATAACATCTCATGCCAGTCAGAATGGCAATTATTAAGAAGTCAAGAAACAACAGATGCTAGTAAGGTTGTGGAGAAATAGGAATGCTTTTACACTGTTGGTGGGAATGTAAAATTAGTCCAACCATTGTGGAAGACGGTGTGGCGATTCATCAAAGATCTAGAACCAGAAATACCATTTGACCCAGCAATCCCCTTACTGGGTATATACCCAAAGGAATATAAATCATTCTATTAAAAAGATACATGCACATATATGTTCACTGCAGCACTATTCACAACAGCAAAGACATGGAATCAACCCAAATGCCCATCAATGATAGGCTGGATAAAGAAAATGTGGTACATACACACCATGGAATACTATGCAGTCATAAAAAGGAATAAGATCATGTCCTTTGCAGGGTACACAGATGGAGCTCAAAGCCATTATCTTCAGCAAACTAATGCAGGAACAGAAAACCAAACACCACATGTTCTCACTTATAAGTGGGAGCTGAACAATGAGAACACATGGACACAGGGAGGGAACAACATTCACTGGGGCCTGTCGGGGGTGAAGTGGGGGGAAGGAGAGCATTAGGAAAAATAGCTAATGCATGCTGGGCTTAATATGTAGGTGATGGTTTGATAGGTAGCAAACCACCATGGCACACATTTACCTATGTAACAAACCTGCACATACTGCACATGTACCCCAGAACTTAAAATAAAAATTAAAAAAAAGAGAGAATTTGCATCAAAAGTCCTGGACAACTGAAACATGGCCTTGTTGCTATAACCTGTTCTTATACAATGGATAGTTTATGCTGTATCTTAAAACAATACTTTACAAAAAGAAAATTTGTGACATAATATTTTTTCTTTAGCCTTTGACAAAGTTTTTTTTTAAACAATAACTATTACTACCAATGGTCCTTATTCAGACCATTTTTATCTAGACATAGCCTCATTTCAAACACAATAGCCAATAAGTCCCACATCTACTATGTTCAGAGAGCATGCTAACAAAACAGAAAAAAAATCATACTGCAAATCACAACGCAAGTCATCCTACTGAGGCTGAAAAAGGACTGACATCAGTCAGTCTAGGACTGCAACTTAATTACTGAGCAATTAAATTAAAATGACTCACCCCCAAACTCAATAGATACCCATATCGTGATGAGAGCTATGTGGGACTAAGATAGAGTCTGCAGGAAGTAACAGAATTTACTCTAATAAATGAACAGAGCAGTGCCTCAGCACCTACCAGGTGCTTTCAGAGTCACAGAATCTTCTAGAGGAAGTGTTTATCCATATTCTCACAATCTCCTAGAAAAGGACTAAGTATTACAGTATTAGTGTAATACAAAAACATTAATCATCACTGGACAATTAGTGATTTTCCTGGAGATGTCATTCAGGCATTTCAAAGGATTTTTGTGACGACAACCTGATGACAGTGTTAGAATGCTTAAAAATTAAAAAGCCTGCATTCCCATAAATTCTTGTATTCAAAAATAAACTTTACGGGAAACATGAACTTTCAAATGGCTTACTAGAAACTCAAGGAAGAAAGAGACATTTGGTATCTAGGAAATTTCAGATCTACCACTGATGTAAGTGACTGCTAAACAAATCTAAGTGATCAACTTTCCAAGGGACACACACAGGTTTAATATAAAATGGCAAAATTGGGAGGCCAAGGCAGGTGGATTGCTTGAGGCCAGGAGTTTGAGACCAGCCTGGCTCACATAGTAAAACCCCATCTCCACTAAAAATACAAAAATTAGCCGGGCTTGGTGGCACAAACCTGTAACCCCAGCTACTCATGTGGCTGAAGCACAAGAATCACTTGAACCCAGGAGGCGGAGGTTGCAGTGAGCTGAGATGGTACCACTACACTCCAGGCTGGGCGACAGAGTGAGACTCTGTCTCAAAAACAAACAAACAAACAAACAAACAAAAGGCATTTTTAAAATAAAATAACATCAGATCTTAATTATTCAGAGATTATCCAGGTCCTCTGCTGCTTCTCTTCTGCCACCTGTGTTGCTCCATCTTTTAGATATTTCCACAAGATGGAAAAATAAAGTGAACTTAAACTGGTTAATGTGACCATATCACAGCAGCTCTGCAAAACATTTTCTGGAAAAGGAGATTAGGACTATTGGCAGGAACTTTATTTATTTATTTATTTATTTACTGAGATGGAGTCTTGCTCCATTGCTCAGGCTGGAGTGCAGTGGCACGATCTCAGCTCACTGCAACCTCCGCCTCCCAGGTACAAGCAATTCTCCTGCCTCAGCCTCCCAAGTAGCTGGGACTACAGGTGTGTGTGCCACCATACCCAGCTCATTTTGTATTTTTAATAGAGACAGGGTTTCACCATGTTGGCCAGGCTGGTCTCAAACTCCTGACCTTGTGATCTGCCCACCTTGGCCTCCCAAAGTGCTGGGATTACAGGTGTGAGCCACCGTGCCTGGCTGGGAGGAACTTTAACTGTGACTTCACACTACTTTGGAAAATCATACCCTATGGTGCAATTAAGGCAGAAAAATATTTTTATTCCCAAATATTTCCCTTCCTTTGATGACCAGGACTACTGCCCTCAGCCTAGGTTATGTTTTAAACACATAAATACTCCCAGGAGAGGTCATTAACACCTTTCTATTACTTAAAAATCAAGAGATTTATTTTCTCCCAGGAAGAATGAACCATGTAGTCTGCCTTAAAGCATTAAGAGGGACTGGGGCTAGTGGGTGTAGGACCAAACCCTGCAAAGCACAAGATATAAAAGAATCAGAAAAGTAACAAAGGCAAATCCTTCTCCTTACTCTATAATTCCTATAAGATACACACACAGATCCATAGGTAAAATATTTTCAGTTATTCAGATTTGCTGATCCATACCCTCCATGCCTTCCTTCCTTTCTCCTTCCTTCCTTCTTTCCTTCCTTCCTTCCTTCCTGTTTTTTTTTTTCTTTTTTTTTAATTTTTTTTTCACATGTCTTGCTTTGTTGCCCAGGCTGGAGTGCAGTGGTGCAATCTTGGCTCACTACACCCTCCGCCTCCCGGGTTCCAGCAATTCTCCTGCCTCAGCCTCCCAAGTAGCTGGTACTACAGGTGCGCGCCACCACACCCAGCTAGTTATTGTATTTTTTAGTAGAGAAGGGGTTTCACCATATTGGCCAGGCTGGTCTTGAACTCCTGACCTCATGATCTGCCTGCCTCAGCCTCCCAAAGTGCTGGGATTACAGGTGTGAGCCACCGTGCCTGGCCCATGCCTTTCTTTTTAAAAAGTATTTTTTTTCTGATGGGGTCTTGGTATGTTGCCCAGGCTGGTCTTGAATTCTTTGGGTCAAGCAATCCCCCTGGCTTGGCCTCCCAAGTAGCTGGGATTATAGGTGCATGCCAACACACCTGGCTTCCATGCCTTTCTAATCACTCAGTTACCAAGGCTGCTAGACATCAAGAAAACCTAGGGAACCTTACAAAGGGGGCATTAGCAAGATAATCTCAATAAAAACCAAAGTCTGAATTTACACATACACACACATACCCTCCTACTGCTGTGGTTCCATTTTTATCTGCAGGCTCAGGGCCTGTGCGTTAACAAGGCAATGAGATTCTAAAAACACTATCCACTCAAAGTTGTTTAACTTTCCAAGAAGAGAGAAAGTGGGAATGTGCCAAGAATAGGACCCAGAGGTTCTTCTTTTGGTTTGAGATTTCTTGGTTAGAAAAAAGCTAGAGCCATAATTTAGCTAGATAGATATTCCTGTCCTGCCAATATGTGGTCAAAAGGAACATGTATTTTGGCCCAGGCCACCCTGCCTTGTTTCTGAAAGGAAGAAAACAGTTTTGATCTTGCAAGAATGAGTGGTTCTTTGGTTGGATGAATTATGTACAGCTAAACCAAGAGTAATCACTATTCTTTTTTTCCTAGAGATTTCAAAGCAGTCTGACATACACTCTGTTCCCTGTTATAGGCCAGTGGATAATAAAAGGTAGAGGTACCACCAATCTTTGTTTCACTACTAGACAAAAAAAAAAAAAAAGAAAAGAAAGAAACTTAGAGATTTTCCTTCATTATGTGAAGTCCATAATTCCCAGCTCTTTGATTCAACCTATCACTGGCTAACCCCTGACTCACATCTGACTCCCGAGTTTTGATACTTTCAAACCCAACTGGTAAACATTGAACAGGGTAGAATGGGAACTAATTAGAAATACCTGATTCCGTATTGATTTACGTAAGCGCCAGCACTTAAGCATTTACAAAGGGATTTTAGAAACATCCAACAAAATAAAATAAAATGTAGCCAAGTTATATAAACACTCAAAGTTAAATGCAATTAAATAACTGGCTAATTTCTCATGCATTAAAGGGCTGTACAAAATAAATAAATATGGCCAGGTGCGGTGGCTCACGCCTATATTTCCTAGCACTTTGGGAGGCCTATGTAGGCGGATCACTTGAGCCCAGGAGTTTGAGACCAGCCTGGGCAACATGGCAACCCCGTCTCTACAAAAAATACAAAAAATTAGCTGGGCACGGTGGTGGGTACCTGTAGTCCTAGCTAGTTAAGAGGCTGAGGTGGGAGGATCACCTGAGCCCGGGAGATAGAGGCTGCAGTGAGCTGTGATTGTGCCACTGCACTCCAACCTGGGTGACAGAGTGAGATCCTGTCTCAAAATAAATAAATAAACAAATGGCTAATTTCTATGTTTTTTCTCTTTCTCTCTCTCTTTTTTTTTTTTTTTGAGACGGAGTCTCGCTCCTGTTGCCCAGGCTGGAGTGCAGTGGCTCAATCTCAGCTCACTACAACCTCCACCTCCCCGGTTCCAGCAATTCTCCTACCTCAGCCTCCCAAGTAGCTGGGATTACAGGTGCACACCAACACGCCTGGCTAATTTTTGTATTTTTAGTAGAGATGGGGTTTCACCATGTTGTCCAGGCTGGTCTCGAACTCCTGACCTCAAGTGATCCACCCACCTTGGCCTCCAAAGTGTTGGGATTACAGGTATGAGGCAACACGCCCAGTCCTGTTTTCTCAAAACATCACACCCTAGTTCATTTTACAACTTTTCATTTTAGGCAGGAATTTTTTTTTTTTTTTTTTTTTTTTTTGAGAAAGAGTCTCTCACTCTGTTGCCCAGGTTGGAGTGTAGTGGCATGATCTTGGCTGACTACAACCTCCACCTCCCAGGTTCAGGTGATTCTCCTGCCTCAGCCTCCCAAGTGGCTGGGATTACAGGCAAATGCCACCACGCCCAGTTAATTTTTGTATTTTTAGTAGAGATGGGGTTTCACCATGTTGGCCAGGCTGGTCTCGAACTCCTGAACTCAAGTGATCTGCCTGCCTCGGCCTCCCAAAGTGCTGGAATTACAGGCGTGAGCCACTGTGCCTGGCCTTTAGGGAGGATTTAATGGTTACCTGTTAAGATTTTCTGTATTTTGCTGGGCGTGGTGGCTCATATCTGTAATCTCAGCACTTTGGGAGGCCAAGGTGTGTAGATTGCCCGAGCTCAGGAGTTCACAACCAGCCTGGGCAACATGAAAAAACCCTGTCTCTAAAAAAACAAAAAGAAAAACAAAAACAAAAACAAAAATTAGCTGGATATGGTGGCACATGCCTGTAGTCCTAGCTACTTGGGAGGCTGAGGCAGGAGGGCTGCTTGAGCACAGGTCAAGACTGCAGTGAGCTGTGTTTGCGCCACTGCACTCCAGCCTGGGTGACAGGGCAAGACTCCATCTCTAAAAAAAAAGAAAGAAAAGAAAAAAGAATTTTCTGTATTTTGAAAAACTTTGACTGAAAGAAATTTGGTTAAAAAATTATTTTTAGGTGTTCTGGCTTGATGTGTGGGAAATCATCTTATTTTTGGCTAAGTAGAACTAGTTCCCATATGACAATGGACAGCATACCTGAAGAAAACCACTGAAAAGCTGAAAGGCAGATCACACTGAAGGAGAAATAAATTTCACTTAAATCTCAAAGAAACCAAAATGACAAAACTCTTAGCACATTAAAAAAAGAGTGTTGTTGATTTTAGTTTGAAGTTCAGATTAGGGCCCCTCATCATTCCTGATGAGGTTCATTCCATTTGCAACAACTCATTTGCAAACAAATTTGATAAACAAACTACAATATATTTACATGAAAGAAACAGAGAGGAATTGAAGAAAAAAAAAAAAACCCACAGCTGGGTGCAGTGGCTCATGTCTGTAATCCCAGCACTTTGGGAGGCCAAGGTAGGTGTATCACTTCAGTCTGGGGAGTTCAAGACTAGCCTGGGCAACATGGTGAAACCCATTCTCTACTAAAAATACAAAAATTAGCCAGTGTGCTGGCGCACACCTGTAATCCTAGCTCTTCAGGAGGCTGAGTGAGGCAGGAAGACTGCTTGAGCCCAGAGGTCAAGGCTGTAGTGAGCTGTGATCGGGTCACTGTACTCCAGTTTGGCCAACAGAGTGAGACCCTGTCTCGAAATGAAATAAAAAAAGAAAAAGAATAATAATAAAAAAAATAAATAAACAAAGTCATCCAGAGTTGCCTGAACATCTGCACATCACTACAGGCTGAACAAAATATGCAATAGTACTTGCTTTCTAAGGATGATAATCTACAGATTAAGATGGGGAAATATCATAATACATCTAATACAAAAACAGGAACACAGCATCAGCAATGAATTTGAAACTCCTTGGCAGAGGAGGAAAGCAGAAGTGGTACTAATCAAACCAATTCTGGGATTGCAGTTCTTCTCCAACAAAAGGGATCACCAACTTACTCTGCCATCTATCTATTCCCAGCCTTCTCAATGTGGTTTCTCTAAGTTAACTCATGACAGCACCATTAGGGAGAAATAGGCATAGTTAGAAAGCAGTCTTTCTCTTGACCCTTCTCTAGAGAAAGCAAATAAAGCTATGTAAGGAGGGCAAATGTTGAAATGACCAAGGATAAGAGGACTTTCAATTTCAGAAAATGCTGATTTGGGGAAAAAAAGTTTTGGATTTTGTTTTTTTGGCTGGGGTGGAGTTGTATGGGTTGTGAGGATTAATTTTATTGGGTTTCCCACTGCAAAAGCTCTTCCTATCTGTTTATATCTCTGTTTATATATGAGGCAAGGTAGCCTCTTATTCTCTGTATTAGTTTGCTAGGGTTGCCACAGCAAAGTATCACAGACTGGGTGGCTCATGCAACAGAAATTTTATTTCTCATAGATCTGGAGGCTAGAAGTCCAAGATGAAGGTGTCAGCAGGTGTGGTTTCTCCTGAGGCCTCTCCTTGGCTTGTAGACAGCTATCTTCTCTCACGGCCTTTTCTTTGTGTGCAGGTACAGCTGGTGTCTTTTCTGTGTGTGTGTATGTAAGGACACAAGTCATTCTGGATTTGAGCCCCTCTCCCCCTGCCCCACAGTCTCATTGTAACTTAACTGCCTCTTTATGTGTTTATCTCCAAATGCAGTTACATTCTGAGGTACTGGGAGTTGGAATTTCAACATATGAATTTTGGGAGGATGCAACAAAATACTCCCCAGTGCTTAGAGGGTCCTGTGCTTATCAAGCATCTGGTAAGTGTTTGTGGTTGATGGTGATGATCTCACACCTATTTCCTGATTTGCTGCCCACATGGTACAAATAATAATTTCTGGTATTTAGTCCATAAATAAGAAAAACACAACAGACCAAAGCTATCTGCTTAATTGCCCAGGTCTGCCAGCCCATTTTGGCAGAAGCCATATCTGGCCTCACCCTCATTGAACTTGATTTTGAAATGTAATTTAATTTACGGGGACTGCCAGGATAAAACCTGTGAGGAAGGGGATTAGAAAATGGCACAAAAGAAATCTCTCCTACCCCACAACTAGATCCTATTAAGTGTCTTGCCTGCCATGCTATATCCCAAAGTCTAGCCCTGAAGACTAACTCAGGATCTGGCACACCATCCTGAGAGAGAATAATATGGGGATGAGGGATTAGGAGAAAGGATTGCAGTCACTGCATGAAGTTAGTCACCAAATCTCTCTAACTCAAATAGCTTCATGCAAACTTCTGGAGGTGGTGTTAGACAGACAGGAAGATAGGAGGTTGCTTTATTATCTAAAGTTGAATTCTGACATCACTTGGGTTGCTGGGGCCTTTGTTCAAATGCAATAATCATCCCTCACATTAACAATGTGTTTCCCAGTTTAGAAAGCCCTTTCACATGCATGATCTCATCTGATCCTTAGAACAGAACTGTTAAACAGGAAGAGATCAAGCCAGAAGGTAAGGCATTTTGAATAACTGTAAAAATGACAGAATTTGCCCATCTAACCCAAAGCACATCCTTCCAGTCATATTTGGCAGAAAGATTTTATCAGAAAATGCAATGGATTTTAAGGGCTTTGATATACTTCTAATCTAAGTTAGGGAGGAAAAGAAAGTAAGACCTCATTTACTTAAAATCGCACACAATTCTATAAACTTGGTTTAAAAGTTCCGTCCTTTACAAAACGCAGAGTAGGAGTCAGGTCCTAACTAGGGAAGAAACAGACTTTCTTACTTGGACATCACTCATTCTTTGAAAGCAGTGGAGAGAATAGAAAAGTTGGGGGCGGGGAGTGCGGGGCAGGGTGCAGGGATCATTTCTGGACCCTTGGGAAAAACGAAATGCCTAAAAAATGAAAAGCCACTAAAGAAAAATCAGCATGGAAGACAGAAGTAGGAGAGATTGTGGGAAAAGTCTGACAAATCGGAACACTTTAGCAAATTCAGGGGGAGCCAGAAATCACACAAAATAACAAAAAATAATGATAATGATAACCAACAATGGCTAACATTTATTCCACACATACAAAATGCCAAGCATTATGTGAAGTGCTGTACATGTGTTATTTCAGTTGGTGAGAATAATTTTATCCCATTTTACAGATGAGGAAAGTGAGGAAAGATAAGGAGTAATTTGTTCAAAGCCACACAAGTAGTAAGTAGCAGAGCTGGTTTTAAACCCAGATCTATCTGGCTTCAGGACCTGAGCACTTAACTGTTTCACAATCCTGACTCACATTCATATAGAACATAAACGCCATCATTAATAGGCACTAATTACCCACATGTAAATGTTATTCTAAGATTCAGTTAACTTTAAGAAAGACTCAAAGGAAAGCAGGGTGTTGCCAGTCTAACACTCAGAGTCAACCTTAAGTAGCCTATGAAAACCACTTTATGTACAGGCAACGAGTACATACATTTTGGTAGATTTCTAGCATGAATGTAGTAGTGTGATGGGGCAGCAGCCCGGCTGAGTTAATATGTGCATGTGACCCAGGCAGAGAAGCATGTTAAAAAGAGACTCAGTTCCTCTTATGAGGCAAGGTGGTCTCTTATTCCTTCTATCTTTCTGTGGGTATGTGTGGGGGCAAAGAGGGAGGCAGGGAGGATCCAGTATATAGCTACTTATTACCATCAGCAGCAGAACTGTAGGCAAGGTTCATCTTTGTCATTTTTTTTTTTTTTTTTTTGAGACGAAGTTTTCGCTCTTGTTGCCCAGGCTAGAATGCAATGGTGCGATCTCGGCTCACCACAACCTCCGCCTCCTGGGTTCAAGTGATTCTCTTGCCTCAGCCTTCTGAGTAGCTGGGATTACAGGCATGTGCCACCATGCTCGGCTAGTTTTGTATTTTTAGTAGAGATGGGGTTTCTCCATGTTGGTCAGGTTGGTCAGGCTGGTCTGGAACTCCCGACTTCAGGTAATCTGCCTGCCTCAGCTTCCCAAAGTGCTGGGATTTACAGGCATGAGCCACCACGCCCGGCCTTTTTTTTTTTTTTTTTTTTTTTTTTTGTAATGAGACAGAGTCTCGCTCTGTCGCCCAGGCTGGAGTGCAGTGGTGCTATCTTTGCTCACTGCAACCTCCGCCTCCTGGGTTTAAGTGATTCTCCTGCCTCAGCCTCCCAAGTAGCTGGGACTATAGGCGCATGCCTCCACGCCCGACTAATTCGGGTATTTTTAGTAGAGACGGGGTTTCGCCATGTTGGCCAGGCTGGTCTTGAACTCCTGACCTCAGGTGATCCGCCTGCCTCGGCCTCCCAAAGTGTTGGGATTACAAGCATAAGCCACCACAACCGGCCAAGAAAAACATCTTAACTACAACTTAACATAGTTTCTCTGTAAAATTACAGTCTCTGTTTATCTCATCAACTTGGTTTGGCAACTTTTTTACCAATGGAGGAAGCAAGAACAGAATATGGTCCTGGCTGAGATGCCTTAGTTGGGTTTTGCTGGTTTCTGAAGAATTTTAGCCACACTTATAAAACATAAGACATCTGAAATACTGTTGTTATATAATTTCAAGCACATAAAAAATACAACAGGGCCGGGTGCAGTGGCTCACGCCTGTAATCCCAGCACTGTGGAAGGCCAAGGCAGATGGACTGCTTGAGCCCAGGAGTTCAAAACCAGCCTGGGCAACACGGCAAACCCCATCTCTACAAAAAAATACAAAAATTAGCTGGGCGTGGTGCCTCATGCCTGTAGCTACTTGGGAGGCTGAGGTGAGAGAATCAATTGAGCCCAGGAAGCAGAAGTTGCAGTGAGCCAAGATCATGCACTCCTGTCTAGGTGACAGCAAGACCCTATCTCAAAAAAAAAAAAAAAAAAGAAAGAAAGAAAGAAAGAAAGAAAGAAAAAAAAAACCCACCAAAATTATGACTTTCCTATCTATATTCTACCCAGATTCACCAATTGTTCCATTGTTTACATTTTACTATATTTGCTTTGTCAATCGTTCTCTCACACACAACCACTTGTAAGTACAGGATGTCATACCCCTTTATCTCTATTTAGCTTAGTGTATATTTCCTAACTCACATAGCCACAGTTATATAATATTGATAAATACTATCTAATACAGTCTATATTCAAATTTTATCAAATGCCCCAGTAATACCCTAACTAGACTTTTTCCCAGAATCAAATCTATAATCACACACTGGATTTAGATGTCATAACTCTTTTATCTTTTACTCACACTATTATTCCCACATTGAATGTTCTCACTACTTCTAAATCTCATGTATCTTTCAAGGCCTAGATTAAGTTCCATTTTCTTAATGAAGATTTTCCTGATATTCCAGCCAAACAGGCCTCTCCCTCCTCTGAATCAGTGGAAAATTTAATGATCTTAAAAATGTGAGAAATATTGCACACTATGTGTGCGTGTGCCTAATCTATTGACTAGTTCCTCTCCCCAGTGATTAGTGAACATGGGCTTTGAAATCATACAGACATAAACAGAAATCTAAATAAAGACTCCACCACCTTCTAGCTGTGTGGTTGGCTAGGTTTTAGTTTCCTAATCTGCAAAATAGTCGTTTTAACCGATTTAACAAATAAGGTAGTTGTGAGAATTTAATGATAATGCATTTAAAGCAACTTCACAGTTTTTTGGTGGTAAAACTGTGTCTTACACCTCTGATTTTTTACCATAATATCTCATACTCAACAATATTAAAAAATGTTGGCCAGTTAAGCACTATCTCTATTTACTTTCCCAAAGGGAAAAAAAAGTGCTTCACTCTGACAGTAACTCACTGCACCCCTAGCAATCTAGTCTGACCAAGGAACCTCGCTGCCAGCCTGAAATCTGCAGCAGTATCCTGCTTCCTCGATCTTCCTAATGGCTACCTCCTGATATCCTGCTGCTGCCTTGTACACATGCATCGGCTAGTGGAAGAATACCAGAGGCACCAGAGTCAAGTGTGTTCCTTCCCTCCAAGCTCTGGGCGTGACACTGGCCAGTGCAGCAGAGTGGAAGAGTATGACAGGGCACCAAACACAAACAAGACTCCAGTCTGGAGCAGCCAAGAACATGAGCCTGCTTAGGGGACTGCTAATGAGCACTGACTAAAAGCAGGGTCCAGAGCTCAGGTGCGAACTCTCTTTCCTGTCTGCCCATCACTGGCAATCCTAAGAAAGAAGAGGAGAGTACTCAAATCAAGCAATTTTCTTATAATCAAATTGGGAGATAATTTTAATATTCAAAAATAACACTGAAAAATCAGGAAGTCCACAGTTAAGATGCCATTCATACTTCATTTCCATAATTCCCTTGCCCTCTTGATAAGAGCAAGGGAGGTAGTATGCAGAACATTTCCAATCTATTGTTTTAGTATAATAATCTCATCCTCTCCACCTCTGAGAAAATACCAATAAAATTATTCTACTTATATCCAGTCAATCCTCTGTGTAAGAGATTAGAACAAAACAAAACAAGAAATACAGCAGCTGCATCAATTCTTCAAAGTACAGAAGTACAAACCCACCTCGAGATTTGGGATCAAATATAATTTGGGGTTTTCTATGTTACTACTCAAATATTCTATCATTTTTCTGTTTTTCCTTCTGTCAATTAGAACTTCAAATGAAAGTAAAATGCTACCTATGGATAAAAATATAAAATGAAACAAACCAGAAAAATCCCTGAATCCCTCATTTCAAACTGAGAGGACAGGCCTCCTGCAAAGCTAACGGAAAATTGTATCCTCATAAATGGGCTGTGATGAGTATTTACATTTGCCATCTGAAAAGAGAAAAGAAAATTCTAAAGCAAAGCCTTTATATTTCTCTTCATCAATGAAGAGTAAAAATACTGTAACACAAATATAAAATGAAACTTCCAATAATTCTGCCATTTATAGAGCAAAGGCCCTAAGTTTTAGTCTGCCTCTGAGAAATACTTATTAAACAACTGCAGGCTAAATCAATGTGATGACAATGGACATACTATATCCTGAAGGTATGTTAGCATCTATTTCTTAGAATATAATGGCTCAGGCCAGGCAGCACAGTGGCTCATGCCTGTAATCCCAGCACTTTGGGAGGCCAAGGCAGGTGGATGACCTGAGGTCAGGAGTTGGAGACCAGCCTGGCCAACATGGTGAAACCCCGTCTCTACTAAAAATACAAAAATTAGCTGGGTGTGGTGGTGGGTGCCTGTGATCCCAGCTACTCAGGAGGCTGGGGCAGGGGAATCGCTTGAACCTGGGAGGTGGAGGTTGCAGTGAGCCTGGGTGACAGAGCGAGACTCTGTCTCAAAAATAAAAATAAAAACCATAATGGCTCTATCAGAAATTTCCAGAAAATCATATACATATATATATATTTTTTTGAGACGGTGTCTTGCTCTGCTGCCCAGGCTGGAGTGCAGTGGCACAATCATAGCTCATCATAACCTCGATCTCCTGGGCTCAAGTAATCCTCCTGCCTCAGCCTCCTGAGTAGCTAGTACTACAGGCACTCACCACGACATCCAGCTAATTTTTTTTTTTTAATTTTTTTGTAGTGATGGAGTCTTGCTATGTTGCCCAGGCTAGTCTTGAACTCCCAGACTCATGCGACCTCCCACCTCTGCCTCCCAAAGTAGGGGGACTACAGGCATGGGCCACCCAGTCCATATATGCTTTTGTAGACATCTTTAATTCAAGGAGAAAAATCTCTTCTCAGTTCACTCCACCGCATCACTCATGAGATCTTAATATAATGCTTAAAAGTTCAGTATATTTAGAACATTTTGAAGATTAGGGTTAGAAAAGAGTCTTTGCATGTAAATGCTGTTATTTTATACTGTTTCCCTTTCTCTTTACTTAAAAAAAAAATCAGGAAGTGAGCCTTCTCCATCATTACCCATGGAACCCAAAGCAGTATTAAGAGAGAAAAAATCATTGATTTAAGAGTCTGACTATACAGGTTTAGATATGTCCCCACTACTATTAGCTGTGTGACCTTGGGGAAAAAAATTAATTTTTTGAGTCTTGGCTTCCAAATCTAAAAAATGGAAAAATAATACCTATCTTGTAGGACTGTTAAAAAGACTAAATAAGATGGCATATGTACAAGCACCCAACATTGTGTCAGGTATGAAACAGACTCTCAATAAATGTTTGTTTAGTCCTTCTTCCTACCTTGTTACACATACCCCGTCCCTTGACACTTTATAAGGAGTTCTAAACATTTTAACTACCAGCTCTGTTTTCTTCAAAACAGGCACTTGGCTCTTAATAGTGACAAACAGTCATGTGAAAGACTCCTGGGGCCTGACATTGTTCCGGAGAAACAAAAAAGTTCTCATGTTAGGGAACAGTACCAACTGCTTCAGGCTATGACAAGCCCCAAAACATAAATCTCTTCCTGCATGTTTTTACAGTGTTACTTAACATCCTGAGAGCTTTGTGCTCTTCCAAGAGTCTTTTTCTCCCTGTAAGGATCAGGCACACTGTTTGCCCTCTTTTCCCTTAAGAGAGGTCTTTATTCAACATGACCACCCACTGCACTCAAATATTTGGAATCAGAAAAGGCCAGGTTCGACCATGAAGAAACTGGCAAAGTCTCAGGACTAAACAGTAAGCCCTTCTTAACCTTTTAAAATCTGGATTTCTGTGCTTGCTTTTCTTGAAAATAGCAGACTTGTTGATGTACTGGTTCAAACACATCTGTGTATTTTCCTCACCTACATTACCAAAGAACTTACCACGTAGACTTCTTACTGAAGTCCTGAATCTCAGACTATGACTACAATTTAATAAGGCAGTGCTTCCCAACCTCTCTCACTTCATGGTACAGACAGACCTTGAAAAATGGCACCTCTTGGAAAGCTCTGAACTAAAGGGACTTGAAAGTATTGATGACTACTAATGGGACTGTTGGGGCTCAAAAAACAATATCCCAAAGCATGGCACTTTGGCATGGTGAGTACTTTGAACTAAAAGACTGGATGGCCCCAGAAGTACCCTCAGAAGCCAAGCCTCTGACTTTCTCCTGCCTTCCTGTCTCCCTCCCCTCTTTCCCGTTTCAAGTCATAGAAACCAGAATTCTTCTTCCCCAGGGTGGGTCACAGAAACTAGAACCCCTCTCCCTCAAAGCAAGCCATAAAACCTAGAAAGGTCACTCTCTCCCTTCTAAACCCTTATTCCAGAGGGTCCTGCCCCATATCTGGGAGGAAGGAATGCTATACAGACAGGCCAATAAGAATCTGAACCGAAAGGCCTTGCTGGGCTTCCCCCCTCAGTCTATTACCATTAGAATACACCCCATGTACACTTCTACGCAACTGTCCATTCTTTATCAAACCTAAGCATAAAAACAGACAGTTTTCCCTATGTCTTGGGATCTTCATTCTGAAGCCTTCCCTGTCATATAAAACTTGGATGAAATAAATTTATTATGCTTTTCTCTTGTTAACCTGTCCTTGTTGGCGTGTCAGATGTGACCCTTATGATGGGTGAGAAAAGGTATTATACTTTTTCCACCTTTACAAGGCTCAGGACATGCCACCCCAAAATGTGCCTCATTAGCATAAGGATTATTGTGAGAAACTTGTAAGTGAAATGCACATCTATAAAGAAAATCTCCATTCGTAAAGATATCTCCCTCTCTGCACCAGGTAAAGAAAGATGACTAAATCACTAGAGACTCAATCAATAGGGAATACACAAACTTAAATCTGCATTAATAAACCTTACCTTTGTTTTATGGTGCTTTTCGTGGCCATCTTAGCTGGGCCTTTCCCCACTCTTTTTTTGTTTCAGAGAATGACAGTATTTAAGCCTGATGTTTACCCCTTTGAGATCTACCCTAAAGATTTACTCATCTCTCTGGGTTATTTCTCATATATACAAGAGGTATCTTATTACATTTCCATCTGTTTTTCTCTTGTTAATCTGTATTTTTTGAACGGTGTCCCAGATAAGAACTTGTGAATGGTGGAGGAGAAAATTATTTTTCCTCCCTCATACTACAAAAGGTTAAAGTACAAGCAGAATTGAGAGAAAGGTATACAAAGATAAACCTATTTGCCATCTAACACAGAGACTTTAATCACATAAACATAATTGTCTCAACTTCATGTAGCTCAGGGTCAGTGTCCACACTGCCTCACAGAGCTGATCACTCTTCACTTCTGTCAGAACTCAAGGAGAAACGGGATGTCAGAAAAGCAGCTAACGTTTGACTTGGGGCAGTCAGTTGTCAATGTAAGAATCACAGAACTGTAAGTCAGTGAATTAGGCATAAAAAACTAATTCAGTGTCTTATACCTGCCAGGCATAGTTGTAGACAATGGGGATTCAGCTTTAAATAATAGTGTCTGCCCTTCAGCTGGGTGTGGTGGCTCATGCCTGTAATCCCAACACTTTGGAGGCTGAGGCAGGAAGATCGCTTGAGCCTAGAAGTAGATGACCAGCCTGGGCAATATAGTGAGACACCATTCCTATAAAAAAAATCAAAAATTAGCCAGGCATGTTGGTGCACCCCTGTAGTCCCACATACTCAGGAGGCTGAGGTGGGAGACTAACCCCAGGAGGTCAAGGCTGCAGTGAGCTGTGATTGTGCCACTGCACTCAGCCTGGGCAAGAGACCCTGTCTCCCACCCCCGCCAGAAAAGGGCAATTTCAGTAGATTATGTAGGGCTAGATGTGGTGGCTCACACCTATAATCGCAACACCTTGGGAGGCAGGAGGATCACTTGAGGTCAGGAGTTTAAGACCAGCCTAGGTAACATAGCAAGACCACATCTCTACCAAAAAAAAAAAAAAAAAAAAAAAAAGATCAAGATAAGGTAGATTAATACTTTTCATGTCATGAGACAACTATTAGCCACCTCCCAGGTAGTTTATTCAAGGGGATAAAGACAACTGAATAAATTACAGATAGAGGCTGACCCAGTTCCAAATTCAATTCTCACATTCTTATCTAGTTGTTAGGGTTAGTGGAGTCACCTCTGTCCTTTGATAACATACAACAACAGGATGACATCATTTACAGGGAGATCATGAAGACCCAGACGTATAAAATTACAAAGCACAAGACCACAAATCAGAAGACTGAAGTTATAGGATCTACTTCCAATTCTATCACCTCATGGGAATTCACGTAATTCACTTAAAACTCTTGGAGCCTGACTTTCTTCATCTATTCTATCCCACTTCATAGGGTTTTTAGAAAGTTTTAAGAAGACGATATAATAAAAGCACCTGAAAATATTTAAAGCATTGGACAAACGCTAACTATAACTGCCTAATCAAAATGTTTATAAGAAGACTCAAAAGAGAAGAGATGGGCGTAGCTACATTTAAGACCAAAATGAGTTCCTGCTCCTGTATATTAGCTGTTTTAAAACCTTAGCTTCCATTCTATTGTCCCCAAGAGCTTTGGAGGAAATGGATCCCAAAAAACGATATCAGGGTTTACAGAATGCTTTTTAGTGATTGCCCTCAACCTCACCAAGCCAGATCAGAAAATTACTTTCTGAAAGGTTTTCATTTCTTGGTATGCTAATTCTTTCAATTAAGAGATAGGAAATAAGTATGAAGTCACTTCTCTCAGCAATTAAGTCATTATCAAGCACCTTGATAATCTCTGTTCTTCTTGGAATACTGCCCTTTTGGGTATCTCTATCTTAAATTCAATTGCCTCTGGGGCAGACAGGCCAAGTAGACAGTTACAGCTTGCTGGGGCAATATGGGGAGAGTAAGGAGTGGTAGGACTGAAGTGCTGAGTACAGTATCATCTAAAGGGATAATAACTTCTCAGCTCTAGCCTGTTATTTATAGAAAAGTGGGCCCAGTGTTGCCAGATCTTTGCTATTTCAAAAGACTACAGAAACTACATTTTGTGACACACACCCAATTTTATTTTATTTGCACAATGCTTACAGTTATCTAGGTCTACTATAAATGGAAGGATATCAGAGCACACCACCCCAAAATATGCCACCTTCGCAGAATGATTTTTTTTAACTGAAGGCAATTGATAAACAGGAGAAATGCTTTGCCTAAAAGCAGAACATAAATCTCCTTTGTGGAAGTGTCCCTACCTTTTATACAGGAAGGGCAAAATGACTCTTAATCACCTGAGATGATTCTAGAGTCTTATTATTATTAGCCCATAGATGGCAAGAGAGAAATCTGCCTTAAAAACCTCCCTAAAACAACCCCTATATTTACCTTCCCACAATTTACCACCCCTAGAAAGCTCAAACCCCTTTTTTGTCTTGTACATCTCTACAATTTACCACTTTTTGTTAAAAATGGTATATAAGATCTCAGGCCTAACCACTTTAGGTCTTCATTTTTTTTTCTATGAAGTCCTCCATATGCACATGTAATAAACTGTTTCTCCTGTTAATCTGTCTTCTGTCAGTTTAATTGACAGGGCCCCAGACACTGAAACTAGAGGGCAGAGGGAAAAGTTTTCTCCTCTCCTACAAACATAGTGCAGAATTCTCTGCCTGTGAAAGGATGAGTTATGTATTTAAAAAGTATTTGCCTAAAATACTTTTAGGCATTGTGATGCCAATATATGTGATGCCAATGTATACTTTATCATTCTGATATAGGGAAGTAAATATTAAGCAGGGCCTTGCAAGCTAGAGATGGGAGAGAAGACAGTTCAGGCTGGGCAAACATGATATGCAAAAATACTGAGGTAGAATTATGGGCTGGCATGCTGGGGGATAAACAGACTCATTTTGCTGAAAGATAGGATTCCTTTTGAGAAGGAATAGGGCATAGGTGGGAAAAAATGTGAAAGACATTGAATTCTAGAGTTTTTTATAACCTTTAAAGGAAAAAGTCTGTAGATAATGGAGAGCTATTATGAGGAAGGGATCACTACATTTCATATCTTGTCAAGGGTTATATGTTACTGTTCTTTCCATTTTTTCAAAAATAGAAGATAAAGCTGAATGTTGACACATAAAACTTAGAGTTCTAAAAAATTCCCAAATGAATGCCGGTTTAACTAACCACATTATAAGTAAATTCTGTTGGCAATGTGGTGGTCAAGGCTTTCAAAGCAAAAATTAAATGATCTCTAAGAGGCTATTTCTTTCTAATCAATAAAAACATTTAGAATGTAAACCCCAAAGAAAAGGCTACTGGACAGTTTGGCATTTTGTCAGGTTCATCATCAGGCAGAGCTCTCTTCAATCTGCCTGAAAGCTGGCAAGAAGCTGGATGGAGAAGGCTGGCCTCATAAAAGTCTTCAACCAGGTACAACAGCCCCAGAATGCACTGCCATCCATATTCACCAAGTGGAGATATGCCTCCACCAGCTCATGTTTCAACCTCAGAGTCATTTTTGTTTCTTCTGCAACAAATGATTCTGGGGCTACCAGTCCAGTTGATACTCTCAGGAAAAATTCCTAGAGACAAATGGCCAGGAGAATAGAGCTAGTGACCCTCACCATTACCTGCAATACTAAAATACCAAATTAAATGAACTTTGTTCTTTTAAAGAAAACATCCTAGAAGACAGAGTTGAAAAAGCAATATACAGATTGCTAAATAACTTAAACTTTCCTATAAGGCAATGAGGGAACCATTAATGAATTTTGCCTAGGTAAATAACATGATCCTTAAAATTTTAAGGATTTTAAGGAACACTAACCTGGTGGTAATACTCAGTATGGCTTGAAGTGGTGAGAAAGATCAGAAGCAGGAAGACCAAGGTAAGCAAATGTAGAGCTGGGAATGAATGAGCATGGTAGACCTGCAGAATAGTGAGAAGGCAAGTCTGGGCCTCATAGGGCCTAGGGACCCACCAGGAACTGTTGCTACTCTTGCAAGCATGTAGATTAATATTTTTCTCCACCCTTCCTTTGTTTCTTGATTTACAGTCTCTCACACACACGGATGTGCACTTTCCACACAGTCTCTGCTTCTGCTTACCAATTTTTTTCTTTTCTCCTTTCCAGAAAACTTCTGCAGTATACAGATGGCCAATAATTACTACCCTAACTCAAATTCTATGCGACCTCTGTTTTGGTGCTCATCACCACCTGGCAGCTTCCCTACGTCTATACGTTGAAAATCCTGAGACGACTCTACGTCTCAAAAACTATTATCTCTGTCTGAGTGAAGCTCATCACACCAAACCATAAAATACTTGTTTAGAGTGTGGATAGGTCAACCCCCATTCAGGGTCTCCTCTGATCTAATTAGCTGAGGCCAGTGGTAGGGTTGAAAAGCTGGCATGCTCTACTATTCACACAGCAAGGGTACAGGGAAAGTAGCTTCCTTTAGGTAAGATGACAGGGTAGGACAAACAAAGATACATATCTTTTGCTGTAGTTCAGAAAGAGCAGAAAATAAAGCTACCCTGAGTAGAACACAGAGAATGTTAAAAACCAAGAATGTTAGAAGTGATGGCCATTTAAGATTAGCAAACACATATAAGATTAAATGGTACTGATATAAACAAATTGATTATTTGATTAAAAATGATGTACATGTGCCCCTTGGTCCAAGCAAAGTGCCATATATAAAGAATTAGTTTCACCCAAGTGAAAATTGTTCATTTTCTGCCAGGCACAATGGCTTATGCCTGTAATATCAGCACATTGGAAGTCTGAGGTTAACAGCATCACTTGAGTACAGGATTTTGAGGCTGGACGTGAGCTATGTTCACACCACTGCACTCCAGCCTGGGTGACAGAGCCAGACCCTGTCTCAGAAGAAAAAAAAAAGTTCATTCTCTAAAGGATTTCACAGGTCTTTTAAATATAATCCCTGACATAGTTTGGATATTTGTCCCTGTCCAAATCTCATGTTGAATTGTAATCCCCAATGTTGGAGGGTTGGTGCTGTCTTTGCGGCAGTAAATGAGTTCTTGAGAGATCTGGTCGTTTATTATTTTATTTTGAGACAGAGTTTCACTCTTGTCACCCAAGCTGGAATGCAGTGGCACAATCTTGACTCAATGCAACCTCTGCCTCCCAGGTTCAAGTGATTCTCCTGCCTCAGCTTCCCAAGTAGCTGGGATTACAAGCGCCTGCCACCACCCCAGCTAATTTTCATATTTTTAGTAGACACGGGGGTTTGCCATGTTGGTCAGGCTTGTCTCGAACTTCTGACCTCAGGTGATCCACTCGCCTTGGCCTCCCAAAGTGCTGGGATTATAGGCGTGAGCCACCGCACCCAGCCCAATCTGGTCATTTAAAAGTGGCAATCCCTCCCCCTCCCTCTCACTCTCAAAAATTGAAGTTTCAGAGATCTGATGTTCTTATGATTTTCTAAGAACTTACATATTATGTAGCATTAATAACATATTTTAATAAATCATATTTAAGTTTAATAAATGCTATTTACTTCTAATAATTATATTATCGCTAAATAATCTGAAACCCAAAATATGAACCCCAAACAAAATTAGTATAGGCAAGGAAGGTGACAGACAAGCAAGGATTTCAATAGAAATTAAAACTCATAGCAAGCAATTAAGCCCAGATTCTGACAACCATAATAAGAGATTTTTCTGTTTTCTTAGCATTTGTTTATAATTCAATCTACTATTATGTTATATAAAATTTTCTTTTTTTTCTTTTTCTTTTTTTTTTTTTGAGACAGAGTTTTGCTCTTGTTGCCCAGGCTGGAGTGCAATGGTGCGATCTCAGCTTACCGCAACCTCCACCTCCCAGGTTCAAGCGATTCTCCTGCCTCAACCTCCCGAGTAGCTGGGATTACAGGCAGGTGCCATCATGCCTGGCTAATTTTGTATTTTCAGTAGAGATGGGGTTTCTCCATGTTGGCCAGGCTGGTCTCAAACTCCTGACCTCGGGTGATCCACCCACCTCGGCCTCCCAAAGTGCTGGGACTACAGGCATGAGCTACTGCGCCCAGTCATAAATTTGCTTTCTTTACATGGCTGTTTCTTGAACCTAGAAGACAGATTCTGTTTTGTTTATAGTTTTATCTCTAGCACCTAGCATTGTGCCTGGCACATAACAGGCACTTCTAAATGATGACTTACTGGCTGGTGGGAAGAACATAAGAATGGAACAAAGTAAGGGATGTGTTTGTTGTTGTTATTGTTTTTTTTTTTTTTTTTTTTTGAGACGGAGTCTCACTCTGTTGCCCAGGCTGGAGTACAGTGGCGCGATCTCGACTCACTGCTGCCTCTGCCTCCTGGCTTCAAGTGATTCTCCTGCCTCAGCTTCCCGAGTAGCTGGGATTACAGGTGCCCATCACCACGCCCAGCTAATTTTTGCATTTTTATTAGAGATGGGGTTTTACCATGTTGGTCAGGCTGGTCTTGAACTCCTGACCTCAGGTGATCTGCCCACCTCCGCCTCCCAAAGTGCTGGGATTACAGGCGTGAGCCACTGCGCCTGGCCTGTTGTTTTCTTCTAAACTTTTTGTAGAGATGGGGTCTCACTATGTTGCCCAGGCTCACTGTGAGCTCCTGGCCTCAAGTGATCCTCTGCCTTGGTCTCCCAAAGTGTTGGGATTATAAGCGTAAGCCACTGTGCCCAGCCTAAGGGATGCAGTGAATATTGCTAACCCATATTACTATCCTATAACAAGCTTCATCAAAAAGAATTCTAATGGGCTGGGCAGTGGCTCATGCCTGTAATCTTAGCACTTTGGGAGGCTGAAGCGAGTGGATCCCTCGAGCTTAGGAGTACAAGACCAGCCTGGGCAACAAAGTGAGACCCTGACTATACAAAAAATACAAATATTAGCCGAGTGTGGTGGCATGTGTGTGCAGTCCCAGCTACTTGGGAGGCTGAGGTGGGAGAATCACTTAAACCTGGGAGGCAGAGGTCGCAGTAAGCCGAGATCATGCCACTGCACTCCAGCGTGGGTGAGAGAGCCAGACCCTGTCTTGGAAAAAAAAAAATACTGACGGCACACATTACAGTTCTAATTATTGAGAATAATTTACTATAGATGATATAAGGTTCCATTTCTGTTTACATTGCTGATTTCAGGAAACATGTATAAAGAAGCAACTTTTTCCTGTGCTTTTATGATCTGTGAAGCAAAATTATTCTAGTCATTTTTTAGGGGTAGTATAAAGATGAACTGAGCAATTTTTGAAAATGCTCAATTGGTCTGCCCAGTGAATTATAAAATTTAACTAAAAGTTGAAAGCAAAGATGACTACATGCTAAGTTATAAAATTGTGCCTGTGTTCTATATACGGTCTACACCTAAAATAAACTCATGATAGTGTGGAAGAGATGTACATACTGTAGGGGCCACATACTGTAGGGGCCAAGGGCCCTCTGAAAGTTCACTGAAAAAAATCACTGACATGGGGCAGATTAATAGAAGAAAAGGCAGACAAATCTATTTAACCTGTATTCACAGAAGCCTTTACAATGGAGAACCAAAGATACAGGGGAAATTTTCCATTTTTGTGTGTAGGTTCAACAAACTATGGAAGAGGTATAGAAATACGATTGGAGGCCGGGCGCAGTGGCTCATGCCTGTAATCCCAGCACTTTGGGAGGCCGGCAGGCGGATCACGAGGTCAGGAGATCGAGATCGTTCTGGCTAACATGGTGAAACTCCGTCTCTACTAAAAATACAAAAAATTAGCCAGGCGTGGTTGCAGGCACCTGTAGTCCCAGCTTCTCTGGAGGCTGAGGCAGGAGAATGGCCTGAACCCAGGAGGCGCAGCTTGCAGTGAGCGGAGATCGCGCCACTGCACTCCAGCCTGGGCAACAGAGCGAGCCTCCGTCTCAAAAAAAAAAAAAAAAGAAAGAAAAAGAAATATGATTGGATAAAAAGGGTCTAACACCAAAGAATCTAAAGCTAATAGACTAAGTGGAGAAACCCAGCAAGGCCTGTCTGTCTAAACTCTTCTTGGCCTCTCTGAGCATGCATTCCTTCCTTCTGGGTGTGGGACAGGACCCTCTGTGGAACCAGGGTGTTATGGCCTACAGTCAAATAAGGGAGGTCAGATAATTTCTTTATGGCCAGTTTTTACACACAAAGGCAGAGGGAATGTTAGAGTAATACTCTTAGGTTTTATGCCTGGCTTTGGGGACAAGGAGTTCTGGTTTCTATGACCTGCCTTGGGGAAGAGGGATTCTAGTTGCTATGGTTAGCCTTAGGGGAGAATGAGACTGAGAGACAGGAGAGCAGGGGGCAGAAGGTCAGAAAAACTTCTGCTTTTGAAGCTTTCATTTTGGGGTATTGTTTTCTGAGACCCAGCAATACACAATGAACTACAATTTGAAGTAAAAGGTCAAAGATATAATAGAAAAGGTTTAATTCAGACAGTCCAAGTGACACAGAAAAAAGAGAAAATGTTTAGTTCAGGTATTTGAGTGCGTATTAAGTCTGACAGGAGGAATTAAGAGTTTCATGAAGGAAATGGCATCTGTACTAGGATTTTCATAAGAAATATAGGAATATTTTGAAGCAGAGGGAATATCAAAAGTACAAAAATAGTACAGAGGGTGTTTATATAAATTTAAGTCTAGTCTCATGGAAGAGGAGTCCAGGTGATTTATAGTCAACGTGAGATGTCATAAGGCATTAGGACTTCATACTTCAGGTGATGGGAAGCTGTGATACAATAGGAAATATGTATGGTCTTTGTTTATGGTTTCTCACACACAGCTCCTAAAATCCTTGGAATCTCATGATAAGAGTGTCTTTTGTACGCTAATGAGATGAGTGGTGGCTGGGGGCCCCTAGATAGCTTCAAGATGGGGCTGGTAGTCAGAAAGACCAAAGCATGATTTGAGTGTTAGAAATTTCAGTACTATAGGCTGACCTTCAGGGAGAGGAGAGGAGATGGAGATTAAGTTAATCACCAATGGCCAATGATTTAATCAATGGTGCCTACATGAGACAGACACCATAAAAACCCCAAACAACAGTGTTTAGAGAGCTACCAAGGTGACGAGCACACTGAGGTGCTGAAAGGGTGGTGTACCTGGAGAGGGCATGGAAGCTTTTGGAGTTCCTCCTCCATACCTTGGTAAGTAAAGAACTTTACTTCATGAGCCATTCTAGCATATTATTGAACTGGGGGGTAGGGATCATGAGACTACCCAATTTGTAGCTAGATATAAGTGTGGGTAACCTGGGGACCATATATATATATATAGAGAGAGAGAGAGACAGGGTCTTGTTCTGTCACCCAGGGTGGAGTGCAGTGGTGCAATCAGGGATCACTGCAGCCTAGACATTCTGAGCTCAAGTGATTCTCCTGTCTCAGCCTCCTGAATAGCTAGAACTACAGGTGTCTGCCACTATGCCCAGCTAATTTTTTAAATTTTTTGTAGAGATGGGGTCTTGCTATGTTGCCCAGGCTGGTCTTGACTTTTGGGCTGAAGTGATCCTCCCATCTCGGCCTTCCAAAGTGCTAGGATTACAGGTGTGAGCCACCATGCCTGGCAGGGACTCAATACTTTTGACTGGCATCCAAAATGGGGTTAAGACCTGTGGGGTCTCCACTAACTCTGGGTAGTATCAGAATTTAATTGTAGAACATCCAGTTGGTATTCAGAGAATCAGAGAATTGGTTGGCATGCAGGGGAGAAAAAACCTATACTTTTGGTGTCAGAGGTGTTGTGAATAAAAGCCCAGAAAAGCCATTGAGGACTAAGCTCTCATTTTTTTTTTTTTTAAATCTTGCCCAAATTCCTATCTAAGAGATCTGGGGAGTCATGTCCTACAAACCATAAATTCTCATCAGATGGGTTTTATTTAACCCTATATGTCATGACTTACTTTCCAATCAGACTCTGGCATAACATTATAAGACAGGCAAAAAAATCAAAATATTTAATCCCAAAACATGTTTCTCTGCCATATCTTGAAAATGTCCCTGCAAAGCCATCCTTTGTAGGGTGAAAACCTGCATCTGTAAAGAATCTCTATTAACATAGCTAGATCTTTTTCTTCCAGGTCCTCCCAATCCTGAAGAGATTAGCTAAAGTCTAGTACCTTTTAAAGATCCGAATAGGAAATATTTTTCATCTATTGTCTCTGAGGGCAGCTACTATAAGACTTCAAAAGAACCTTGGTCTCCACAATCTTTTACCTTAACCTGGACATTTCCTTTCTGTGGATCCTAGGTCCTTAGATAAACTCAACCAATTGTCACCAGAAAATGTTTAAATTTACCTATAGCCTGGAAGTACCTCCCTGCCCCTACTGTCCCCTTCCCCGCCTCCTGCCTTTGAGTTGTCCTGCCTTTCTGAACCAAACCAATGTATTTCTTAAATGTATTTGATCGAAGTCTCATACCTCCCTAAAATGTATAAAACCAAGCTGTGCCCTGATCACCTTGGGCACATGTTCTCAGGACCTCCCGAGGGCTGTGCCACGGGCCACGGTCACTCATATTTGGCTCAGAATAAATCTCTTCAAATATTTTACAGTGTTTGACTCTTCAACAATAATCTGGTGCCCAAACACGTGGGGCCACAGAGAAGACTCAGGACCCTGAAGGAGTTGCCTAAAACCCTAGCTAAGGTACTAGCAGGGGCCCAGTGAAACCTCACCAAGTTCTAGCTTCTCCTCTGGTGAAACTGGTAAGTCCTCCTGAGTCCTGGACCTCCCATTTTGGTTGATGGTCCTTGATTTATTCTGAGCTGTTTTTTTTTTCTCTCTCTCTCTTTTCTCCTAGGAAGTTGGTTAAAATCTTAATTTTGGTTTCAGAGGTGTATTCAAAACAGTCATTCTCCATTGCCTTTTCTCTCAAAATTAATCTCAATTGGCTTGTCTGTGTGCACTTTGCGTGAGGAACTGAACTATTATTTTTCATAAGCAAATGAGAGAGTGAGTTCCTCAGCTTTGAAGAGAAAGGGCATTTTGCTCCTCCCAGCTGGAAGGCGCCCCTGGGTGACCAGGGGCCTCGTGGGAGTGTCTGGGAGGTTGACTCTCCGCAACATGCAGCGGCCCTACAGGAAACTCCCCAACAAATATTAAGAAGGCTTGTCCAGGAAACGCATATAAGGGCTGGTCGCCTGGTGTTTTGAGCCCTCTCAGAGGTGACAGACCTCTGAAGAGAGAAACTGAGACACGTAAGAGGGTAGAAACGACTCAGTGTTGAAACACTGTAAAGTGCTGCCCACAAGCAGCACATATTGATCCACCACACAAAAGCCTTAGGCCACAGGTCAATTGCTCTTAAAAAAAAAAAAAAGAGAGAGATAGCAAATAAACCCTCCAAAAGAGAGGAAAGGCAAGGAGAGCGGTCCCCAGTGGGCACCACAGCTGGGTTTATGTTTAATAATTATGGTGCCTTGACTTGCGAGTATTTATGTAAATAGGAAGATCTTACTAAAGATGACCTAGGTCTAAGGTTTCCAAAATGGGGAACTTTTGATGTCCCTAAATTGGTTTTCTTGTGTGCTAGATTAGAAAACTGAGGCTCCCGAATCAAAGAAAATGAATGGGAATCGTACTTAGGTGGCATCTAGAATCATCAAAAAGAGGAAACGATAAGCTTGCCTCTCTTTAGGAAGTTAAAAAAAATTTTGAAACTGTCTCGCCACTTCTAAAATCAGGAAGGCTCCAGAAACTGTCTCCCCTTCTGCTCCTCCTGACCCTCTGCTCTCTCTGAACTTCCTTGTCCAGACAATTTCATTTTTCCTTCTCCCTCCCCTACTCCCTTGCCTCAAGCCACAGGGGGACCAGAAATAGCTGGATAAAATAATAGAGTAGTTGCTCCTTTTAGGGTAAAACCTACAGGCAGAGGGGATCCTAACATAATGTATAGCCCCTGGACCAAATCAGAGTTAAAGGCCCTGGTACCTGGATTCCCCAGTCCGACTGAAGATCCCTTTAAGTTTGCTAAGGAATTCCAATTAACACTTAAGACTTATGATCCAGGGTTCTCTGACATGTGTCAGCTGATTGAGTTACTGGTCCCCAGAACAAAGCTGAAGAATGATTTAGAGTAGCAGATTGGAAACAGCCTTTAGAAGATTTTGACAAAATAGATGCAGCTGGAAGACAGAAATGGAGAGCTCTGCAATCGCCTCTGTGAAACTGTACCACAGATATTCTCCACGGTTACAGATTGGGCAAAGGTGAAACAATGTAAAATACGCCCAAACAAAATTGTGCCTGACTTTTATATCAGGTTTGAAAAGACATTCAAACAGTTTTCAGGAATACCCTTGGGGAAAGTAAGTGACATCTTACTAAATTCTGGGTTTATGCAAGGTTTAGATAAGGAGTTAGCAACCCTAATAAAGAGGAATAATGTGGCTTGGGCTTCCTTGCCCACCAGTCACTTAGTCAACCCTAGCTGACATCAACCCTAGCTGACCTAGCTGTCACAATCATTAAGAAAGAAAAGGAGGCCAGGCACGGTGGCTCACACCTGTAATCCCAGCATTTTGGGAGGCCAATATGGTGAAACCCTGTCTCTACTAAAAATAAAAAATTAGCTGGGTGTGGTGGCGCATGCCTGTAATCCCAGCTACTCGGGAGGCTGAGGCAGGAGAATCTTGCTTGAACCCAGAAGGCAGAAGTTGCAGTGAGCCAAGATCGCGCCATTGCACTCCAGCCTAGGCAAGAGACTCTGTCTCAAAAAAAAAAAAAAAAAAGAAAGAAAGGAAAGGAAACAGTCTCTAAAATTATGAGTTTACAACTAAAACAACTTAGAAACCAAGTTGGGAGTTTGCAAGGGTCCCATGGTCCCCAGAGATCTAAGCGACCCCAAGAGGAAGCAATTTGCCACTATTGCAAAAAGAAAGAATATTTTAAAAAAAGAATGCAAAAAACTTAAACGGGTGCTTGCACAAAGGGGGCAAAGGGCCCCAGAGGAAGGCACCAGAACAACTCAAAAACCAGAATAGGGATGCTCTGAGGGAACAGAGAGGGTTTCCCCCCTACTTCTAACTAATGCTTTAGGAGAAGTAGAAATAGCCATAAATGGGGAAAATACCAGAGCCTTTGTCGACACCAGCGCTATACTGTCGGTCCTCATCCCTACCTAGATTAAAAACCCTCTCCCTTGGAGTAAAGAAAAAGTCCAAATGGTAGGGGTTTCAAACTCTCTTATTATAGCCTTTAAATCAAATCCCTTTCAATTTTAATTAGGAGGACTAGTGAGGCATCACCTTTTTCTTATAGTAGATAGTACCCCCATACACCTACTACAACAGGATTTCCTAGAGACCCATAATGCTCACATCTCATTTTCACAGAAGGGAGAAATGATTCTCAACTTGGGAGATGCAGACTTACAAAAGCCCACATGTACATTATGCTTGTGAAAGTTAATCAAGATTCTGGACAGGAAGAATTAGAGCCTTTCTTACCTAAGGTACCAGACTCCCTATGGGCAAACTCTTCCACAGATACTGGTAGAATTCAGTCAGCAGTCCCTATAGAGCCAACCCTAAGTAAATCCAAACCCCTGCCAAACGTAAGGCAATAGCCCCGAAGACCTGAAGCCTTACTAGGAATCAAATCAGTCATTCAGGACGATTTAGACAAAGGACTTATAATACCCTGCACCAGCCCTTGGAATACACCAATTATCCCAGTTAAAAAGCCAAATGGGACAAGCTGGAGACTTGTTCAAGACCTAAGAGCTATAAATAAAATAATAATTCCTAGACACCCTGTTGTTCCTAACCCCCACACCTTACTGTCCAATATTCCTATCACTGCCAGCCACTTCTCTGTTACTGATTTATGTAGTGCATTCTTCAGTATACCTGTGGAGCAAAATAGCCAGTATCTTTTTGCTTTCACTTGGGCAAATCACCAATACATGTGGACAGTCTTACCCCAGGGCTACTCAGAAAGTCCTACTTATTTTTCTCAAATACTAAAGCCAGATTTAGATGACATTGAATTTCCAAATGAATCTACTCTAATTCAGTATGTGATTTATTGTTGTGCTTATCCTCCCTACCAAAATGCAGAGAAGACACTGTCCACCTATTACAATGGCTTCGTTTTAGGGGACACAAAGTGTCAAAAGATAAATTACAATTTTGCCTCCCCAAGTTAAGTATTTGGGACATATGATTTCCCCAAGGGGGCTATTAATAAACTCTGAGAGAATCTCTGCTATTACGACCTTTCCCCTGCCCAAAACTAAAAAACAATTAATAGGATTCTTAGAGTTGACAGGCAGGAGTTGGATTCCAAACTACTCCTTAATGCCCAACCCCTATATAAAAATCTAAAACAGACCCAGCTGGACCCAATCCACTGGGAAGAGGGGGGAAAAAAACAACACACAGAAGATCTAAAACAGGCTCTCACCCAAGCACCTGTTCTAGGCCATCCCAATCATAGTCTTCCTTTTACCCTCTTTGTACATGAAATAAATGAGAATGCTCTAGGAATATTAACTCAAAAACATGGTGACTTGTTGGTGAAAGCTGTTCATTCTAAAATGTAGTGAAATTCAGTCTAGTTCTGCTGATAAAGATCATCAGTTTTGAAAGGTTACTGATTTTTCTCTTCCCTCTTAGTTTTTTGCCCAATATATGGAGAAGAGTAACAGTCAATCTTAACATTTTGTTTTCATTGTTTTTTAATAAAGCTGCTAGGCAGCGGTGCAGCATTCCTACCTAATGTCATAAAAGCAAAATACTTACATAGCTTTCTTAAAATGTAGGAATGACATTACATTTTTAGGAGAAAGTTAGTTGCTTTGCACTACTTACTTAACTCTTTTCCATATATTGTGATACAAACTTTTGAATATGGAATCTTACTATTTGAATAGAAATGTGCATGTATAATATACATACATACACGAGCATGTGTGTGTATATATAACCCAGATTTTTATATACACACACATATATGTATACATATATATATATATGTATATATACACACAGGATTATATATACCTGTGTGTATGTGTATATATACACACAGGGTTATATATACCTGTGTGTATATATAACCCTGATATGCATATATATATATATGCATGCTGTGAAACTTGACTACACAACATAAACCATTTTTTTTAATTCCAGGAATGGGTAGTCTGATCTGGTGATTATCCTTTTGAGGCTGAATCCATTATTATCTTGTTATTTAGGTTTTCACTAACAGTAGCAAGGGATTCTGAGTCAGTTGCACTTATACGATTATTGTCATTTAAAACTAAAAATAAAGGCTGCATTTTCAAAGATAAATTGGAGATTGCTATTGATGACATACAGCCAAAATACTGAATCTGATGTACATATAGGTTGCTACAGGCAGGGATAGTGTAATTTAGAATTTGGAGATTTAATAACCAGGGCTACCCAGAAAAAGTGACTTGATAACATGGTACCAATAAGTACGGGATGCTCTCTCGGTTTGCATTTGCTACTTTCAAGATTTTGACTTCTCAGGTTATTAATCAAAATTATTGTATAAGTTAGCCAATAGAATTTTTAGGTTAAAACAACAGATGGGAGGTTTGTGGAGTGTTTAATGTCATGGGCATTTTTAGTAGCATAGACCCTTTGTTCTGCATTTGAATGTTTCGCATATTTTTGTTTCACAGTTAATCTTCCCTCCCAAGTTTGCTATTCAAATCAAATGCCTGAAAGACATTTCTAGTAGTTTGATGTATTTTTTGAGGAAAAGTTTGTGATTCCAATGCAGGTGTCTTCATTACCATTTCCTCTACACTGCAGAAGAAGCAAAACTCCTTTGTGAGAATTATTGCACATGTGTATGGGGAAATTAGTTCCGAAAGGCTAGAATGATACAAGTGAGCAAAAGAAGTTGGTCAGCTTGACTATGGAGTGGTGGCAATAATCTCTAAACAATCCAAAAGACTATGAGCTGAACCTAAACTCCCTTGGAATCTGAACAGAAAAGAAATATAAAATTGCCATTTGAAAACTGACCAGCTAATCTGGACCTCAGAGATAGATCAGCCAGTGGCCCAAAGCCATTTCAAGTACAGAAATTGTATTGAGACTACAGCCAAATAAATTTGAACATTAAGTATCATTTTTCCACTTTTCCTTTTTATAAGCATATTTGTAAACTCAAAGCTGAGCAGAAGTGACTTTATTCTCTCAAGTTTGATACTCAGTTGATTGACTGTTCCCTTACCCCTCACTCTTCCCCTTCCCTTTCCTAAGGTAATAGTGCACAATTTAGGTTATTTTTGCTTCCGAATTTGAATAAAAAACCTAATGCTGTGGATTTTTTTTCTTTTGCAACACACCTGTTTATCACCTTGTTTAAATGTAAATGTCCCCTCATGCTTTTGAAATAAATTTCCTTTTGTAAAACAACAACGACAACAAAATATGGTGACAATCACAGACCAACTGGTTATTTCAGTCAACGGTTAGATCCAGTTGCAAGGGGGGCACCCTCCTTGACTGAGGGCTATACTGGCTGCAGCCACCTTATGCAAAAACATCAAAGAATTTGTCCTAGGGTCCCCTCTGACCGTCTATGCCCCCAACTCTGTGAAATCTCTTCTAAGCTCTCACTACACTCAACACTATTCTGTTAGCTGCTTTGCCTCTTATGAGGTACTCCTGCTTTCTGCCCCCAACATCATTTTAAAGCACTGTAACACTCTTGACCCTGCTACCCGGCTCCCCCTTCCAGGTGAACAACAAGAGGAAGACGAATATGACTGCAATCTACTAACTAATATCTTACTCTCCCCTAGGGAAAAATTACAGGAAACTCCCATAGAGAATGCTGAGTTAATTTGGTTCACGGATGGTTCTTATTTAAGGGACAACCAGGGGCATTACTGGGCAGGATACACCATCACTTCCATAACAGACATAATCAAAAGTGTCCAACTCCAAGGAATCAAACCAGCCCAGATGGCTGAATTAATAGCATTAACTAGAGCTTGTAAATTAGCTAAAGGAAAAGTGGCAAATATATTTACTGAGAGCCAATATGCTTTTGGAGTAGCCCATGATTTTGGCATGCTATGGAAACAGAGAGGATTTCTTACCTCATCTGAATAACCCATATGAAATGGGCACCAAGTCTCGGAGTTACTAGAAGCAATTCAGATGCCAAATCAACTTGCAATCATAAAAGTTTCTGGGCACTCAAAGGATAACACTCGAGAAGCAAAATGAAATAATCTAGCTGATGCTGCAGCAAAGAATGCTGCCCTAGGAAAGATGGCCTGTCCTGTACGGCAATGTACCTTTCGTCCTACAAATACCCTCACTAACATTTTTTTACAATATCAGTAAGCATCTACCCCTCAAGAGAAACAGAAGGGAGTTATGTTTGACCCAAGTAAGTAATTATGGATAGGGTCTAACAAAAAACCCATAGTTCCCATAGGTGCACAATTGCCTTTCCTTCAGTTTATTCACAAAATGACTCATTGGGCCCCTGAAAAAATAGTATCATGGGAAAACAATACTTTTGGAAACCATCCCCCATGGTAGCCCAAAAGGTATACGCTTGATGTACTATATGCCCAAAACCTAACCCTAGCAAGCCCTTACATGGCTCCCAAGGTCATTTTCCTTTGCCAATAGGACCTTTTAAAGTATGGCAGTTGGAGTTTATCCAGATGCCGCCATCACAAAATTTCAAATACATGCTGGTCTTAGTTTGTATGTTTTCTCATTGAGTAGAAAGATTTCCTTGTTGGAGGGCTACCACCTTAACAGTTGGGAAAATTTTGTTAGAATCATTCCAGTTTGGGGAATTCCTTCTGAAATGCACAGTGACCATGGGACTCATTTTACTGGACAAGTTGTTCAATCCATTTGCAAAATCTGGCCTATAATACAACATTTCCATTGTGCCTACCATCCCCAATCCTCTGGGTTGGTGGAACGGACAAATAGCACAATAAAAACTCAATTAGCTAAGTTGACAGAGGCTTTTAACCTCCCTTGGCCAAAACCCCTCCCACTGGTCTTGCTTAGTCTTAGATCCGCTCCTTTTCAAAAACATTATTTATCGCCCTGTGAAATCGTAACAGGGAGACCTATGAGGTTGGCTAAGGGCTTATACAAACTGGCCTTACTCAAAGGGGAAATACTGCATTATTGTCAAGGGCTCCTCAAAACCTTAACAAATAAAACAAAGCTGTTAACACAATCTTTCCATAGTGAGCTCCCGGGGGCTGACGACCCCAAAGACCACGGATTACAGCCAGGTGACTTTGTATATTGGAAAAGACTTCAACTGAAGGATTCCCTACAACCCCACTGGAAAGGACCTTATCAGGGGCTTTCAATCAACTCTCGTACTGCAAAGTTAAAGGGAGTCACTTCTTGGATTCACATTTCACTCCTAAAACAAGCACTTGACCACTTTCCTGACCGCCCCTGGACTTCTGAACCAGTCTCTGACACCTGCCTGCAAATCAAGAGAACACTGGAGGCTCAGCCAGTCTCTAGAGCTACAATGAAAGCAGACATACTTCCAGAGACGCTGGACCAGGCCCAGTCCTCATGAACCCTCAAATAACTCCCATTCTTACTTTCCTTGCTATAGAATATTGCTAAAACCCTGAATGTTTTAACTGAGACCCCTAAGAAGCTGTTTGGGATCGATGCACTCTCTTCCTTGGTATAACTTTCTAAATGGGTGCAGCTATACATTCCCTTGCTAAAGCCAGGAAACTGTTTTACTTGTTCATTCTCATTTCCACAATCTCTTCTGTCTGCCTACCCCACACTCCTTCTCTCTTCAGACCTCAAAATTTCTCCTGGTCCCCTGCAAACCTCAGCAATCTTCCTGCAGGCAAAGCCCATATCATTTGGTATGATACAGATCAGGATGTAATGAAGAGTGTTATATGGAACAGCACCATTCTAAACATTCCCCGAGGTGTCCAGTTTTTAGGGTACCTCTATTATAGGGCTGCAACCAAATATGATGCCCTGCAGGAATACTTGCCTAACAATGCCTCCCAAATGATCACTGAGGGGGTCTAACCAGGTAGAACACTGCATAACAATAGATATTGGGGATTATCAGTTGAGACAACTGCCTGGTTACAATGGGAAAAATCTAGCTGCCTCCTGTATAAACTGCCATAGCATGGCCTGCCCAAATAACCACCAGCCCCGTGCTTGTGGCTGGATCCTCCTATCCAGCACCAACCACACTGACACTGCCCTTAAAGAACTATTTATGGTCAAGTGGTGGACAGAGGTCCCTGACAGCACAAATTCCACCCTAAGACCAGGGCGCCTCTGGGAAGCATTATGGAATACCCAGACATGGGCATACTTAGATGTACCCTCCACTCACCTAACAATTGTCTGGGATACCCAGCAGTTCTGGATTGACTCCATTTATCCAAATTGTACAAATGCCATCAGTATACAATGGCAACAGCATTCCTGGTGGATACACCAAAATTGGCCACCCAAAAAACTAAAGTGTGACCTCACTGGAGGAGTTGGAGCTGGGTTAGGCATATTGGGGCAAGCCGAGTTCATGACTAATGAGGAGAGACATTCTTTAGAAAAAAATTCCCTATCAAAAATAGGCCACATTGAAGGAATGCTATTCCAGGAAGAGGGAAAAGGATGGGAAGCTGCTTTAAAAGATAATACAGCACTCATCAAATGGATAGAAGAAACCAGACAAACCATGAAAACATACTTCCAAACCCAAAGATGGGAACAAACATGTACTCTTACCCAACACGGGCTCATGTCTATTGTACTACAAATGGAATCTGAGGTGGCTATGAAGCAATGGCCTACAATCCTCAGTTCTGAGGCACAATCCAAACACCTGTGGAAAACATATGGTCCACCACGCTTATGGAGATTTTTGGACGGTAAATGTGACCTTAAACATTGTATTCTCAGAGCACAGGCACCGAAGTTAAATGAGGCTCAAAGGTACTCCGTTGTCCAACTGGCAGGCATTGGGACTATTATAAACAATACAAGAATACTCCCCCTGGGAAATAGGTGGGCTATTTTAGCCGATAATAACACATGGCATCCCATCTCCCTTTCAGATTGTGAAAACAGAAAAGGAGAATGGCTATGCCCTCAAACTACCTGGAACCCTGATTCTTCTCAAACTTGGCCTCTAATATCCAACGGGACATAACATCTGGTATACGGGGAAGGGCCGCTTCTGTTGGGAGGGACAAAAAAACAACATTGTAGAATTATATGACTTCTCCTGTAACAAAACTTCCTTTTCTCTTCCAAATACCAGTATATGGTGCAATACAAAAGTGGTTGGAAAAATAGATTTGTCCACTGTTAACAAGTCCTGTGACAATTTAGACATTGAGGACCAGGCGTTCCTTGCATTTGATTTATACCCTCCTCAGGATGTTATATCTATGGAGACAAATTGGCCAGAAGAGACATTAAATGTATTGGATTCTGATTTAGTGTCAGTCCTACAATCCTCAAATAAGATCTATCATAGGGTTCAAATGACCCTTGATAAGGAGGCTAATCACATTGTGAGTCTAATCAAAGAATATGATAAAGCATGCAGTGGTTTTTTTGGCTGGTCAGGTTGTTTACTGCCCTCTGACTCTACCTATAACCTTGGATGCCTAATCTTTGCTATCTTTATGGTGTTTGTCACTGTATTAGGATTATATATCTCTTGTAAATGTTATGCCAGATATAGCAAAAGGAAAAGGCACAATTAAAGAACTGGATCATGGTAGCTCACAAAATAAATATGACCTGGGATTTTTTTTTTAGACTAAACCCTAGGCCTGACTCCATCTCACCCCTTAAACTATTGGCTATTACATCAGGTTAGACTGTGTCCTCTCCCAGTGATCCAAATCACAGGTATTTAAAACTACTGCTACCAACCAGACTACTCTAGGAATGAGCCTTCCTAGTGCTGTGGGACCTTGCCAAATGACCAAATCAGACAACTCTAGGAATGAGCCTTCTTAGCGCTGTGGGACCTGCTGCTGTTAGTTGGCCTGCATATGCATTCTGAGGAATGCTTTTTGGCCAAGAGGGGAGACCGAGGACAAAGCTCTCATTTTTTTATCTTGCCCAAATTCCTTTCAAAGGAGTCTTGGGAGTCACGCCCTACAAACCATGAATTCTCATCAGATGGGTTTTATTTAACCCTATATATTGTGACTTAAATTCCAATCTGACTCTGGCATAACATTATGAGACAAGGAAAAACCTAAAAAATATTTAACCCCAAGACATGTTTCCCTGCCATATCTTGAAAACAGCCCTGCAGGCCAGGTGCAGTGGCTCATGCCTGTAATCCCAGCACTTTGAGAGGCCGAGGCAGGTGATCACTTAAGGTCAGAAGTTCGAGACCAGCCTGGCCAACATGGCAAGATCCCATCTTTACTAAAAATACAAAAATTAGCCGGATGTGGTAGCGCGCTTGTAATCCCAGCTACTCGGGAGGCTGAGGCAGGAGAATCACTTGAACCCGGGGGGCTTAGGTTGCAACGAGCCAAGATCACGCCACTGCACTCCAGCCTGGGCAACAGAGTGAGACTCGACTGAAAAAAAGAAAAAAAAAAAAAAAAGAAAGAAAGAAAAGAAAGAGAAAATGGCCCTGCAAAGTCATCCTTGTAGGGGAAAATCTGCATCTGTAAAGAATCTCTATTAACATAGCTAGATCTTTTTCTTCCAAGCCCTCCCAATCCTGAAGAGATTAGCTAAAAGTCTAGTACCTTTTGGAAACATTTGTCATCTATTGTCTCTAAGAGCAGCCACTATAAGACTTCAAAGGAACCTTGGTCTCCACAATCTTTTATCTTAACCTGAACATTTCCTTATTAGGGATCCTAGATCCTTAGATAAACTTAACCAATTGTCAACCAGAAAATGTTTAGATTTACCTATAGCCTGCAACCCCCTTCTCCCCCTCTTTGAGTTGTCCCGCCTTTCTGAACCAGACCAATGTATTTCTTAAATGTATTTGATTAAGTCTCATGCCTCCCTAAAATACATAAATCCAAGCTGTACCCCCACGACCTTGGGCACATGTTCTCAGGACCTCCTGAAGGCTGTGTCAGGGGCCATGATCACTCATATTTAGCTCAGAATAAATCTCTTCAAATATTTTACAGAGTTTGGCTCTTTTCGTGGACATCATTAAAGAGTTGTCAAATGGTCAGGTATATATTTCAGAAAGCAATGTGAAGGACTAGAGGTAAATGATTAGAAACCAGGAAAAGAGGACTTGATCTAGGGTAGTAGCCATGGGAGTAAATGGGTAGGTACACAAAATACTGTAGACATATAGGACTAGGTAATCAAATGGACTGTAGATAAGGGAGAGAGAAGTAATGAAGACCATTTATATTTCCAGCCTGGATTATAAGTTTGATCGCAATGCCATTAACTGAAACAAGAAATGGGGAAAAACATATTTGAAGTAAAAATGTCATATTGAGCTGAAAGTGCCCACAGTACATTTATTCATCAGTGCTTACGATGCAGTTAAAACATGTAGATCTGAGTTTTTGAGAAAAAGGGAGAGCTAAAGACATGAATCTGGAAGCAGCTCACAAGGAACTGAAAGCAAAGATAGTGGGGGATGGAGGATGGATACGATTTTCAAGTGAAAGTCCAGAGAAAAAAGAAGAAAGCTAAGGCTGGAAGTATATTTATAAGACAAGTAATGAAGTACTGAGGAAGACATCAATGAAGGAGACAGAAAAAAAGAAAGGAAGAGGAAACAGGAGAGAGTAGTATCAAAGTCAAAGTAGGAAGGAGAGGTCAAAGTTTCAAATGTAAGTGAATTGGATGAGAAATAAAAGAGGATGCGGACTCTGGTAGTTAAAATGTTATTCATGACTTTTGCCAGAACAGTTCAAGAAAAACAGTGTGAGGAAGAAGATGGTTACCCCTGAGACTCAGGAGTAAATGGAAGTGAAAAAGTAGAGACAGTGAGTATAGACTACATTTTAATGAATTTTGAGGGTAAGGCAAAGCGTCTCCAATTTCTTATTAGAAAACATGGATATTATCTCCCTACTAACATATGGACTAACACATGGTGGATGCATCAGAAGGCATTTTTATGAAATTTATCAAGGTTTTTGTTGTTGTTTGAGAGGGAGTTTCACTCTTGTTGCCCAGGCTGGAGTGCAATGGCATGATCTCAGCTCAATCCAATTTCCGTCTCCCTGGTTCAAGCAATTCTTTTGACTCAGCCTCCCAGGTAGCTGGGATTACAGGCTCCTGCCACCCATGCCTGACTAATTTTTGTACTTTTAGTAGAGACGGGGTTTCGTCATGTTGGCCAGGCTGGTCTCAAACTCCTGACCTCAGGTGATCCACCTGCCTTAGCCTCCCAAAGTGCTGGGATTATAGGCATGAGCCACCATGCCCCCACTTATCAAGGTTTTTAATGAGGAAAATACCTTTATCTCAGAAGACTGTTTGAAAATAACATTGTGTCCTGTTTTTCTAAAAGTATGCCAAGTAGAGTTTTCTAATATGAGGATTTGTTATCTACCCTCCAGTTGCATTCAGGTCTTTCTTTGATAAATCCTGAAGCAGCCATGTGACCCTCACGGACTCTACCTCCAAATCATTAAGACTTTAGGGTATATGAACAAAAATTATGAAGAATTTCAGAAAAACTGAAATCTATTATCATTCAATAATTTTGTTGAAGCTTTAAAAACACATTTTGCTGTTTGGAGAACATTATTCAGAAATTCTTCCAATATCAGCCAGGTGCAGTGACTCACACCTGTAATTCAGCACTTTGGGAGGCGAAGGCAGGCAGGTCATTTGAGGTCAGGAGTTTGAGACCAGCCTGGCCTACATGGTGAAACCCTGTCTCTACTAAAAATACAAAAATTAGCCAGGCATGGTGGCACATGCTTGTAATCCCAGCTACTTGAGAGGCAGAGGCTGCAGTGAGCTGAGATCGCACTACCGCACTCCAGCCTGGGCAACAGAGGGAGACTCCATCTCAAATTAAAAAAAAAAACAAAAACAAAAAAGAAATTCTTCCAATATTATATTGCTGTTTTGCATATAGAAATTGTCTTTATTAAAGAGTTAACAGTATAAGTAAACTGCACCCAAAATAAGTTCTGGATCCTAGGTTCACTGTCTAGTTCTGGGGAACATTTAAGAACAAAGCACTATTCACATTGAGGACATTTAGGTTATAAATAATAAATGGTAGTGTGTCCATTGTTTTTTGTAAAGTCTTAAATATTTTTGATGAGAGGGGCCATTATCATTAAGTATTTATTAAGCACCTACCAGAAATGCTTAGTCGAACATGAAAGGCACTAACAGAAACAGAAGACAATTTTTTTTTTTTTTTTTGAGACGGAGTCTTGCTCAGTCATACAGGCTGGAGTGCAGTGGCGCGATCTCTGCTCACTGCAAGCTCCGCCTCCCGGGTTCACGCGATTCTCCTGCCTCAGCCTTCCCAGCAGCTGGGACTACAGGCGCACGCCGCCAGGCCTGGCTAATTTTTTTTGTATTTTTAGTAGAGACAGGGTTTCACCGTGTTAGCCAGGATTGTCTCCATCTCCTGACCTCGTGATCCGCCCGCCTCGGCCTCCCAAAGTGCTGGGTTTACAGGCTTGAGCCACCGCGCCCGGCCACAGAAGAGAAATTTTAATTTCATGTTTTTATCTTTTTTGTTTTCTGAGACAGAATCTTGCTCTGTATCCCAGGCTGGAGTGCAGCAGTGTGATCATGGCTCACTGCAGCCTCCACCTCCTGGGCTCAAGCGCTCCTCCCACCTCAACCCCCACACACCTTTTCCCTCCCCAGTAGATGCGACTAGGTGTGTGCCACCACGCCTGGCTCATTTTCTTAAAAATTTTTTTGTTTTTGTTTTGTTTTGTTTTGAGACAGAGTCTTGCTCTGTCGCCCAGGCTGGAGTGCAGTGGCACGATCTGGGCTCACTGCAAGCTCCGCCTCCCGGGTTCACGCCATTCTCCTGCCTCAGCGTCCTGAGTAGCTGGGACAGGCGCCCGCCACCATGCCCCGCTAATTTTTTGTATTTTTTTAGTAGAGACGGGGTTTCACCATGTTAGCCAGGATGGTCTCGATCTCCTGACCTCGTGATCTGCCCGCCTCGGCCTCCCAAAGTGCTGGGATTACAGGCGTGAGCCACCACGCCCAGCCTCATTTTCTTAAAAATTTTTTATAGAGACATGGGGTCTCACTCTATTGCCCAGGCTGGTCTCAAACTCCTAGGCTCAAATGATCCTCTCACCTTGGCCTCCCAAAGTTTTGGCATTATAGGCATGAGCCACCATGCCCAGCCATGTTTTTATCTTTCGTCTAGAAAAAGTTTCAAACTATAAGCCAGGCATGGTGGCTCACGCCTGTAATCCTAGCACTTTCAGAGGCCGAGGCAAGTGGATCACGAGGTCAGGAGATTGAGACCATTCTGGCTAATATGGTGAAACCCCGTCTCTACTAAAAATACAAAAAATTAGCCGGGTGTGGCGGTGGGCGCCTGTAGTTCCAGCTGCTGGGGAGGCTGAGGCAGAGGAATGGTGTGAACCCAGGAGGTGGAGCTTACAGTGAGCAGAGATCGCGCCACTGCACTCCAGCCTGGGTGACAGAGCAAGGCTCCGTCTCAAAAAAAAAAAAAATTCAAACTGTAACAATCCTTATAGTTCTAAAACAGCAACTGTGGACTTAAGAGAGTTAGAAAGATTCAGAAACAGTTTTTAAAATTCGTCCCCACCTTTGATTTTAACTCTATGTGAAAGAGATTCTAACCTCTTTAAAGACCACAAACTACTTCTATAATTAGGGTTATAGTTATTTGCCTGCTCACTTCAGAGGGCCATGTGAGAATTATGAGATAATGTTTTTATAGCTCTTTTAACTGCACAGATGAAAGGCCCTAATTACCAATGACCAGTAGACTTATTCCTTTTTCTTTTGTGTTCTGGCAGGTGACTAGTGGAATTATTCTGATGTCATTTTTCCTACTTAGGTTTCCCTAAAGTCTGTGCTTGGAAAAGGATACCAAAAAAACAACCCTTTAAATGTAAGTCTCAGCTTGTTTAATCTAGATGTAGGCCAGTTATAACAGTGATGGAGCCTATGTAGAGCATTTAAAAGAATACTACTAAGACTAGACATGTTATAAAAATAATAGTCCCCATGTAGAGAACAAAAAACCATTCAGAAAGCAACTGATGGTGACATATTTTTACCTCATTACAAAAAAAGACCAAATGAGCCTTTTTCAGAAATCATAAAACAGAATACAGTTGACCCTTGAACAATATGAGTGTGAACTGCATGGGTCCATTTACACGCAAATTTTCTTCCCCCTCTGCCACCCCTACAACAGCAAGATCAACGCTTCTTCCTCCTCAGTGTAAAGGATAAGGATGAAGAGCTTTATGAGGATCTACTTCTAGTTAATGAATAGTAAATATATTTTATCTTCCTTATGATCTTCTTAATAACATTTTCTTTAACTCACTTTATTATAATATAGTATATAATACATAATACATAAAAGATATGTGTTAATCAACTGTTATGTAAGGCTTCTGGTTAGAACTTAACTACTTCTGGCTATTAGTAGTTAAGTTTTTGAGAAGTCAAAATTATATGTAGATTTTTGACTATGCTGGGCGTGGGGGAGTTGGTGTCCCTTAACCCCTTTGTTGCTCAAAGGTCAACTGTATTTAATAATGAATTGAGAAGTCATTGTGTAAGCCATGTGCTCCCCTGACTTATCAATGGAAGTTGTGTTTAGAGCTGACCCTATGAAGAAAAACAAAACAATACAAAAACAACCCAGGAACCAGAGTTTTAAGAATTGCTTTATTTAGGAGAAAACAGAAAGATGTTTAGTTAAATTTTTTAGAAGCCAGAATTTCAGTAGCCAATCAGACTGAGTACTCTGAGTGCAATGTGTTCATTGATGAGTGGTCAACAGACAGGCACTGCTCCATGAAAACTAAAATTCTTCTAGTCTCTAGGAACTAAGAATATTTTCTGTCACTCCCTTTGTTTTGGTCACACCTTTCTCAGATGTTGGATCCCTTATACTATACACTTGAGTATCATCCATAAATCTCTATCCTCTAAAAATCTCTCCTTCTGCCCCTTGGGCAAAACTTGTTAAAAAATTCACCTACAAACAATTCTTGCCAAAAATGTTTAATGTGAATCTAATGAGATCTCTAGACTTACCTTTCATCTTACAGGAAACAGAGGAACAAAAAAAGTTGAATGACAAAATGAATAAGTAGGAAGTAAGGCATTCTATAAGAACACTGACTTAGACACTTCGAGAGAGACAGAGAGAGAGAAAGAGAGAGACAGAGAGAAAAGACTACTGTAAATGAGCAGGACTATTCTAGATCAGAAGTGCGTGGCAAACTTCAGCCCATGGGCAAGTCTGGCTTGCTCCTATCTTCTTCTTCATTAAAGCTTTATCAGAATATAGAGAGGCTCATTCATTTTCACGTAATCTGTGGCTGCTTTCAGGCTACAATGGCAAAGTTGCATAGCTGTGGCAGAGGCAATGTGGCACACAAAGCCTGAAATATTTATTATCCAGGACTTTTTTTTTTTTCTCAATTGAGACAGGGTCTTATTCTGTCACCCAGGCTGCAGCACAGTGGCACAATCATGGCTCACTGCAAACTCAACCTCCTAGGCTCAAGCAAACCTCCCACGTTAGGCATTATGTCGAGTAGATGGGACTACTGGCATGTGCCAGCACACCTAGCTAATTTTTAAATTTTTTGTAGAGATGGGGTCTCAGTATGTTGCCCAGGCTGGTCTCAAACTCCTGGGCTCAAGCCATTTTCCTGCCTCAGCCTCTCAAAGTGCTGGAATAACAGGTGTGAGCCACTGTGCCTGGCCAAATTTAACAAAGATGTCTCCTAAAAATGAGAGATGCTAAAAAGGGGAATTGGATAGCTGATATCAAGGAAGGGAAGGAAACTTGTTTTTTTACTGTATATGGTTTTCTAATTGTTGATTTTTTTACATGTGCATATATGTTACCTATTTAAAAAGCTAAAGCTTAAAACCAACCAATCTATGTTCAAAATCAAAACAAAAAAATTCTTCTGCCTCAGCCTCCTGAGTAGCTGGGACTACAGGCACGTGCCACCACGCTCAGCTAATTTTTGTATTTTTAGTAGAGACGATGTTTCACCATGTTGGTCAGGCTGGTCTTGAACTCCTGACCTTGTGATCCGCCTGCCTCGGCCTCCCAAAGTGCTGGGATTACAGGTGTGAGCCACCGCACCCGGCCAAGACAGCCTAAAATTTTAAAACTGTTTTGGTTACAAAGCTGGACAGGAATAGAAAGTGAAGAAATGAAAGCTTCCAACGTCGCTGGGAGAGCTAGTCACTGCCCACAGACCATGGGGTGCGTCATCTAAGGGAAAGACAGAGGTGTGGGGGACAACCTGGCTCCAGGTCCTCCAGCAGCTCCTACTTCCTGCTAGTGCCAGGATTACCACTTGAGTGTTCTAAGGTCTCCCTGCTTCAAATTAACAGAGATTAAAAGGATACAGAAATAATGCAGTATGAGAACATTTACGAGATTCTGGTTCAGGTATCAGCAAAGTATGTATGCATTTAGAACTGGAAAAAGTCTATGTTCTGTTGTTCAGCATCACAGAGACATAAAAAATTCAGCATCACAAATCAGAAATGTATACAAGCTTTTGTAATTTGGTCACTTTTCAGGTGAGAGAGGTCCTATATCTAATTCCTAACCCTCCATCCAGTGATAAATGTCAAACTAATGGATACAAGGTTAATTCTGTGGTCCAACGATAAATGTAGTATATATATTTCAATGACATTTTCTAACTACCAAAAAAGGGAAATTAGATTCCCGACTTACACTCTGTACAAATTCCTAGTAGGTTACAAATTTAATGTTAATGCCAAAACAAACATAAAAACCCAAAACAGAATGGTTTTAGAGATCTAAAAAAAGCAGGAAACCTCAAATAAAAGCATAAGATTGACATATTTGAATATATACAAATTGAAATTTTTTCTGAAGAAAAAAATCATTAACAAAGTAAAAAAAGCAATCAACTACAATACATAATAGATTTTAAATTCCTGTAATTCAAAAAGCTTTTATAAATCGATAAGGAAATCATAAATCATCCGAGAGAAAAAGGAGGTACAGGATGTGCACAGGCAATTACTAAGAGGAAATCTAGATAGCTAGTAGACATGACAACAGACTCAACCTCACTGGTGGACAAGGAAATGTAGAGTAAAGCAACAAGGGATATCATTTAAAAAAAAAATCTAGATTGGGCCAGGCACGGTGGCTCACACCTGTAATCCCAGCACTTTGGGAGGCTGAGGCAGGCAGATCACCTGAGGTCGGGAGTTCAAGACCAACCTGACAACATGGAGAAACCCCGTCTCTACTAAAAATACAAAATTAGCCGGGTGTGGTGGCACATTCCTGTAATCCTAGCTATTTGGGAGGCTGAGGCAGGAGAATTGCTTGAACCCGGGAGGCGGAGGTTGCAGTGAGCCGAGATCACGCCATTGCACTCCAGCCTGGGCAACACAGTGAGACTCTGTCTCAAAAAAAAAAAAAAAATCTAGATTGAGAAAAACTAGAGGGTAACATTCAGGGATGGTAGAGATGTAGACAAAGGAAAAATCTGATATGTTGCTGGCAGAAGTGTGAACTATTACAACCTTCTGAAAAGTGATCCAGCAGTAGCTATTAAAATTAATGCATGTATACCTTTTGCAACAGAAATCCTAATCCTAAAATCAAAAAACAAAAGCACCAGTATCTAAGGGTATATATACATATAGAATTTTTTTTTTCTGGTTTGTAGTAGCAAAAACACCAATAAAAACAACAAAGTAGAAACATCTTAAATGTCATTAACAGAACCTTCCCCAGAATATGGAATAAGTATTATGCAGCTATTAAAAAAGAAACAATGTTATATTTGTATCTGTTGAGCCAGAGAGTTGGCCATGATCTATTCAGTAAAGCAACTTGCCTGAGTAATATATATAATATAGCCAATTTTGGTAAAAAAAAAAAAAAAAATTCCAACTATCATCCAGAACTCCATAAGTATGATTATGTTTGTATTTGCAGGAGAAATGATGTCAAAGAATACTAATATTGGTAGAAATGGGGATCTCTTATTTAAGTTTTGTATATTTTTGTATTTTTCAGTAGTTTTATCAGTAGCAGTCTTTTGTAATTTTTGAAAAGGAGCTTGACAAATAAAATTTACTTGAGAGTTCTTTATCCCATTTAGTGACTGTTTAAAGAGAATTGGGACTATGAACTCCTGTTTCTCTGCTGGAAGTCAATTACATTCAACAACTCCCCCAGTGATTTCTCCCCTGACCACAACATGGCCCAAATGTACATCTCAGGCACCAACGAACAAACACCAAGTATACAGAACAGATAATGTTATCCACTTACTCAAAGTATACTTATTTTCAGCCAACTCTACTGGGTACTAGGAACAGGGCAGTGAATAAGGCAGGCACATTGCCAGTATTCATCTCTTTTTTTATTTTTTATTTTTGTAGAGACAGGGTCTCCCTATGTTGTCCAAGCTGGTCTCAACCTCTTGGGCTCAAATCATTCTCCTGCCTTAGCCTCCCAAAGTACTGGGATTACAGGCATGAGCCACTACTCCTGGCCCAAGTCTTCATCTTCATTCTGGTTTTCTTTGTGGACATTCTTCGGAAGCATATTGTTTATATGATTCTTACCATAGGTAGGTACAAGAGCAAGTCACACAGAATGCCAGTCATTACTACAGGAGGAAATCTGAGGTGCAAAACTATTTACATTTTCCAGGAAGTATAATTCTTTGGGTGCTAACTTTTGGAAAGATTATATCCAGACCTTTTGGAAAGATTATATTCAGAGATAATACTTTCCAGTGCTTCACAGTCCACCTCTCCCTATTTATTTAAATGCTACATAAAAGCCTTATTATACCAATTCTTAGTGAATTTCCAGTTCAATCCATTTTTTTTCTGTTGACATCTGACAGACACCAGCAGAGAGAATTTTGCCTTGAGCTTGGAAAGATGTTGTTTAAAGTGATGTCTCCAGGAATAAAGTCTGAAGGAAAAATGGTTTGTTTCTAAGTACGTACTATGTCCATTAACTATGCTACCCAAAAAAACACAAAAAATGTAAACCCAAAATAAACTTCTAACACCTCTCCAACCATCTGAATGGACTTCCTTCTCAGCCAGGGTGTCAGAGGTGTTCAAACCAGAGCAACTCCATCTTGAGTGAGGGCAAGGAAAATGAGGCTGGGACTTGCTGGGCTGCCTTCCCAGCATCTAGCCTCTAGATGTTTCCGGTGAAGGGAACAGATTGATAATATTTACTAAACAGACCCAGACTTGGGACTGTCCTAATATCCCAATATATGGAGAGCAAAGGCATTCCTAATTTTGCTTTAAAGATAATAATATTGATTCTTGCAAAATACAGTAATTAAGAACGAATGCTTGTAGCAGAGCACATCCCCCCATGATCTTTTTATCCTGTATATAAACAAGCACTGTACCCAGGGTGGATGCTTTCCTTCTCTTTCAGGAACGCCCTACTGTGTCTATGGAGTAGCTGTACTTTCACTACTTTGCTTTCTTAATAAACCTGCTTTTACTTTGCGCTGTGGACTCACCCTGAATTCTTTCTTGCACAAGATCTGAGAACCCTCTCTTGGGGTCTGGTTCGGGACCCCTTTCCTGTAACAAGGGCACTTTTAAAATTTAACGTGAAAGACTGGTTTAGGACATGATGGGAGGTGGGGGTCAGACATGCCTCATTATACCTCTCTGATATTAACATCAACACAGACTTTAAGCCTGAAAAGAAACATTTTACAACCTATTCTCTCTAAAGCCTACCACCTGAAGGCTTCCTCTGCAAATAAAAACTTTGGTCACCACAATTCTTTTTTTTTTTTTTTTCTGAGATGGAGTCTCACTCTGTTGCCCAGGCTGGAGTGCAGTGGCGCAATCTTGGCTCACTGCAACCTCCGCCTCCCGGGTTCACGCCATTCTCCTGCCTCAGCCTACCGAGTGGCTGGGATTACAGGCATGTGCCACCATGCCCGGCTACTTTTATTTTATTTTTTAATTTTTAATAGAGATAGAGTTTCACCATGCTGGCCACGCTGGTCTCAAACTCCTGACCTTGTGATCCACCCACCTCGGCCTCCCAAAGTGCTCGGATTACAAGCATGAGCCACCGTGCCTGGCCCCACCATTTTTTCTTTTCTTTTTTTTTTTTTTTTGAGACGGAGTCTCGCTCTGTAGCCCAGGCTAGAGTGCAGTGGCGCGATTTCAGCTCACTGCAAGCTCCACCTCCTGGGTTCACGCCATTCTCCTGCCTCAGCCTCCCGAGTGGCTGGGATTACAGGCATGTGCCACCATGCCCGGCTAATTTTTTTTATTTTTAATAGAGACAGAGTTTCACCATGCTGGCCAGGCTGGTCTCGAACTCTTGACCTCATGATCTACCCACCTCGGCCTCCCAAAGTGCTGGGATTACAGGCATGAGCTACCGTGCCCGGCTCCACCTTTTTTTTTTTTTTTTTTTTTTTTTTTGCATTGGTGTGATCTCCGCTCACTGCAAGCTCCGCTTCCTGGGTTCACGCCATTCTCCTGCCTCAGCCTCCCGAGTAGCAGGGACTACAGGTGCCTGCCACCACGCCCAGCTAATTTTTTGTATTTTTAGTACAGACAGGGTTTCACCGTGTTAGTCAGGATAGTCTCGATCTCCTGACCTCGTGATCCGCCTGCTTCGGCCTCCCAAAGTTCTGTGATTATAGGCCTGAGCCACTATGCCCAGTCCCACAATTCTTTATCTTAACCCAGATATTCCTTTCTGTTGATCCCAGGTCTTTATATAAACTCAACCAATTGTCAAACAGAAGAATTTTAAATCTACCTATAAGCTGGAAGCCCCACCCCACTTCAAGTTGTCCCATCTTTCTGTACCAAACCAATGTATTTCTGAAATGTATTTCCTTGAAGCTTCATGTCTCCCTAAAATGTATAAAACCAAGCTGCACCCCGACCACCTTGGGTTCTCAGGACCTTCTGAGAGCTGTGTCACGGGCCATGACCACTCTCATTTGGCTCAGAATAAATATATTTATTTATTTATTTATAAATCTCTTAAAATATTTTACAGAGTTTGGCTCTTTTTGTTACAAAGATTAGGTCCCTGTCCTGAAATTTGCAATCCCATAGAAGAGAGAGAAATATAAATAGATCCTGTCCACAATGTGAAGTAAAGTATGATAATAGGGATGTGTGGGAGGCTATACAAGTTGCCTATGACATGCGTAACAATGTCAACGCTGTTTGGTTGGCAGACTCTAGAAAAAGAAAATCCCAATTTGAGAGATAAAAATACCTTCAAATGACGTGTTTTTCCCTTCCATCAGTCACTTCTCAAAATAGAAGGAGGCAACTAATGTGGTTAACCCTGTGTTTAAAATTCACTATTTGTTCCTTTTATAATATTAATTCTAACAAGTATACCTAACAAAATAAATGTGTAATTTTATTATAAATTGGAACAATAAATACTATTTCTTCCTTCTCTTAAACCAAATTTAACAGAGCAAGTCTGTTTACAGTAAGTAACTGAACACTTTCCATTTGACTCTGCCAAGTTACATCAATCTCTTCTAATAATTATTTTTTTTCAGACAGGGTCTCACTCGGTCACCCAGGCTGGAGGGCAGTGGTGCAATCATAGCACACTGCAGCCTCAACCTCCCAGGCTCAAACGATCTTGCCACCTCAGCCTCCCAAGTAGCTGGGGCCACAGGCATGAGCCACGATGCCAGGCTAATTTTTTATTTTTTATGGAGACAGGGTCTCGCCATGTTGCTCAGGCTAGTCTCAAACTCTTGGGCTCAAATGATCCTCCCGCCTTGGCCTCCCAAAGTGCTGGGATTACAGGCAGGAGCCACTGTGCCTGACCTAAATACTCTTAATAAATACTCAACAAGCCACTTGTTTGTCTTGGTATATGCCCCTGCTTTCTCCTTCCTTTCCTTTGTTTTTACTACTCTTTCTTTATTTTTGAGATGGAGTCTTGCTCTTTTGCCCAGACTGGAGTGCAGTGGTGTGATCTCGGCTCACTGCAACCTCCGCCTCCGGGGTTCAAATGATTCTCATGCCTCAGCCTCCTGAGTAGCTAGGATTACAGGTGCCCACCACCATGCCCGGCTAGTTTTTGTGTTTTTAGTAGCGACGGGGTTTCACCATGTTGCCAAGGCTGGTCTCGAACTCCAGGGCTCAAGCGATCCAGCCGCTTTGGCCTCCTAAAGTGTTGGGATTACAGGCGTAAGCCACTGCAGACGGCCGCTGTTTTTACTGTTCTTTCAACTTGACCTCTTTCCCATCTCTGTTGTCTCCTATCTACCTATTCTTCAAGGCTTAGGCCAAAGACATCCTCTTTTATGCATCCCTCTCAGATGCCAACCTCACCACCTCTTGCCTCATCTTGGTCCCTCTCAGCACTTTATCTGTCCACTCGTCTGACAATCATCCTTTCCTAACAAAGACAACATTATGTACATCACAGCTCTTTTCCTCCAACAGGAATCTGATTCATTATTGCATCTACACAGTGTTTTGAACATAGTAAGCATTCAACAAATTACTGATCTGTTAAGGGATGAAAGGATGAGACTTTGTACCACAGTCAGGCAGAGTCAGAGAAAATGAGAGAAGCTGAGTCCTTTTGCAAAGCTCCCAAATGCAGCCAGGGTGGCTAAGACACTGGGAAAGGAATATTGCAACAGCAAGGTCTTTTCCATTCCCTTTATTATGTTCTCCCCCTACAGAATTCAGAGAAAAAGGTCTAGGAACTTACAACAGAGTGGTCTCAGACTGAGATATTCTTGCAATTCTGCTGGAAAACCTCTTTCTCTAAGACTTCCAAACCATTATATTGCCATGTGACAACATATGGTTCATACAAATCAGATGTCAAGAAATGTGCTTAATTTTTATGTCAGTTAGCATTTATTGAGCTGCTATACTGAGCAAGAAGTTGTGCCACACACTTAAAACATGTGTTGTTAGTGTCTGAATTGTGAGTTGTAGCTCTCAGAACGGGGTGGGAGCCAGAGGTCTAGGGCCAGGGTAGCGGAACTATGAATGGGATTTGAGTTCTAGTTCCTCATGAATTATGAAGCCTTGGGAAATTCATTTGGGAAACTCATGAATCCAGTTTCATTCTGTTCAACTACAAAAGAGGAGTTACAATGCTTACCTCATATGATTATATCCAGAGATAATTGAGACAGCATAAATAAGAGGCTCTAGCCAGAGGGTGATACATTATAGATGGGCTTTTAAAATTTTACTCTTAAACTCAGAGATTCCTTAAAGATCAAGTTGCAGGATGGGAGTGAGGAAGTGGGGGTAGCGACTGTGATAAACTGGAGACATTCTAAATTGCCTTTAAAAGGGAAGAGCCACTATTCCACCTTAGCCAATTACTGCTATAGAGGAACACAGGCCCAGTGATGTTTTTATTTTTTTTAAAGAGAAGTCAGAAAGTTCACATTAATATGAATTCTGTTTTTTTGAACACTGACATGTAATTGAAATTTTTAAAAAACATGTGCACCAGGCCAGGCATGGTGGCTTATGCCTGTAATCCTGGCACTTTGGGAGGCCGAGGTGGGTGGATCACCTGAGGTCAGGGGTTTGAGACCAGCCTGGTCTACATGGCGAAACCCTGTCTCTACTAAAAATACAAAATTAGCTGGGTGTGGTGGCGTGCACCTGTAGTTCCAGCTACTAGGGAGGCTGAGGCAGGAGAATCGCTTGAACCCGGGAGGCAGTAGTTGAAGTGAGCCGAGATTGCGCCATTGCACTCCAGCCTGGACAACAAGAGCGAGACTTTGCCTCAAAAAAAAAAAAAAAAAAAAAAACCACACAAACAAAATGTGCACCAAATGAAACATCTGTCAGCCTAAATTTGTAAGCCATCAGCTTGCAATCTATGCCTTAATGGCTAAGAGGGAAAGGAGAAATGGCAAATATATTAATAGTTCCCCTGCTAGAAGCTCCAAAGACTTGGTTAGAGTGGAAGTTAATGCCTAGTTATGATTTTACCACTTAGTTTTTGTTTTTCCTGTGCTGTGAAAATGATAATAGACAAGATAGAGAAGACAAACTAGACACTGCTGTTCAGAGACCATCCCAAACACAGAAAGCAGAAACCCTGCATACTGTTTAGCCTCCTGGGTTCAGAGTGTTGTATAATACAGAATTTGACTGGTTTGTCCCAAGTTCCTGGTAGAAGGCATCTAAACCTTGGAATTTCCCAAGTGACCACGAGTGTGTTTGTTATTCATGGTGGGCCCTGGTAGTTTAAACTAATGAGGCAATTCATTGTGGGCCCCCAGGGAGCTCATGCTAATGAGATAACTCAGGATGAGGGGTGGGCCAAGCCAGAAAGACCAACCATGTGATTACAGGGATGGGGCTTTGAGCCAGTTAATATTAGCCCAACCTCGGGACAGAGGAGAGCTGAAGACTGAGTTCAATCATGTGGCCAACCTTCAATCAATCATGCCTATGTAATGAAATCTCAATAAAAATCTTTGGACATGAGAGTCTCAATGGAGCTTCCTGGTTAATTAACACATTGATGTGATGGGAGGGTGATGTGCCCTGATTCCAAAGGAAGAGTGCATGGAAGCTCTGTGGAATCCTTCTAGACTTCACCCTACCTGTTTCCTCATTTGGCTGGCCCTGGTTTGTATAGTGTTAAGAGAAAAAATAAACTGTAAAGTATTTTGAAGATGTTTATTCTAGCTTAGCACGGTGGCTCATGCCTTTAATCCTAACACTTTAGGAGGCCAAGGCGGGTGGATCACCTGAGGTCAGGGTTAAAGACCAGCCTGGCCAACAAGGTGAAATCCTGACTCTACTAAAAATACAAAAATTAGCCAAGCATGGTGGCGGCACCTGTGATGCCAGCTACTTCGGAGGCTGAGGCAGGAGAATCACTTGAACCCAGGAAGCAGAGGTTGCAGTGAGCCGAGATCGCACCACTGCACTCCAGCCTGGGCAACAAAAGTGAAATTTTGTCTCATAAATAAATAAATAAATAGGTTTATTCTGGGCCGATTTGAGTGACCATGGCTCAGGGTACAGTCTCAAGAGATCCTGAGAAAGTATGCCCAAGGCAGTCAGGTTACAGTTTGGTTTTAAGCATTTTAGGGAAATAGAAATTACAGGTAAGGTATACATTGGTTCAGCCCAAAAAGGCAGGACATCTTGAAGTAAGGGCTTACAAGTCATGGGTATGTTTTAGGAATTCTTTAGTTGCCAATTAGTTGAAAGAGTAAAACTACTGTCTAAAGACGAGGTTGGTAGAAAGGAATGCTTAGGTGAAGATTAGAGGATGGTGGAGGTCAAGGTTCTTGTTATATACATAAAGCCTCATGGGTAGCAGGCCTCAGAGAGAATGATGGTAAATGTCTCTTTTTAGAACTTAAAGTCATCAGACTCTCAATTAATCTCTCCTAGATGCAGGAAAGGCCTAGAAAGGGAAGGCCCAGTTGCATTAACAGAGATTCTCTACAAATGCAAATTTCCCCCACAAAAGATGGCTTTGCAGGGCCATTTCAATAGGTTAGCACTGTGGCAGCCATCTGAAAATACGTCAAAGAAATATACTGTGGGGCTGTTTCCTGTCTGTGCTGCTGGGTGGGAACCCATGTGGCGGTCCACACAGGGCAGTGACACAGAATTCTTTCAGTGCCACTTTGCCAGCTGGGCTTACCACTGGGCTTGCTTTCCCCACTCGGCCTGGCGGACTGCACTCAGCTAGCACTATCAGCCTGGATCCCATGCCCACCACAAGTAAGCCAGACATGGAGTGGCAAGGGGTGTGTGAGCAAGTAAGCACAGGGTCCATCCATGGTGCACAGCCAGGCACACCGGCTGCTGTGGCAGGGCAGACAGCTCCAGACTCTGGCACAGGCATGAGCCCCGTACAAGGGTGTGGCTGGACCAGGTGTGCCTCAAGCAGCTTCTGCCTTGGGCACCAGCATCTAGATGTGGGGAATGCGGTGGTGCCCGAAAACTCAGAGATGCCAGCAAACATGGAGCCCCAAGGGAGCAGAAGCATTGCCAGTCTTCACTCCTGTGGTCTGGCAGACAAGAGTGTGTCACTGCCTGCAGCTTGGTGAGCTGGCCAGGAACATGTTACAGCGCTTTTCATACCCACCCTTCGGCACGTCCCAGGTTCTTGTCCCGTGTCCAAGAAGAATCAGGTTATGTGGACAACCGGAGGGTTAGCAAGGTGGAGAAGAGTTTTACTGAGTGACAGAACAGCTCTCAGCAGAGAGGGACTTTAAGTGGGTAACCCCTACCTGAAGGCAGGTAGTCCCAATGTGTGGCTGAGTCCAGGGTTTTTATGGGCTCAGAATGGGGGAGTGAGTGCTGATTGGTCCATGGGTGGGCCTAGAACAGCACCATTTGATTGGTTAAAAGGCATCGAGGAAGTTCTCACTCTGGTCAGGGACTTTACCCAGAACTGGCAGCTTGGTTTTCAGGCTTTAATTTGTCTTTGGTTTGAAGGTTGGGTTTCACCAGGGACCCGCCCCTGTCTGCCTAGGAATTTGTCTACCTCCTGTCACTATCAGCAGCATGGGGAGGTGGCTCATAAAAGAATATATACATATAAATATATATAGTGTAGTAAAATATTTTTATTTTCTTCAGGGTCTACTACCTGTCATGTGATACTATACTAGAGTGAGGCTGGAAAATAAGCCACATTATACTGGGTTAATTAAAAAAAAAAACAATTTAACAAGATTTTTACAGTTTGAGGGTGTGACTTAACACTTGCCTTGCATGGGCTTAGGTCTTATTTATAATTTGGTATCTTACTGCCATAAAGAGTCTGTTTGGTCAGTCTTATGATCTCCATTTTAAACTTAATGCTAATCAGTTGTGCCTAAACTCCAAAAGGGAGGGGGTATAATGAGGTGTGTTCAACCTTCCTTCCTATCATGGCTGGGAATTTAGTTTTTCAGGTGGCTCTGGGGTTCCCATGGCCAAAAGAGGGTCTGCTCAGTCGATCATGGGGTGAGGGAGGCTTAGGATTTTATTTTTGATTTATAATAGTTTATTTTTATAATTATTTTTTCTTTTTTAAAAAGTTTTCTTCCAGTGAATGGAACACAGTAGTTTAAACTGTAATCATAAGTAGAACTGGCCCCTCCATATGTCAGAGGCATTTGAACCAGAGTGACTCCATCTTGAATACGGCCTGGGTAAAATAAGGCTGAGACCTACCAGGCTGCATTCCTAGGAAGTTAAGGCATTGTTAGTCACGAGATGAAATAGAGATGAAATAAAAAGTTGGCAGGACATACAGGTCGTAAAGACCTTGCTGACAAAACAGCATGTGGTGAAAAAGCCAGACAAATCCCTCCAAGTCCAAGATGGTGATAAAAGTGACCTCTGGTCATCCTCACTGCTTATTATGTGCTAATTATAATGTATTAGCATACTAAAAGACACTCTCACCAGCAACACTACAGCTTACAAATCCCATGGCAACGTCAGGAAATTACCATCTATGGTATAAAAGGGGGAGGAACCCTCAGTTCCAGGAATTGCCCACCCCTTTCCCGGAAAACTCACGAATAATCCACTCCTTGTTTAGCATATAATCAAGAAGTAACAATAAGAATAAGCAGCCCATGCCTCTGCTCTGCCTATGTAGTCGCCATTTTTTATTCCTTTACTTTCTCTTTTTTTGAGATGGAGTCTTGCTCTATCATCCAGGCTGGAGTGCAATGGCACAATCTCAGCTCACTGCAACCTCCATGTCCCAGGTTCAAGTGATTCTCCTGCCTCAGCCTCCCAAGCAGGTGGGACTACAGGCATGCACCACCACACCCAGCTAATTTTTTGTATTTTTGGTAGAGACAGGGTTTCACCAAGTTAGCCAGGCTGGTCTTTAACTCCTGACCTCAACTGATCTGCACGCCTTGGCCTCCCAAAGTGCTGGGATTATAGGCGTGAGCCACTGCACCTGGCCTATTTCTTTACTTTCTTAATAAACCTGTTTTCACTTTATTCTATGGACTCATCCTGAATTCTTTCTTGCGTGGGATCCAAGAACCCTTTTGGGGTCTGGATCAGGAGCCCTTTCTGGTAACACATATACATGGGTTTCACATCCTGCAAATACTTTGTTTCCTTTTCTTTTATCTTTTAGTTGTTTTTTTTTTTTTTTTAGAGACAGGGTCTTGCTCTGTCATTCAGGCTAGGTTGCAGTGGCATGATCATAGCTCACTGAAGCCTCAAACTCCTGAGCTCAAGTGATCAGCCTCCACAGTAACTGGGATTACAGGAAAGCATCACCATGCCTGGCTAATTTTTAAATATTTTTTTTGGTGACAGGGTCTCGCTATGTTGTGCAAGCTGGCCTCAAACTCCTGACCTCAAGCGATCCTCTTTCCTCGGCCTCTCAAAGTACTGAGATTACAAGCGTGAGCAACTGCACCCAGCCAACTATATTTCTGATTTACTTTTTGTTGGGAAAAAATCACTAGTAAGTGGACCTGTGCAGTTCAAACCCGTGTTGTTCAAGGGTCAAATGTATAGTACTTTCCTGAGTTCTGTGAGTTGTTCTAATTATAGAGCCTGAAGGAGGCTTAAGGGATCCCTCCAATTTATAGCCAGTTGGTCAGAAATGAAGATGGCCTGGGACCCCCAACCCCAACTTGCAACAGGCATCTGAAGTGAGGGCAGTCTTTTTGGGAACTGTGCCTCTAACTTGTGGGGTCTATGCTAACTTTTGAGTGGTTAGCATCAGAATTGAAATATTGCAGTATATTCTAAGTCTCTAAGTTGAAGATTTACTGCTATTAACACATTTTGATAGATCTAAATTGTTGATGCCAGAAAGATTTTCAATCTCAAGAATAATCGAGAGCCAACAATTTAGCTTATAGTCTGAATTCAACAGCTTGTATCTCAGCCACAAGTGATAATTTTAGGAAAAGAAGTGCCAAATGTTACACTGAGAAGACAAAAGTCAACTTGGAAATGATCTCTCTCTTCAAGCAAAATAAAAAACTAACATGTAGTCTCCCTTGAAAACTTCTTGTTATAAGCCTGCCAGCCAAGAAATACAACCAGTGAGGGTTTGTCCTTCAGGCCCCAGAAATACGTATTGTTACGTATTTTTGGTCAATTTTAAGTCCTTGCCCTACCCACCACCCACATCAATTCTGTCCCCTTCAATTAATATCCTACCTGAGTTGCTACTCCTAATACTATCTGAGCTCTAATTATTTTAAGTCAAATAAAGTGCCTGGCCCTAATCAATGAAAACTTCTCCTTCTGTCACATTATTTCCTATCAGATTGTTAACTTACTTTGCCTGTCTCACTGAAAATCTTCAAATCTCCCATATTTGCCTCTTTCCTTATTCTACAAAGTCCTAAAACACATAGAATTAACATCATGTTAAAACTTGATGTTGACCAGGCATGGTGGCTCAAGCCTGTAATCCCAACACTTTGAGAGGCCAAGGCAGGAGGATAGCTTGAGCCCAGGAGTTTGAGACCAGCCTGGGAAACACAGTGAGACCTTGTCTCTACAAAACAAAAAAAAAGCCAAAATAAAAAATCTGAAGTTAATATCAGAAAAAGTAAAAATAGAACCAGAATATAAAATATCTGCCTTTGTTATACAAAGCAAAGTTTTCGTAAATCCTCTATATTATAGCTCTAGACAAAACTATTTAATATAGTTGGATTTATTGATTGACAGTGGTATTCTCATTCTCCAAAAAGGTCTTTAGTATCTTTTCACCTATCTTAAGATTATAATACCACTGCTAGGCCTGGTGGCTCACGCCTGTAATCCCAGGACTTTGGGAGGCCGAGGCGGGTGAATCACGAGGTCAGGAGATCGAGACCATTCTGGCTAACATGGTGAAACCCATCTCTACTAAAAAAAATAAAAAATAAAATAAAATAAAAAATCAGCCGGGTGTGCTGGCATGCACCTATAGTACCAGTTACTCAGGAAGGCGAGACAGGAGAATCACTTGAACCCAGGAGACGGAGGTTACAGTGAGCCGAGATCGCGCCACTGCACTCCAGCTTGGGAGACAGAGTGAGACTCGGTCAAAAAAAAAAAAAAAAAAAAAAAAGATTATACTACTACTATCTTTGAAGCCCCTGCACCTTCCTTCCCAATTGCATTCTCCAATCTTATCCTTAGAGGTAACTACTATCCTTGTAGTAACTTTCAGCAGTCATTTTGAACTCCAGCAGAAGTTTTTAATTTTGATGAAGTCTAATTTATTACTTTTCTTTTATGGATCATGTTTTTGGTGTTATATCTAAGAATTCTTTGCCTAACTCCAAATCACAAACATTTTCTGCTTTCTTATTTTGTTCTGCAAAGCACACTGTTAAAAGAATGAAAAGCCAGACACTGGGAGAAAATATCTGGGAGAGGTTTTATAGTTTTATGATCCATTTTGAGTCAATGTTCGTATGTGGTTCAAGGTCTCCTGCTCCCCTCAACACATACAGATGTCTAATTGTCCCAACTCTATTTCTTGAAAGAAATATATCCTTTCCTCGTGGAATCATCTTGGTTGAGAATCAATTGACCAAATATCTGTAGGTCTAGCTCTGGACTCTATATAGTATTATAGTGACCTAGGTATTTATCCTTTCTCAGTTAACTGGGACCACGAACTGAATGGCTTTATCTGGTGGCTACACTGTGATCAGTGTGTTTCTTCATTAGTGGGAATTTGATAGGGTAATCAGCATTCTATAAATAGAAAATGGGATTAACAATTAATAAAAATCAATTCTAGTAAAAGTCCCATCAACAATGACCTTGTCAGGGCACAGAACACTGTACCTCAAAATACGGCACCTTGGCATACTGAGTATTTTAAGCTGAAAGAAACTGTGAAAAGCTTAGAAGCAGAAAGGTCTCTGATCTCTCTCTAGAAGATCCTCAAAGTGACAGGTGTCCTGCCCTATATGCAAAGGAAAGGAATCTTACAGAGAAAGGCCAAGAAGAATCCGAGCAAACAGGCCTTGCTTAGTTACCCTCAGTTTATTACCATAGGATCATATCCCTACTTTTGTCCAATCATACTTCTAAATAACTGTCCATTCTTCATCAAAACTAGGCATAAAAAATAGTTTTCCCTGGGTCTCTGTGTCTTCATTTTTGAAGGCTTCCATGTCATGTAAAACTAATATTAAATAAATTTGCAAGCTTTTCTCTTGTTACTCTGTCTTGTTATGAAGCATCAGCCATAAACTTTTTTCTCCCCTTTAACTTGAAGTCATACAACTCTATGGGGCTTGGGGAAAATAATGTCTAACAACAAAAGAGTGTTAAAGATCAAGTAAGCAAACAGGAAAATACCTAGAATGAACTATACAAATAGAAGATTTGTTCCGATTTTTCATTTAGAAAACTAATTTTAAGTACTTATAAGGACCAAGTTCCGTACTTTTTTCCACATCTAACATTGAAACTTGAACCTAGGATTTTTTTTTTCCTTTTTTTTTTTGAGATGGAGTTTCGCTCTTGCCACCCAGGGTGGAATGCAGTGGCACCATCTCTGCTCACCGCAACCTCCGCCTTCCGGGTTCAAGCGATTCTCCTGCCTCAGCCTCTTTAGTAGCTGGGATTACAGGCATGAGCCACCATGCCCGGCCGGAACCTAGGATTTTAACAATAACAAATAGCCCATCAATCTATATAGATTTGGGCTGGGCACGGTGGCTCAAGCCTGTAATCCCAGCATTTTGGGAGGCCAAGGCGGGCAGATCACATGAGACCAGGAGTTTGTGATCAGCCTGGCCAACATGGTGAAACCCTGTCTCTACTAAAAATACAAAACTTAGCCAGGCATGGTGGTGCACATCTGTAATCCCAACTACTCGGGAGGCTGAGGCACAAGAACTGCTAGAACCCAGGAGGTGGAGGTTGCAGTGAGCCGCAATCCCACCTCTGCACTCCAGCCTGGGTGACAGAGCAAGACTGTGTCTCAAAAACCAAAAAAAAAAATCTATATACATTTGATCTTGCTTTAGGCCAGGCGCGGTGGCTCACACCTGTAATCCCAGCACTTTGGGAGGCCAAGGCGGGCAGATCACGAGGTCAGGAGATGGAGACCATCCTGGCTAACATGGTGAAACCCTGTCTCTACTAAAAATACAAAAAATTAGCCAGGCATGGTGGCAGCCACCTGTAGTCATGAACCTGGGAGGCAGAGCTTGCCGTGAGCCGAGATCGCACCACTGCACTCCAGCCTGGGTGACAGAGCGAGACTCCATCTCAAAAAAAAAAAAAAAAAGATTTGATCTTGCTTTGCATCCCTGATCAGTCATTACAGAAGTGAAGCGGCTGTAGTCAAAATTTCCCCTCATTTTTCCCTGGGAGTTTAGGCATTTTCATTATCACTTTGCCCTCTTCTCCTCCCTCAACCTAAGTATAGGTATCTGAATGCTAAACAAAGATCATTTTAAGGGCTAGAGCACAGTAGTGGGGGAAAAAAAAAGTGGGGTAGGGAGTATCTGTGGGTCATTTTAGGAAATAACGGTAAGATTAGAAATGACAAATAATTCAAGAATCCAGTTGTCCTCTCTCCAATTTTATCTTTCAGAAGAAATAAGGACAAGTACCCTTAGTCAATTCAAATTAAACCCCAGTAATGCCAGTTTCACTGCGTAAAATCAGCCAGATTGAGTGGGAAATTCTAATATACCTCTAGGGTGCTAAGTGGAAAGACCCAATTTCTACACCTGAGTCTGTCTCACACTCCTTCCATTGTGACTAGCTATTTCCCACTCTTATTTCTCTCTTTTTCTCTTATTTTTCTTTCATAGCTTTCAAGATTCTAATTTAACAATTAAACTGCATAACAATTCAAATCATCACAGAGGTTTCCAATTAAATGGTTCCTCCTAAATTACACAGAAACATCTACATTAATTTTTGCTTTGAGGTATAATCTATCAAAAGTTTCACCCTGAAGACTTTTACTAAAAACAAATGAACGATTATAATAAACATCATACCTTCATGATCTAAATGGTACTATTTCTGGTAAAGCATTTGAAATGAAAGCAACAATTAAATTTCCAGTTACCTTTAAAGTAAGTATATATAAGGGCCAGGTGTGGTGGCTCATGCCTGTAATCCCATCAGTTTGGGAGGCTGAGGCAGGGGGATGGCTTGAGCCCAGGAGAGACAATGCTGGGCAACATATGAGACTGTGTCTCTACACACACATAAAAAAAGTAGTCAGGTGTGGTGGTGCATGGCTGTTGTTCCAGCCACTCAGGAGGCTGAGATGGGAGACTTGCTTGAGCCCAGGAGGTCACACCACTGCACTTTAGCCTGGGTAACAGAGCAAGACCCTATCTAAAAAAAAAAAAAAAAAAAAAAAAAAGTAAGTACATATAAAATGTCACTATTGTACTTTACTGAGTCATGGTGACCTGGAGTTATAATTAGTTTTGTTCATATGTTCTGAATCTCTGCAGGCTATTGATAGAATTTCAAGCTTCATCGCCTACTTACCCAGGAAAATATATCATATACATATTTTTGAGAGACAGGGTCTTGCTCTGACACCCAGGCTGGAGTGCAGTGGCACAATCTTGGCTCACCACAGCCTCAACCTCCTGGGCTCAAGCCATTCTCCTGCCTCAGCACCTGTAATCCCACAAGTAGCTGGGATTACAGGTGCTTGCCGCCATGCCCAGCTAATTTTTGTATTTTTTAGTAGAGATGGGGTTTCGCCATGTTGCCCAGGCTGGTCTGGAACTCCTGGATTCAAGCAATCTATCTGCCTCGGCCTCCAAAAATGCTGGAATTACAGGCATGAGCTACTGCACCTGGCACAGCATAGATTTTTATGATGCCAAATATTGATACAAAAAGGCTAAATGGTTTCTAAGAACATGGTACACAAATATTCTTTTTAAAAAACTTTTAAAAATTTAGAAAGGTTAGATAAATAAATACCTCTTTTGAAATAAATGGCTAAACTCACAAAAAAAGCAAGAGGGCCAAGAACAAAGAGGGAGTTGAAAATCAATGGATTTTACTGATTACACAAGACAGAAGACAATACCTGAGGGCTATACAAGCCAGAGAGGGAATTGAGACTTCTGTATGAAACTGTAACCTTCAGAGAGCTTTCTCCTCAGCAAAAGAATGAACAAGTCAAAAATCTACTTAGAAGATAACAAAGAGATCACATGAGCTCTCAATCAAAAATTATAAAACACAGGAATAAAAAAGCTACTATGGACCCGGCATGGTGGCACATGCCTATAATCCCAGCACTTTGGGAGGCCAAGGTGGGTGGATCCCTCGAGGTCAGGCATTCGAGACCAGCCTGGCCAAAATGGTGCAAACCCATCTCTACTAAAAATACAAAAATTAGCCAGGCGTTGTGGCACATACCTGTAATCCCTGCTACTTGGGAAGCTGAAGCAGGAGAATCACTTGAACCCAGGAGGTGGAGGTTGCAGTGAGCTGAGATCACGCCACTGCACTACAGCCTGGCGACAGAGTGAAACTCTGTCTCAAAATAAATAAAAAGTTAAAAAATAAGAATAAAAAATCTACTATGTGTGATAATCAGCAGAAACAAATAACAGCATTTAGACCTGTAAGAACTTTACAAAATGGAATAATCAGATACAGAATAAAAATTATTTTGTTCTATTTTTTGAGACAGGGTCTCACTCTGTCACTCAAGCTGGCATACAGTGGTGTGATCACCACTCACTTCAGCCTCAACCTCCCAGGTTCAAATGATTGTCCTACCTCAGCCTCCTGAGTAGCTAGGATTACAGACATATGCCACCATGCCTGGCTAATATATATATATATATATATATATATATATTTTGTAGAGACAGTGTCACTATGTTGTCCAGTCTGGAAGAATATATTACTTTAAATGACCAGATATGAAAAAAAAGCGAAATAGAATTTCTTGAAATGAAAATATAATCACTATATTGAAGTCTCCAATCTCAAAGAAAAATGCTAAAAAGGCCCACACTGTTTTTGTTTATACAAAAGAGTTTAATTTCTGCATAGAACATTATAGAAACATGCAGGTCAAAAGTACCCAAAAGTAATTTTTTACCGAAAAGTAATTACAGTAGTTAATGTAGCAACGCTACTCTAAGAAATACAGTCCCATGCTCTGGAATTTGTATTTTGATTACACTATAAGAAAATCTGTCTTGTTCACTCATTCACTCATTTAAGAAATATTAAGCCAGGTGCGGTGGCTCACGCCTGTAATCCCAGCACTTTGGGAGGCTGAGGCGGGCGGATCATGAGGTCAGGAGATTAAGACCATCCTGGCTAACAGGGTGAAACCCTGTCTCTACTAAAAATACAAAAAATTAGCCGGGCGTGGTGGCACATGCCTCAACTTCCTGGACTCAAGTGATCCTCCCACCTCAGGCTCCCTAGTAGCTGAGACTACAGGCGTGCACCACCACAACCTGCTAATATTTTCTTTTATTTTATTTTATTTTTATTTTTGAGACGGAGTCCTGCTGTGTCACCAGGCTGGAGTGCAGTGGTGCGATCTCGGCTCACTGCAATCTCCGCCTCCTGGGTTCAAGCGATTCTCCTGCTTCAGCCTCCTGAGTAGCTGGGATTACAGGCACCTGCCACCACACCCAGCTAATTTTTGTATTTTTAGTAGAGATGGGGTTTCACCATGTTAGCCAGGCTGGTCTCGATCTCCTGACCTCATTATCCACCCGCCTCGGCCTCCCAAAGTGCTAGGATTACAGGCATGAGCCACCATGCCTGGCCAGCCTACTAATATTTAAAGTTTTTTTTTTGGTAGAGACAGGGTGTCCCTACGTTGCCCAGGCTGGTCACGAACTCCTGGGCTCAAGCAGTCCTCCTGCCTTGGCCTCCGAAAGTGGTAAGATTACAGGTGTGAGCCACTGTGTCTGGCCTAACATCTGACATTTTATAAAAAGCACCTCCTATAATAGTAATACTATGCAAAGCTATATGGAGATACTGATAAATCTTAAGACATAAATGAACAGAGATTTTTTTTTTATTTTCTTACTAGCAAGTAATGGATTAATTAGCTTTATTTTTTCACTCGTCTCAGGGTTTTTACTGGGTAACAATTTGTAATAAGTTATTTATTAGGCAAAAACCACTGGTCAGGAACTGTATATGCATTTTAAAAAATCCTCAGTATCTAGGCCGGGCATGGTGGCTCACACCTGTAATCCCAGCACTTTGGGAGGCCGAGCTGAGTGGATCACCTGAGGAAAGGAGTTGGCGACCAGCCTGGCCAACATGGTGAAACCCCGTCTCTATTAAAAATACAAAAAATTAGCCAGGCATGGTGGCGTGCACCTGTAATCCCAGCTACTCGGGAGGCTGAGGCAGGAGAATCGCTTGAACCTGGGAGTGGCAGGTTGCAGTGAGCTGAGATCATGCCACTGCACTCCAGCCTGGGCAACAAGAGCGAAACTCCATCTCAAAAAAAAACAAAAAAACAAAAAAAAACCGAAAAACAAAAACAACCACCTCAGTATCCTTAGGAGTTACAATTGGCGTCTTACAGATGAGAAAATCAAGGTTAGAAAGAGTTAATGTCATTTGTCCAGATCATACAGCTACAAACAGTAGGATCAGGATTCAAATCCAGGTCAGTTTGACTCCACAGTCCTTGCTCATTTCACTAGAGCCAGCTATTTAATTTTTATGGTTTTTTTGTTTCTGTTTTTTTTTTTTTTTTGCTGTAACTGTCTATTCACTAATTTCACTTCTTCCCTTGGGTGAAACTGAAATTTATGTAGCACATAGTTCCAACTGCTTTGAAGGAGCTAAATTTAGTATTAATAGACTGACAAACTAAGTTGATACAAGGTTACTGTAGATACTTTAAAAAGACACAACATTTGGGAGGCCAAAGCAGGTGGATCACGAGGTCAGGAGATCGAGACCATCCTATCCTGGCTAACACAGTGAAACCCTGTGTCTACTGAAAATACAAAAAATTAGCCGGGCATGGTGGTGGGCGCCTGTAGTCCCGGCTACTCAGGAGGCTGAGGCAGGAGAATCGCTTGAACCTGGGAGGCAGAGCTTGCAGTGAGCTGAGATCGTGCCACTGCACTCCAGCCTGGGCAACAGAGCTAGATTCCGTCTCAAAAAAAAAAAAAAAAAAAGAAAAGAAAGAAAGACAGCCACACATAAACCCACACTCTGCATATAAACTCTACTGAGATTTCTGGCTGACAAGTAAACTCTGAATGTACAGGACAGATTCTAAGAAGCCCAGATAAAGCTAAAATATGTGAACAGAAGTTTCAGCAGGTACCCACTGAAGGCAAGAGAGGGGCTGGTGTTAGACTCAGTCAAGTTAACTGCCTCCGAACACAAAAAAATCAACATTTCTCAGAGAATCATAACAGAATCCATATATCTACAATGCAGCATTCCCAATGTCCAGTATACAAAACAAAATTATTAGCTATATGAATAAACAGGAAAATATGACACACTCAAAAGAAACAGTTGGAGACCAAACTTGAAATTACCTAGGTGTCGGAATTAGAAGAGAAAGCTACAGTGATAACTATGATTAAGGATGTAAATAAAAAGGATATTTGAAAATTAACACACAGATAGGAAATCTCAAAAGAGAAATAAACTATAAACTAACCAAATTGATATTCTAAAACTAAAAAATATATCTGAGGTAAAAAAGAAAAAATTCCCTAAAAGGTCAAAACAGCAGATTGGAGATGACGGAAGGATCAGTGAACTAAAAGATAAATGGAAAGAAATTATCCAGTTTGAAAAGAGAGAAAAAAAGATTGGGGGAAAAAAACAGAGCCTGAGAAACATATGGGATGCAGTATTAAAAAAATTAACATCTGCATAATTGGATTCTCATAAGAAAAAGGGGAAGAGCAAAAACTGTCTTTTGCTGAAGACAAACAACAAAACTGTTGTTTGGCTGAAACTCCATATTCATCAAAAATATCCATCAAGAATAAAGATGAAATAACAAGATTTTCAGATAAGTGAAAACTAAGCCAACTCCCTGCCCAACATACCTGCACAACAAGAAATGCTAAAGGAAATTCTTCAAACTAATAGGAAACAAAACTAGATGGCAGAACAGATCTTCAGAAAGAAATGAAGATCAGTGGAACGGACAAATATATGGTTAAATATATAAGACTAAGTTTTATTATCTCCTCATCTACTGGAAATACATAGGACTACTTAAAGCAAAAGTTATAATATTGAAATACGGGTTACCACATTAAGAAAAAACCATGACAACTACTGCATAAAAGAAGAGTCATAAACAGAATTCTGTGGTTGTATAATTCCTGAAATTTAAATGAAATGGTATTGTTTTATTTATTTATTTATTTTTGGAGACAGCATCTCACTCTGTCACCCAGGCTAGAATGCAGTGGTATGATCTCAGCTCACTGCAGCCTCAACCTCCCAGGCTCAAGGGATCCTCCCACCTCAGCCTCCCAAGTAGCTGGGACTACAGGTGTGTGCCACCACAACCAGCTAATGTTTCTGTATTTTTCATAGAGACAGGGTTTCACCATGTTGCCTAAGCCGGTCTGGAACTCCTGAGCTCAGGCAATCCACCCACCTCAGCCTCCCAAAGTGCTGGGATTACAGGCATGAGCCACCGCCCCAGGCAAAAGGGTGAGACGTTAAGAATGTATATTGTAATCTCTAGTGCAATCCTAAAGAAAGATGTAGCTAAAAACCCAAGAGAGAAATTAAAATGGAATTCCCCCCCCAAAATTCATTAAGCTGTAAGAAGTAAAAAAGGATAAACAGGAATAAAAACAGAAAGCAAAATAGTAGATCTAAATCCAACCATGTCAACATACTAAACACAAATGGAGTAAGCACTTTAAAAGCAACACTGAACTATCTACAATAGATGCACTTCAAATACAAAGACAGGTTGGAAACTAGTTGGAAAAAGACATTTGATGAAAACAGTAAGTATAAAAAGGCTAGCTTGTGTCTATAGTCCTAGCTACTGGGGTGGCTGAGGCAGGAAGCTCTCTTGAGCCCAGGAGTTCAAGGCTGTAGTGGGTTATAATCACACCTGTGAATAGCCACTGCACTCCAGCCAGGCAACTTAGCTCCTTTTGAAAAGCTTCTTATGGCGTAATGTTTAAGGGGGAAAAAATGGGGAGAGGCTATATTATTTTCAGTTATAGACTCCAAGATAGAGTATTACCAGAAATAAAGACTGACATTTCATAATGATACAACAGGACAGGCATAGTGGCTCATGACTGTAAACCCAGCACCTTGGGAGGCCAAGGTGGGAGGATCGCTTGAGTCCAGAAGTTGGAGACCAGCCTGGGCAACATAGTGAGACAAAAAACAAAAAAATTTTTTTTTAAATTAGCCAGGTGCCATGGCTTGCACTTGTGGTCCCAGCTACTAGGGAGGCTGAGGTGGGAGGATCACTTAGCCCAGGAGGTAGAGGCTGCAGTGAGCTGTGATCACACTACTGCACTCCTGTTAGGTGACAAAGCAAGACCTTGTCTCCAAAAAAAAATAATAAAACAGATAACTTATCAGAAAAACATAATCAGAAATGTATATATGTCTGATATAAAGCTTCAACCTTAAGAAGAAAATTTGTGGCCAGGTGCGGTGGCTCACGCCTGCAATCCCAACACTTTGGGAGGATAAGGTGGGTGGATCACGAGGTCAGGAGTTCGAGACCGGCCTGACTAACATGGAGAAACCCCGTCTCTACTAAAAATACAAAATTAGCTGGGCATGGCAGCACATGCCTGTAATCCCAGCTACTCGGGAGGCTGAGGCAGGAGAATCGCTTGAATCCGGGAGGCAGAGGTTGAGGTGAACTGAGATTGCGCCATTGCACTCCAGCCTGGACAAAAAGAGCAAAACTCCATCTCAAAAAAAAACAGAAAGAAAGAAAATGTGTTGTTATTTAATACCTCCCACCTTTTTTTTTTGAGACAGGGTTTTGCTCTCTCACCTAGGCTGAGTGTAGTAGCACGATAATGGCTCACTGCAGCCTTGACCTTCCAGGCCCAAGCAATCCTCTTACCTCAGCCTCTCAAGTAGCTGGGACCACACGAGTGCACCATCATGCCTGGCTATGTTGCCCAGGCTGGTCTCAAACTCCTGGGCTCAAGCAATCCTCCCACCTCAGCCTCCCAGTGCTGCAATTACAGGTATAAGCCACCATGCCTGGTCTTAAGAAGAAAATTTGAAGGCTGAAGTGAGAGGACTGTGTGAGTGCAGGAGTTTGAGACTAGCCTAGGCAACACAGTGAGACCCTTGTCTCAAAACAAAACAAAACGAAGAAAATTTGAGAGAATTAAAGGGAGAAACAGATTTTTTAAAAATCTCTAACTATGATTGTGAACTAACATCCTTCTCACAGTAACTGAAATAATAAATAGATGAAAAAAGAATCAGTATGGACATAGATCATGTGAACAGCACTATTAACCAACTTAATCTAATTGACATTTGTAAATACTACACTAACAACTTCACAAAATATATTCTTTTCAAGTGTGCATGGTCTATTCACCAATACAGATCAAATGCTAAATCAGAAGGTAAGTCTCAATAAATCTCAAAAGATTTATTGTAAACTTATATAGAGTATGTTCTCTGAGCATAATGAAATTAAATCAGAAACCATCAGTAAGATACCTAGAAGAGCCCCAAGTATTTGGAAATTTAACGTAATATTTTAAAATAAACCATGCTCAAATGCCACATGCAGGGTTTGGAAAAAAAATAAAAATAAAAACAAAATAAACCATGGGTCAAGAAGAAACCATGAAATTAATTAGAAAATATTTTGGACTGAGTGGGGTGGCTCAAACCTGTAATCCCAGCACTTTGGGAGACCAAGGTGGGAGGATCGCCTGAGCCCAGGAGTTTGAGACCAGTCTGGGCAACATAGGGAGAATGTGCCTCTACAGAGAAAAAAAAAAAATTAGCCAGGTATGGTGGTGCATGCCTGTAATCCCAGCTACTCGGGAGGCTGAAGCAGGAGGATAGCTCAAACCCAGGAGTTGAGGCCACTGCACTCTAGCCTGGGCAACAGAGTAAGACTCTATCTCTAAAAAAACTTAAATATAAATAAAAATAAATAAAATATTTTGAACTGAATGACGAAATGCAACACATCAAAATTTTTGTGCTAAATTTTAAAACAGTACTCAAAGAGAAAAGCTTTAAACAAAATTCTTCATAAACACACAATCTTAATAGAACATTAGCAAATCAAATCCATTAATATATCAAAAAGATTATAAATCTTGAGCTAATAGGGTTTATCCCAGGAATGCAAGGTAGTTTAATATTATAACATCACACACACACAGATATATGCACATATATATGGATATTACATTATCGTTTTTGGCTATGAGATTATATACATAATCCAGGTCAGTGGTCCCCAACCTTTTTGGCACCAGGGACTGGTTTCAGGATGATTCAAGTGCATTACATTTATTGTGTACTTTATTTCTATTATTATCACACTGTAATATATAATGAAATAATTACACAACTCACCATAATGCATAATCAGTGGGAGCCCTGAACTTGTTTTCCTGCAACTAGATGGTCCCATTTAGTTGCAGGATTGGGGGTGGTGGGAGACAGTGATACTCGAAGTGTGTTGCTTATGTCCAGTCTACTCTGTAACAATCTTGTTTTGGTTGCTGTCACTGCAGAAAACGCTGCTTCACAAAGAATGTTGGAAACGGAAGGCTTTTGAGTGCATTTGTGGCAATCTCAGAATATTCCACCTTGACTTTAACCCAGAATGTATGGAGATTTGAAGTTGCCTCAAACATACTTTCAAGGCCTCCGTCATTTGTGATGTCAAGCAGTTAATCCTCTTCTAGCATGGACAAAGTCGATTCCACTGGCTTATTCACAAATGGGTGGTAGATCCATTCCTTCCCAACTCATGGGTCTTTTGTGGTTGGAAAGTAATGCTCAAACTCTTTTGAAAGCTGAGATTGGTGATCATGCACCAGCTGGGAGAAAGAAGGCCTTGGCTCAATCCCTCTCAAAATCTCTGCAAATGTTTGAAACATGTCAGAAATCCTAATGTTCACTCATCGCCCCCATAATTCCAGTTTGGCTTTGAACGCAGCCACTTTATCTGCCGACTTAAACACAGTCGTCATTCTCCTCTGAAGTGACAGATTGAGTTCGCTGAACAGGTTGAATATGTCACACAAGCAAGTTTTGCCACCCATTCTGTGTCACTGAAATGTGCTGCCAGTGGTGACTGTTTTTCTAAAAGAAATCTCTGGAGTGGCTCTCATAACTCAAAAACTCTGGCCAGCAATGGACCTTTAGAAAGCCACTTCACTTCTGTGCATAAGAGAAGATGTGTGTGCTCTGCATCTATCTCCTCACAGAGCTGTGTGAACATGTAAAAGCATGTACTTAAATGTGGATGCTAATTTTAATCACATCCTGCAAAATGTTAAGTTCAGGTGACATTTTTCAGCTAGCTAGCCTTTCTCTATGGATGACACAGTACATAGACTCACATTCAGAAGCAAACTCTTTGACCCAAGTAGTGAAATCAGAAAGCTGTCCAGTCATGGCAGCCACTCTGTCTGTGCATATACTGACACAAAATGACCAATTCCGTTTTCCTGATATGTAATCATTCAAAGACTTGAATAGTTCTGCAGCTATGGTGTTGGTTGGCAACAAAAGTGCACATAACACATCCTCATGCACATCCTCCTGAAAAATACAGTGCACAAAAACAAGCATTGTTGCCTTGTCAACACCAGTAGACTCATCAACCTGGACTGCGTGCCACAGTGACTCATTAATGCTCTCTATCAATTGTGCCTCAATATCCTCTATTCAATCAATTCAACTACTTATGGTGCTAGCTGAGAGGAACACGTTCCACCTTCTGAACTGTGTCCTCTCCTGAAGGTTCAAAACAAATGTCCTTAGGATCAACTCTTACCAATAGTAAAGGGCTTCTTAGCTTTAGCAATGTGGTTAGCTACTAAGAATGATGCTCTCAATGCAGACACATTTGAAGTGGTGGCCTTCAATAATTGCTTCTGTTCTTTGTATTCACATTTTCTTCTTTTGAAAAACTCCAAAGGCTTGTCTTTTAATGCAGGGTGCTTGGTCTCCATGTGGCAAAGCAGTTTTGAAGGTTTCATGGCTTCAATGGATAGCCGGTCGCCACATATACAAAGTGGGCTTGGAGAATGTGAATCACTGGTTGCAATGAACCTGTAATTTAAGTAGAACTCTTGGTATTTTCTTTTCAATGCAGCTTTCTTTTTTGCTGGCAGTCTTAGAGTCTTCTGCTGTCTCATCATTGGGTCTTTCCCCCTTTTCAAATAAACTCTTCCTTTTTACTTATTTTGGCTAGGGTTAGCTTGTGGGCTAACAAAACTGTCAGTGAGACAAGTGCACAGTGCAGGAAAAGAGGCCCAGATGGAAGTGGTAAATAGTGGGCAGGCCATGCGCAGGCTAAAATAAAGCCCGACTTAAAGCTTCCCACCAGATGCAGCTCACTTGCCACTATAAAGCCTGCCACCAGATGCAGCTTAATTGTCACTTGCCACTCACTGATAGGGTTTTGATATGAGTATGCAAGCAACTGATTATGGTCTCTGTGCAAACTTCTCTGCCAATGTTAATCTGTATTTGTAGCCGCTCCCCAGTGCTAGTAGCATCACCATCTCAGCTCCACCTCAGATCATCAGGCATTAGGTTCTCCTAAGGAGTGTGCAACCTAGATCCCTTGCATGCACAGTTCACAATAGGGTTTGTGCTCCTATGAGCTATTTTTTTCCTTTTTATTTGTACCAATTTATGAAGTACATGTGCAATTTTGTTATATACATAGATTGCATAGAGGTCAAGTCACGGCTTTTAGGGTATCCATCACCCAAATAAGGTAAATTGTACCCACTAACCAATTTCAGATCATCCTCCCCTCCTCCACTGCGACTTCCTTTCCCTTCCAGGTCTCCATTATCTATCCACCTCTCTACATTCACCTGAACACATTTTTTTCAGCACCTATTTATGAGTGAGAACATGTGCTACTTGTCTTTCTGTGCCTGGCTTGTTTCACTTAATGACCTCCAGTTCTTGCTGCAAATGACCATTAGTCAGCTGTCCCTGACATGATTTCATTCTTCTTTCTGGCTTAAATAGTATCCAATTGTATATATGTACTACATTTTCTTTATCCATTTATCTATTGGTGCACACTTAGATTGATTCCATATCCTTGCTATTATGAATGGTGCTGTGATAAACATACGAGTAGAGGTACTTTTTTTATATGCTGACTTCTTTTCTGGCGGTTAGATACCCAGTAGTGGCACTGCTGGGTCAAATGGTAGTTCCATTTTTAGTTCTTTGAGATAACTTCATACTATCTTGGCATTATCTCCAAGGATGTGCTAATTTACATTCTTACCAACAGTGCTCAAGAGTCCCTTGCCAACATCTGCTATTTTTTGTCTTTGTAGTAATAGGCACTCTGACTGGGGTAAGATGATATCTCATTGTGGTTTCGATTTGCATTTCTCTGATAATTAGTAATGTTCAGCATTTTTTTCATATACCTGTTGGCCATTTATATGTCTTCTTTTGAAAAATGTCTATTCATGTCCTTTGCCCACTTTTTAGTAGGATTATTTGGATCTTGTTGTTGAGCTGTTTAAGTTCTTTGTGTATTTTTGATGTTAGACCCCTATTGGATGAATACTTTGCAAATATTTTCTTCCATTCAACAGGTTGTCTCTTTACTCTGTGGGTTATTTCTTTCGCTGTGCAGAAAGTTTAAGTTCCATTTGTCTATTTTTGGGGCTGTTTCCAGGCCTCATTTTAAATTGACAAAAACAAAATGAAACATTCAGCCATATGTAAATACTCCATGTACCTATACCAACTGTAATACATCATGCACAAAAGCCCTTCTTCTCTGGGGTAACTGGTGTGACATCAATGTGGTATTCTATGGCCACTGATCCTTAGAATTTGGCCAAATGTGTTTCCAGATGTTCTGCTGGATGATTATCGTCAATTCAATCATTACAGTCATCCCTAAAATCTCACTGCTGAGGTAAGTCAGCCCTAATTTTGAGCTCATCTGAACACCTCAGAAGAAGGAACTGGCTCTCTTCATTCTTTTTTCTTACAGTTCTAACCTTAGACCTCAGCTCATTAGCCTCAAAAACATATGTAGATCAGTCAAAGTTGAGAAGTAATATTGTTTCTTCTATCCACTAAGAAAGCAAGGTGGAAGTATTGCCCTATTTTTTTTTCATTGCACAAAACCCTATTAATAAAAATTTGACACTAAAAAAACCCCACAAATAAATACGACGAGTACCTCCAAAAATATATGAGCAAATTATTTCCTATTAGTTGGTCTTGGTCTTCATTTATTTTCCAGAGACCCCAATTTCTTAAAGTTCCAAGTTCTGTTTCTATGGATAGTATCCTGCTCCTACACTCATCTTCCTCTCATTATTTTGTGACTCACATTTTAATACTCTGATGTATTCAAAGGGTGAGATAGGCATCAGAATTACAAAAAGTATGAGAATGATACTTTTTGTTTTCTGTTTTTGAGACAGGATCTCTCTGTCACCTAGGCTGGAGTGCAGTGGTGTGATCACAGCTCACTGCAGCCTCAACCTCCTGGGCTCAGTGAAGGCTGAAGTGATCTTCCCACTTCAGCCTCCCGAGTAGCTGGGACTACAGGTGCATGCCACCACACCCAGTTAACTTTTGTACTTTTGGTAGAGACGGAGTTTTGTCATGTTGCCCAGGCTGGTCTCTAGGGCTCAAGAGATTCACCCACCTTAACCTCCCAAAGTGATGGGATTATAGGCGTGAGCCACCACATCCAGGCCAAGAATGATATTTTTTTGATCAGCGTGGGTTTTATACTTAGGACTCTGAAGACTGGAAGAATTTTCCATAAACATGACCACTAGTTAGCTGTCCCTTTGGCCCAAATGATAAAAAACTGCAGTGATTAGTGAAAAAATAAACTCTGTAGTGGTATATGGAAATTCAAAAAGAGAAGAGAGATTATGTGAATATGTTAACAAATAGCTCATGTCAGGAGATATGTACCTTTACCTTTTCTTCTTTGAACCTTCCTGCATCCTATTACCTGATGTGTGATGTGGATATAATGGTGTCTTGGGCTACAAGGACAAGGATCATACCCAAGCAACAATGGAATAATCTGATGGAAAAGTCTAGGACCCTGAAGATACGTGGGACAGAGCCTATCTCCGGACTTTTACATAAAAGAGAAATAAACTTCCTCTATTTTTCTTTTAATTTTAATCTATTTATTTATTTATTTAAATACCAGGTTATAAGACTGGCTAATTTTTGTATTTTTGGTAGAAACAGGGTTTCACCATGTTGCCAAGGCTGGTCTCGAACTCCTGGGGTCAAGCAATCCACCAGTGTCAGCTTCCCAAAGTGCTGGGATTACAGGCATGAGCCACCGTGCTGGGCCAATTTCTATCTTTTTAAAGCCTGTGTTAATTTGGCTCTCTATTATTTGCAGCTGAACTTAATCCCAACTGATACAATAGGTAAGGAGCAACAGGATGGTTAAGAGATTCCTTTTGAGTGAGCTGTAGAGTCATCTCATTGAAGAAGACTGAAAGAGTGGATGGTAATTCTCTGAGAAAGGAGATGAGGAACTTTTTATTACTATTCTTCCAATATAATGTGGCATGTCTGAAGAGCCATTTGTATAAAGAGTGAACTCAGCTTAGTAAATGAGCTAAGTCCTTGGCATAGTCACCGAATGCTAATAGTTGCTATAAAGCCTAATCACATTGGTAACTGTACAGAATACATGAGCTTACTAAACCATTAACATGCTTTACTGAACATACAGCTTTTAAAACCTTTGGACTATTTACAGTGTTGCTTTCAATCAATTCCAGGAGGTCCCAATGGAACCGATTATGATATAACTATAGGAAACTTAAAAATTCATTCCTGAAAGAGTCAGACCTAAGAAAATCCAGAAAACAATCACTCAGCAGTGCAACAGGGCTAACTAACCAATGGGATACATTATGTAATCTACCTCAGAAATTTGTCAAATTAAAGAAACTATCAAGAGGCTTGAAAGAGTAGTATCAGAAGACAAAGACCAAAGATGAGGAGAAGAAAGTTTGTCATCAGTCACTGACCTTTCAGATTGACAATTAAGATGCATATATGAAAAAATATTAGTTTTCAGAACAGCAATAACATTTCTTACAACTTTATAAAATGACTCTACAATTTTTCTTTAAACACGATGCTTTCTACAAATTATGAGTTGAGATTAAAGAACTATGTATGGTTTACTGAACCCTCAGAGATCTCAGATGGCTTATAAGTTACATGGAGTTTTAAAATAATAATAGTAACCCCTCCAGAGTGTAAGTTAATTTCTTGTCAGTCTAGAAGCCTATCATGAAATATACTGAGCCTATCTAAGGTGAGCAGGTAAATAAATAAAATATAATTAAATAAAATATAGGTAAATAAGCTGCATTAAAAGCATAGAGCAAAGGGTAATTTTCTCTAACAATCTGTAAACTTCTTTATAGTCTTCTCATTAGAGGGCATTTCTGAACTAATACAAGTAAATGGAAAATAAGATTCATAATAACAATTTCACCTACAGATTTTAAGTACCTGTACATATCAAGGTAAACTTGTACTTTAACCACATATTTGTCAAAAAGCTGCCAATTTTAAGGAAGAAAAGGGGTTCTGTTTGTTTCTGTTTTTGTTTTTGATTCACAAGTCCTGATCTTCTGAAAAGGTATTTCTTTAAGAAAAAAAAAGTTCATGTTCTTCGACTAGGTCAAGTTTCAGAACATCAGTCACGCATCTTCAAGGAGAAACAAAATCAAATTTAAAGGGACAGACTTTTCTCATTTTAGTTTTCCCAGTGATGAGAAATATATTTTTAACTACCACATGACATAAGTCAGCTTACAAAATGAAGTTTCTACAGCAAGGCATGTGATCCTTGATCTCTCTCAGCAAGCCTCTTCCTTAAAGGAGTAAAAAATTCTTTCCTGAAAAGAATTATTCAAGGCTGAATAACAAAACATAGTAGCAGAGAAGACAAGTGAGAAAACTATAAAGGAGAATGTTTTTCTTCCCTTTTTCCCTAACAAAAGCAAATGAAAAGTTGTATAATGCATACAGTGTTTTAAGAACATTTTTAATTGGCGCTTAGGATAAAATAACTGAAAGATACACAAAATACTAGCAACTTCATTGAGATGGCAGACATTATTAGTACTAGAGATTTCTATTCTGTTTTTCAAATTTTCTCCAACATTAGTTATGTCACTTTTATAATTAAAAAATGAAATTACAAATAAATAAAAAGCCAGAAAGTCTTTTAAAAATTATTGTCTTCTTTTTGGTTAAAGTGATACTTAAAGCATACTTATTTTTGCAATGATCTAATGCTTCATCTGGACTTGCCACCCAGAAGCTTCATAAAAAGGCATACTCTCAGACCTCCCCTCAGACGTATGGAATCAGTAGCTTATATTTTAATTAAGATTCCCAGGTGTTTCATCTGCATGTTAAAGCCAGTGAAGCGCTGTTATAGAGATTCATCCAGAAATACCTATCTTGATTACTTTCTAAGTCCTTCCTGTATGTCAGTCCAAACTGATCATGTTTTTTTGATTTATCTGTCAGATATATTCATGCAATTACAGTAAAACTGACAACAGATAATAATAACAATATATTAATCATATCACTAAATTTAGGGCATTTTTTCTTTTAAAAGCAGAGTTCCAACTTCCAACCTTAGCCATTATCCCCTACTACATTAATCACTCCATTGAAATGGACCAAAAGCAGAATATAAATTCAGTATACCAGAGGAACTTTTAATAAAGTCTGAAACCTACTAATGAGGAAACACTAGAACCATAAGATGGTACGATATTGCAGTACTGGAATACCTGAGTAAGTGCTGCCTCTACCTTATAAAGGCCTGTTCAGCAATATTAACTTTTCAGTTACTTTGAAATGTTCACCTAGGGCAGAGTTTCTCAACCATGGTAAGACTGACATTTTGAGCTGGAAAATTCTTTGTTGTGGGGCTGTCCTGTGCATTAGGGGAGGTTTAGCAGCATCCCTGTCCTCTATCCACTAGATATCAGTAGCATGCCCCGAGGTGAAACAACCAAAGATGTCTCCAGACATTGCCAAATGTCCCCTGGGGGACAATCCCTCCTCCCAAACCCCCAGGATAATCCACTCATCTAATAAAAGAACAACTATCTGAAAGGGGGCCTGCCAATATATGTCAATAATCTTATTTGGGATTTTCCCAAAAAGAGACATCTAAGAGCATAGCTGAGTTTTTAAAATTATACACACATTTGTGGGATTCCTTTTGAAAGCTCCAGGAGAGCAAGGGCTAGGTCTTTTTTTTTTTTTTCCTGGTAATTATATTCTCAGAAATTTCTGGTCCATGATAAGCTTCTGGGTTAAAATATGTAGATACCATATCCTTAGTATTGGGCAATTAATTATTATTCAATTTTCTGGTTAAACTTGCATTTCTATTGCATGTAATGTGATTTCTTAAATGTATTTCCCTCACCCATTTTAACTAGAAAAATACTCTACTAGTTCAATAACATCTAAAAATTATTAAGACTATGATGTGACCAGTAACCACTATATCCAAATCAATTAGGACTCTTGTAACAGGAGGCACAGTAAAGGGAAGAAGGGATACTTTATGAAAAGTAGAGGTGCTGTCACCTGTATATGTCCAGGTTGCTCTCTCTTTGCTTATTTTTCAGAACTCACCCCAAGGCCTCATGCTCTAAGAAATGTTTTCCAAATACTCAAGACAAGTAGTTTTAAAACCTTTTTCCAAGGCCAGGGACTTACTTTCAAAATCTGATGATATGAATGCCAATTATACATCAATTAAAAAAAAAAACGAGAAAAAAATCTGCTGAAAACTATGAACGTTCTAGAAACACACACGTATAAACTTTACCATACAATTTGAGGGAGTTTGTAAACCCCCTAAAATCTCTCAATGAACAATGGTCACCTCATTCTTGCATGACCATTAATATTTTACTGTCCATAGTCCATAGCATAACATTTAGCAATTCAAGTACTGAAATTTAGTTCCTGGCCAGCACGGTGGCTCATGCCTGTAATCCCAGCACTTTGGGAGGGCGAGGCGGGCGGATCACGAGGTCAGGAGATCAAGACTATCCTGACAAACACAGTGAAACCCCGTCTCTACTAAAAAAAATACAAAAAAATATTAGCCGGGTGTGGTGGCGGGCGCCTATAGTCCCAGCTACTCTGAAGGCTGAGGCAGGAGAATGGCGTGAACCCAGGAGGCGGAGGTTGCAGTGAGCCGAGATCGCGCCACTGCACTCCAGCCTGGGCGACAGAGCGAGACTCCATCTCAAAAAAAAAAAAAAAAAAGAAATTTAGTTCCTCATTCACATCAACTTAAAAATCATGTGGCTTCTAGTCTGTCAACTGGGCAGCTTGGATGGTGACTCCAAGACTCTCTTGAAACAGAATACAGTCATGTGTCACTTGCAGGTACACATTCTGAGAAATCATTTGTTAAGCAATTTTATTGTTATGTTAACATCATAGAGTGTATTTACACAAACCTAGATGGTATAGCCTACTATACACCTAAGCTACATGGTATGGCCTATTGCTCCTAGGGTATAAACCTGTACAGCATGTTACTGTACTGAACACTTTGAGCAACTATAGCACAATGGTAAGTATTTTATGTATCTAAACATAGAAAAGGTATAATACAGTATAAAAATACAAAAAATATACAGTGTAAAAATACAGTATAAAAAGATTTTGAAATGGTAAAAGGGCATTTACCGGCCAGGCGAAGTGGCTCACACCTGTAATCCCAGCACCTTGGGAGGCCGAGGCAAGTGGATCACGAGGTCAGGAGTTCGAGACCAGCCTGGCCAACACAGTGAAACCCCATCTCTCCTAAAAATACAAAAATTAGCCCAGTGTGGTGGCACACAGCTGTAGTCCCAGCTACTCAGGAGGCTGAGGCAGGAAAATCATTTGAACCCAGGAGGCGGAGGTTGCAGTGAGCCAAGACCTCACCATTGTACTCCAGCCTAAAGACTCCGTCTCAAAAAAAAAAAGAAAGGAAGAAAGAAAGAAAAGAAAGGGCAGTTACCATAAATGGAGCTTGCAGGACTGGAGGATGCTCAGGTGAGTCTGTCAGTGGTCCGTGAACGTGAAGGCCTAGGACATTACTGTATACTACTGTAGAATTTATAAATATTCTACACTTAGACTACACTAAATAAAGTAATTGTACTATGACATTACAACAGCTACAATGTCACTAGGCAGTGAGAATTTTTCAACTCCATTACAGTCTTATGGGACCAGCATCATATATGCAGTCTGTCATTGACTAAAAGATCATTATGGGATACATGACTGTGTATGAGAAAAGTGCTCATAAATTGTAAAGTACTAGCAATATGCAGACTTAAGGTATGTTCTTCATTTCTGTCTTCCCAACCAGATTGTAAGGGACTCGGGGGTAGGGACCACGTAACTCTCCTGAATACTTTTTGGTATCTGGCAAAACAAATAAATGTTTCTTAATGTCTTCTTCCTCAAGCAAGGAACTCTGGCTCGTGTCTGCAGTTTGGGGTGGTGGTAGGAATAACCACCACTACTTTGCATCCAAAGATACCGGAGAGAAACCAAACATTTTATTTGCTTCACAAGAACTTCATTTGCTTAGTCTTATCTTTGTAAATCATGTATTAGTTCACCTACTCCAATGCTGTAGCTATTGCAGAGAGTGAAACAACTGAATAATGTGACTGCTTTATAAATCACAAACTGGAGAGAGAAAAAAGAAATGCATCTGTTCTTTCCTCAAAACTGCCATCTGCTAAATTCTCTGAATCATCTTGTCAAAATTCATTGAAGGAAAATAAACTGTGTTCAGAAGATCAAGACAATATAGTAGGCATAAGGATTCATAAGGTCTTCTCTTTACTTCTTCAATGAATGCTTCATCGTACGTTCTACTCTAATTTTAATTTTCAGGCAGAAAATAGTAGTATATAATGAACACCATGATGTACACAAATCCCAATTCTCTTACAAGTCATAGGGCTCTGGATAAATTCTACCCATCTCAAGTCATGATTTCATGAACTCTTTTGTTTGACTAGTCACATTTACCTTGACTTTTAGTTACTTAGCACTTTTGTTCACACTATCATAAAATTTTATTGGTCAGAATTACACATACAAACACCTGTCTTATCCATAGCCAGACCAAATTCTTTACTTTTCTGTACCTTTATAGCATAGAACTATTTTTAGCACTTGCTGAAGGATAGTTAGAATAAAGTTATATGACTTAACCAGGACTCGATTTCTTTATCTGTAAAAACTATACTAATAATCTTGAAACCACCTTTGCAAAATTATGACAGTAAGGGAAATCTGACAGAGTTGACTCCATCTTGCTTCTGACCTCCAAGCTGTCCTTGGTCATTCCTGGACATAGGCCAAGCTGACATTGGGAGGAATTTATAATTTAACCTGAGGCCAGGAGCAGTGGCTCATGCCTGGAATCCCAGCACTTTGGGAGGCCAAGACAGGCAGATCACCTGAGATGAGGAGTTTGAGACCAGCCTGGCCAACATGGTGAAACCCCGTCTCTACTGAAAATACAAAAATTAGCCAGGCATGGTGGTGGTCACTGGTAATCCCAGCTACTCGGGAGGCTGAGGCAGGAGAATTGCTTGAACCAGGAGGCAGAGGTTGCAGTGGGCCGAGATGGCGCCACTGCACTCCAGCCTGGGAGACAGAGCAAGACTCTGTCTCAAAAAAAAAAAAAAAAAAAAAAAAATTAACTTGAAAGTAAAGATGATAATAGGAGGCCAGATTTGGTGGCTCACACCTGCAATGCCAGCACTTTGGGAGGCTGAGGCAGGCAGATCCCTTGAGGTCGGGAGTTTGAGACCAGCCTGGCCAACATAGTGAAACCCTGTCTCTACTAAAAATACAAAAAAAAAAAAAAGAAGAAGGAAAGTAAGCATGATAATAGTCCCTCTCTAAAACGAATCCCCACCTTGCTCAGGGACCAAAAACCGCCTTTGTAAGACTAATCAAAGGCCACAAGAATAGGATTATGGGAGGGGCCTGAACTCTGCTAAGATATAGGTATAGTTTCTATAAATCTTTACTGCTCAGCAGCCATGTGGCTGGAGGTCACAAGATTTACAACTTCCCCAAGTGCTCCTACAGATAACATCACTACTATACAATCTAAGATTAATTTTTTAAAGATGTTTTTCAGATCTACCCCACCCAGACCTGTGATTCATGGCTCAACTGGTCCTGTGGCTCCACCAGAGACAGACTCAGCACGTAAGGACAGTTTTTCCACACCCCTGTGATTTCATCCCTAACCAATCAGCAGCACCCATTCCCTAGCCCCCATCCACCAAACTGTCCATAAAAACCCTAACCTGCAGGCCTTTGGGGAGACTGACTTGAGTGATAACTCTGGTTTTCCCACATGGCCAGCCTCATGTCAATTAAACCCTTTCCCTACTGCAATGCCATGATCTCAGTGAATTGATTTTTGTCTGTGCAGCAGGCAGGGAAGAACCCATCGGGCAATTACAATCTTAGTTCCCCAATGTCTGTAACACAGATCAAATTAATAAAACTATGATGATAGAAGCTCTTTGATAGTTTATTCAGGAAGAAAACAGGTCTTTTTTTTTTTTTTTTTTTAAGTTAGGAGCTTGCTCCTTGAAGATTCTACATACAAATGATCAGAATCTCATTCTCACCTGTTTCTTTGGTAGGTGAAGGGAGAAGGAATGGAATGCATCCCATTAATGTAACTTTTCAATTTTCTTTGACACTGGCTGCTAGCCCACAATGTTAGGTTCACCTTTTCAGAAAACAAATGTAAAAAAAGAAACACTAATCCCAATCCTTAAATCTATTCTGCAAAGATGCCAGGAAGACAAATAAGCTACTTATAAAAGCAGGAAGCTTTTTTGGAGGAAAGGCACTATAAAAGCAAAATATATTAAAGAACTATTTTCAACCATTCTAAATTCTGTGCCTAACTTCCAGCTTAAATTGGTAGCTTAAAAAACAGAGGTCAACACAGAAATCAGTAAAAGGATCAAGGCAGAACACAGAATACACAAACAGCAAATGCAAGAGATAAACCAGGAGGCAGATTAGGTTATCAGACATAACATAAAGATCTCTCCTTGAAAATGACATCTCTCTTCTAACCTAATGTTACGAAGACTAACTGAGCAGAATGAAGAGTTGTTAAACAGCCACAAATTTAAGTAAATCTGCAAAGTAAAATCTAGTCTTGGTTAATCATAATGAAGAAAAAGAATAAACAAATTGATTATAAATTGGCTGCCAAAGTTTGCAAGGGTTTTGGAATTCAATTACTGACATATTTAACATAAACAAGAGGGAAGCCAAAAGGCAAAAACACCACCTGGAGATTAGCAGCAAGAAGGCCATGAAAACAGCAAAGTATAAAACTTTACTACATGAGGATCATGATTTTTGTGTGGAAAATGTTTGGATTCCCCCTCTCCCCCACCTCACTAAAAAACAAAAATATAACAAAAATCCTATGACAGATATTCCTCAATGCCACAGTGAGTGATACAGGACTATTATAAACTGACATAGCATCAGGAAAAAACAGATATAGAGCCTAACCAGAAAGAATGAAATACACATACCAAAAACACCAGCACGATAAATTCAGAAACAAATGGCTTAATGTTCTCATGGTTACCAAAAAGCAAATTACCACTGATCTTGTAAATTTATACAAGATCCTCTCTCAGAACAGCTAACTTTCTTCATATTCATCATTAATATTCTTCTTTCAATCTGTACTTAGTCAAGGTAGTTAGCAAGATTTTAGAGGAGAGTTATTAGTTTAGGGAACTAATATTCTGGAGAGAATCAGTTAGGCAAATCCTTACCCAGAATTAGTTGCCTCTCCTAACACCTGATCCTCAGTTTGTCCATTAATGCGACAAGTTTATGTATGGCACCACTAAGCCTAATACTGTCATAAGCACCTGTGATGCAAAAAGGAATAAGACCTGGCTGGGCTTGGTGGCTCATACCTGTAACAACAACAACAAAAATTTAAAGACTTTTCCTTCTTCCTTATGAGACTGAAAAATGACTCCCAACAAGGTTTAGTCCTAAAAAATAAAAATGTAAAGAACTGAAGGAAGGGCAGCTAACAAAGAAATATGAAATAGCAATGAACTCAAGTCTGATATTTTAAAGAGACACCCCTAGACTCCCTAGCCATTAGTTAAGTAGAAGTATCTTCAGTGAATAGTAACTGCTGTTCTTGTTTAATCTCCACCTGGCCAAGGTACAAGCTATTCCCTTTGCCTGAAGCTATATCCAGTGTCACTGGCTTAGCTGGTATTTCCAAAGTCTGACTCATGGACAAATCTCAAGATGATGATAGGACTTGGCATCTTTGAATAAAACAATGTGTATTTAGCGGGTGAAAGACTGTAGACTCAGAGTTCCTTAGTCCAAAGTTAGTGGATACTAGACAATCTTCTCAACTGTTTAAAACGTCACAGAAAAAATAGGTTTGAAGTATTGTTTGGCCTTAAAAATAAAAGACGTTATTTCAATTTCTTGTAAATACCTTCAGAGACAAAGGCTGTAACTGACCTACTATCTCATCTACATCAAAGGGTTGCTTTTACTAGTGGCACCATTACCTCAATGGCAGCATACAAAATGCACAAAAGAGGCCGGGTGTGTGGTGGCTTATGCTTGTAGTCCTAGTGAGAGTTGACAACTTGCTAGCAGCCCTCATTCGCTCTCGGCACCTCCTCAGCCTCGGCATCCGCTCTGGCTGCGCTCGAGGAGCCCTTCAGCCCGTCGCCGGGGCTGGCTGAGGCCAGAGCCGGCTCCCCCTGCTCGCGGGGAGGTGTGGAGGGAGAGGCACGGGCGGGAGCCGGGGCTGCGCTCGGCGCTCGCGGGTTCCGGGTGGGCACGGGCTCAGTGGGCCCTGCACTCGGCACGGCCCGCCAGCACCTGCTGGGCTTGATCGGGGCACAAGCTCCTTCTGGGTTGCCGGAGTGCCCAGGCTAGGTGCCACAAAGTCCCCCGGAGAGTGCCATTGAGAGGTAAAGCCGGCTGGGCTTCTGGGTTGGGTAGGGACTTGGAGAACTTTTCTGTCTAGCTAAAGAATTGTAAATGCACCAATCAGTACTCAGTGTCTAGCAAAAGGTTTGCAAACGCACCAATCAGCACTCTGTGTCTAGCTAAAGGTTTGTAAATGCACCAATCAGCACTCTGTGTCTAGCTAATCGGGTAGGGGACTTGGAGAACTTTTGTGTCTAGCTAAGGGATTGTAAGTGCACCAATCAGCGCTGTGTGTCTAGCTAAAGGTTTGCAAATGCACCAATCAGCGCTCTGTCAAACAGACCAATCAGCTCTCTGTAAAATGGACCAATCGGTGCTCTGTAAAATGGACCAATCAGCTCTCTGTAAAATGGGCCAATCAGTAGGATGTGGGTGGGGCCAGATAAGGGAATAAAAAGCAGGCCACCAGAGCCAGCAGCGGCAAGCCGCTGAGGTCCTCTTCCACAGTGTGGAAGCTTAGTTCTTTCACTCTTCACAATAAATCTTGCTGCTGCTCACTCTTTGGGTCTGCATCGCCTTTATGAGCTGCAACACTCACAGCAAAAGTCTGCAGCTTGACTCCTGAAGCCAGCGAGACCACGAACCCACCGGAAGGAAGAAACTCCGGACACATCTGAACATCTGAAGGAACGAACTCCAGACACACCATCTTTAAGAACTGTAACACTCACCCGTGAGGGTCCGCGGCTTCATTCTTGAAGTCAGCGAGACCAAGAACCCACCAATTCCGGACACACTAGCACTTTGGGAGGACAGGGAGGCAGATGGCTTGAGCTCAGGAGCTCAAGACCAGCTTGGGCAACATGGTGAAACCTCATCTCCACACAAAACACAGAAAGAATTGGCCAAGTTTGCCCAGCTACTTGGGAGGCTAAGGTAGGAGGATTGCTTGGGCCTGGAAGGTCAAGGCTGCAGTGAGCTATGATAGCACCACTGTACTCCAACGTGGTGACAGAGTGAGACCCTATCTCAAAATACTAACAAAATGCATAAAAACAGCTCAATGATTACTTTTCTATTAATAAAACTGGCAAAAGAAAACACACATCAACTTTACAAATGTAATTTATTGAGCGAAAAAAAAACCACAAGTAGTTTTCATTATTAACAAATCAAGAGATTCATGATTTTTAATCTAGAGAGTAGAAATGGATTAATTTAAAATAAACTAAAGCCACGAATTAAAGAAGTTCCAGTCTGAAACATATTATATGTTAGATGATGGCATCTACTGACTAAATGTAATATTGCATTCCTGTATAAGTCATGAATATCTAGAGGAAGAGCAAAGTTTCTGGTGGCATGGACTGATAAGATCCTCGTAATGTTCTGGGGGTAGAGTACAGCAGTGTGAAGAGGAAAACAGTGACCAATGGGCAAGAAAAAGGCCAGGCACAGTGGCTCATGTCTGTAATCCCAGCACTTTGGGAGGCAAGGTGGGCAGGCCACTTGAGGCCAGGAGTTTGAGACCAGCCTGGCCAACATGGCAAAACCCCATCTCTACTAAAAGTACAAAAACTAGCCAGGTGTGGTGGTGCACACCTATAATCCCAGCTACTCAAGAGGCTGAAGCACGAGAACTGCTTGAACCCAGGAGGCAGAAGTTGCAGTGAGTCGAGATCGCGCCACTGCACTCTAGCTTGGGTGACAGAGCAAGACTGTCTCCAAAAATAAAAGGGAGGGGGGAAGGGGGCAAAGAAAAATTCCTGTACTAAAGACTATGACACAACCAAAAAGTAAACTGACAGGTGTATACTAAAATCCTCAAGCAAGGCAAATTGATCTTGGTGATATATAATTCCAAGAACTCCAACCTTAATTTTCTTCCTGAAATATTTTGTCTTTTGGGTTTTCATTTTTAGGGATATTATGTCTAATTTCACCATGAAAAATACAAGTAGGTTTCACTTCACATAAATTGTTTTCAAGAGAAACTATACTCTGAAAAGTAAAAGATATATTTTATAAATGATTTTTCACTGAGAACATAGGGAAAGAAAATGAGTTTTACACCAGGGAGAATTGTACTCAACCCTCTGGCCCTGCTACTAACTTGTATGACCTTTGTCTTCATTTATTTACCTTAAAATACATTTTTTAAGAACTGGCATATAATAGGTACTTTTTCTATTTTTATTTTTTGAGACAGAGTCTCACTCTGTCACGTAGGCTGGAGTGCCAGTGATGCAATCATGGCCAACTACAGCCTCAACTCCCTAGGCTCAAGTAATCCTCCCACCTCAGCCTCCCAAGTAGCTGGGACTACAGGTACATGCCACCATGCCCAGCTAATTATTGTAATTTTTGTAGACAGGGTCTCTATGTTGACTAGGCTAATCTCAAATTCCTGGCCTCACGCAATCCCCCAAGTCTTGGCCTCCCAAAGTGCTGGGATTACAGGCATAAGCCACCGTGCCCAGCTAAGCGGTACTCTTAACAAATGGCTATTGGTATGATTATCAAAGGGATTGCTAGCTATATAAATTTTTCCCAGGAGGGCCTTTGGGCAATAAAACTACATGTTACTATGCCAGAAAATACTTGACCAGTTAGGTTTCATAGTTCCTATGGAATTCTTGGTTCTAAGGATATTTGTGTTTAGTAGAAAGAGCTTTAAATAAGAAAAAAGAACACTTCTTTTCAGGTATTTAATTTTCTTAACTTCCAAAAGATAGAAAATACTACCTGGCATATCTCACACTTAATACTCCACAAGCAGATATATATGTTCCTTCGTCAGACAGAATTGTGCTTTCCTATATTTCCATAACTACGTACCAGAAACTGGCCAGCAATACTTGAAATTGCAACTTGGGCTATCCAACCATGGTGGTATGATGCAAGAGCAGCTTACTCCCCCTGATATTTAAGAGGCATATGCTGTGCAAGAGCTAGAAAATCAGCCAGCACCACCTAACCACAATGTGCTATTCTCACTTCCTCTCTGAGTCAAGTTTGCTAATCAACTCCTCAAAGAAAGGCCATAGTGATATTCCATCAGGTAAAAGGGAAGAGCACAGGCTTGTTCTCTTTAAGGCTGGGACAACTGCCAGGACTTTTCTGAATAAGACCTACTCTTTATGTGTATCCTTGCAATCATAAGATGTAGAATGTAAATGAATATACAAGCTAGGAATGGTTTCCTTAAAAAATGTGAAGTGCATATTCTCTGCTTGAAGGAAAGAAGACAGGAAATAGCATCCAACCCAACTACAGAGTAACTTAACAGCAGTCAGATTCAGAAAATGTGCTAACCCAATTTTCAGGCACAATTTTCTGGCCCTTCAAAGGCTGGAAATAAATGCAAGCATTCTGAGCTTGATTTCTCTTGGGAATGGCAGAGAAAGTTAAAGTTTTCTCCAAATTAAGCTTCATTTATCTACTTACGTTCTTAGAAACTGTAAAAGAAAATCAATATAAGTTTTTCAAAATACATACACACAACTATATATGCTGTGTATATGAGTATACATAAACTGTCTTTCATTAGAAATGAAATTTTAAGGAAGGTGGCCAACAAATCTAACATTAAAAAAATAAGGAAACAGGCTAGGAGTGATGCCTCACACCTGTAATCTTAGCACTTTGGGAAGCCAAGGCAGGCAAATCACTTGAGGTCAGGAGTTCAAGATCAGCCTGGGCAACATGGTGAAACCCCGGCTCTACTAACAATACAAAAATTAGCCAGGCGTGGTGATGTATGCCTGTAAGTCCAGCTACTTGGGAAGCTGAGGCATGAGAATTTGCTTGAATCCAGGAGGCTGAGGTTGCAATAAGCCAAGATCGTGCCACTGTACTCCAGCCTGGGCAACAGAGCAAGACTCCGTCTCAAAAATAAATAAATAAATAAATAAATGATAAAAAATAAAATATCAAAAAATAAAACATTTAAAAAAGAAACAATCATGCCTAGATAACAGAAAATTGGAAAAAAGAAAGCCATACGTTATTGTGATAAATTCTACAACAAAATTCAAAGCCATTTTCAATTTCTCAGTTATTGGAGTATTGCTGCTATTATTAACAATATCTTCATTACTTAATACATTTTGATTCATCGTTTTTTGGTTATTTTTGTTGTTGTTGTTGTTTGTTGCTGTTGCTGTTTGAGACAGAGTCTCACTCCGTCACCCAGGCTGGAGTGCAATGGCGCCATCTCGGCTGACTGCAACCTCCGCCTCCTGGATTCAAGCAATTCTCCTGCCTTAGCCTCCCAAGTAGCTGGGATTACAGGTGCATGCCACCACGCCCGACTAGTTTTGTATTTTTAGTAGAGATGGGGTTTCACCATGTTGGCCAGGCTGGTCTTGAACTCCTAACCTCAGGTGATCCTCCCATCTCGGCCTCTCAAAGTGCTGGGATTACAGGAGTGAGCCACCATGCCCAGACTGATTCACCAGTTTTTAAGACCACTATCCAAGGACAACTCTGTGAGGCAGACCGAATTAGTTCTGTTTTATATGTGAAAAACTGAGAAAAATATGTTAAGTGACTTATCTAACAGTACAAAACTAGTTAATGTGACAGCCAAAACTGGAACATAAGTCTTCTAACTCCTAGATCTTTCTACTAATCCAGTGGTTTCAAATTTTATTTTACCCCCAGAATCTTCTTTCAAACTAATTTTTTGTAGAATCCCACTAATTTAACAGATAAAACTGGAGCTCCTCCAACTAAAATGGCTATTAGGGCCAGAGCCATGTATATTTCAGTTGGCTTCTCCCTCCCCCATGATGGGCTTTGAGACTTCTGGGTAACATCATAACTCCAAGGAGCAAAATGTAAACCATTAAAAGTTATCTCCCTAATTGCCCAAGGAAATCCATAAAGTTCTAATCCAAATATGAATAAGACTAATAACCAGTAAAATGATACCTCTCGCAGCTACCATATCTAAGACTTTCATAATCATAAATATATATTAATGGAAATAAAAGTTATATCCCATACATACCATTCCAAAGATCATGGCCACATAGAGTTTACTAATTACAAAACTGCTCCTATGCACTGTGTGACAGAATGGGAAGGAGCTGGGCAGGGTGTATCCCATTTATTTGGCAATATTACCATCTCGTTTATAATTCTACCTAAGCTATTTGTTTCCCAAGTTAAATATAGATACCTTCCTTCAAATAAAATCTTATGCAGAGAGCATCTTATGAGCTATTCTATTGTAGTTAAATGAGGCAGGGGGCAGGCAAAGCCAGACAAGCCTCTCCAAAGCAGCCCAGGCCTCTTGGAACATTACGACAGAGGCATGACTAGCAAAAATAAAGGATTATTTCCAAGTTTCCAAGTGGTTCTTGAAATGCAAATGGTAAAGAGCATACACTGTTGATGGACTGACATCTGAAAAAGGAGAGGTGATAATACCTGATTTATAGGCATAAGTAAATATACTTGAATGCAAGGTACAACAAAAACTCATTGTCCCCAATCACCCCAATAAACCACTATATATCACTCATCTACAAATGGCTCGTAAAACAACAAGAAGAAAGTATTATTTTAAAAAGTCCTACCACAAGAGTATGAGCAGTAATCAAAAAGCAGGTTAAGTTTACTAATCCTAGGGGCCAAACAGAAAGTAAATTTTAGTTTATCTTTGAAAATAAATCTTAAATTCAGAATAAAACCAAGGTGGAAGTGATGGATGGTCTATGTATACAACCACCAATGACAGGCTATGTCTACAAAGCATCACGAACATTAGAACTGATGTCAAAGTTTAAATCATATAAGGTCAGGAAACAACAACAACAAACAAAACAAAACAAAGCCCCTTACATCAGCTCCAGAGGAGCCACTATCAGCTGCACTTCTTTCTAACTTCCAAAGACATACCATCCAATACATTAGCTGTTATACCTAATACCATATCCTGCAGTTGTAATACACAATAATTTAAAGACTACGAAGACTATGTGGTCTTCAAAAAGAACAGCAAACTGGAATGTAAGTTTGTTTTCTCCTTGCCTATGTTACAAATTACTCATGTGAGCTAAAAAGCAAGTAATTTTTTTCTCAAGCCTTTTCATTTGTTAAAAAGGATTTTAACAGCTGCCCTACTTATTTCACAGTATCATTGTAAGGATATGATAAAACAATGTCCATAAAACACTATTTAAAGTATTATTATGTAACTTGTCAGTGTGAAAGATACTCATTTTACCAACCAATCATAGCAAATAGAAGGTTTATCTTTGTTTACTAAACTTGAAAAGATTCCATATTAATTTAGCATTGTTGTCTCAAGAAGAAAAAAATCCCTACACCTTTTTTCTAAGAAACCATCCTAACTTTGTGTGTGTGTGTGTGTGTGTGTGTGTGTGTGTGTGAGAGACAGGGTCTCACTCTATCACCCAGGCTGGAGTACAATGGAGTAATCTTGACTCAATGCAGCCTCCGCCTCCCAGGATCCAGACATCCTCCCACCTCAGCCTCCTGGGTAGCTGGGACTACAGGCACATGCCACAACACACGGCTAATTTTTTGTATTTTTTTTTAGAGACAGGGTTTTAGCATGTTGCCCAGGCTGGTCTTGAACCCCTGAGGCTCAGGTGGTCTGCCCACCTCAGCCCCCCAAAGTGCTGGAATTACAGGCATGAGCCACCATGCCAGCCCTGCTTTTTTTTTTTTTTTTTTTTTTAATTGAGACAGAGTCTCACTCTGTTGCACAGGCTGGAGTGCAGTTGGCATGATCACATCTCACTGCAGCCACAACCTCCTGGGCTCAAGAGATCCTCCCACCCAAGCCTCCCAAGTAGTTGGGGCTGCAGGCATGCACCACCATGCCCAGCTAATTTTTGTATTTTTTGTAGAGAGTGTTACACCATGTTGGCCAGGCTGGTCTTGAACTCCTGGGCTCAAGTGATCCACTTGCCTAGGTCTCCCAAAGTGCTGGGATTATAGGCATGAGCCACCACGTCTGGCCAAAAAACCATTCTACCTTGATTGCTACAGCTTATACACATACTCTGGCTCTCTCTCAACACACAAACATAGAACTGGGAATCCTCACCAATCAGAGGTCACTATCAATAAAAACTTATTTCAATTGCCTGAGCAGTTTTCAGTTGAGCTTTGAATTCTAGCCTAATAAATATGTATTGGAATAAAGGGAAAATAAGTATATTGTGAAAACTTCTAGAGAAACCATTAAATGAGAGGTGCCATTTCTTTTCTTTAAGTATCAGTATACAAAATAATACTATTCAGTTAAACTTATCATGAATGCCTACTCCACTCTATCCAAGGCCCTGTGCTGCAGAGGTCTGTGCTGTAGTAGTGTGGATCTTCAAGCTTAGACCTGCACAAATTTTTATCTAAATCAAATACTGAAATCATATCCCAAACTTCCTACATGCTTCACAGAAGGAAACATAAGAATTAAACATGTGAAATGATTATCTTACACAGAATAGTCATTGGATAACAGTTTTTGGCTGTCATGAGAGCAAAGATGATGATGAAGCAAGTAATTTGAGCCTCATGCTGCTAACAGCTTCACTTATTGCTTGGTTCTCTTTAATGTCTGTCTAAACTGAAGCTCTCACAGTCTAGTATTCAGAAACATAGGATGAGACTTTTTTTTTTAAAACTGTTTCTCCTTAGAAATCAAAGGGCAAAGGCAAGTCAGGTATTTTGTACATTGAGAAAACCTTACCAGTCATCCATACACATAGTGACTGGCAACTATACTGTGTATTTTATACTATAACAACTTCCTGGTCAAGGTAGATATGGCCCAATTACAAAATGATGAGTTGAGCCTTAAACATCTGAAAACATTTAGATGTTCATGAATAGTTGAAGCAAAAATGACAAAATTTTAGCAAGTAATGAAATTAGTGGTAGGTACACCAGTCTTCACTGTATTTTTCTTTTCTTTTCTTTTTTGAGACTGAGTCTCACTCTATCGCCCAGGCTGGAGGGCAGTGGCACGATCTTGGCTCACTGCAACCTCTGCCTCCCGGGTTCAAGCAATGCCTCAGCTTCCCGAGTAGCTGGGATTACAGGTGCCTGCCACCACGCCTGGCTAATTTTTGTATTTTTAATAGAGACGGGATTTCCAACTTGGCCAGGCTGATCTCGAACGTCTGACCTCAGGTGATCCACCCACCTCGGCCTCCCAAAGTGCTGGATTACAGGTGTGAGCCACCATGCCCGGCCAAGTGTGACTATTAATGGAAACAAAGAACCAAACTAAAACAGTCTCCTACCTAACATTTCCACCCCAACAGGCTGAATTTCAAATCCGTAACCTCTTTTAATACATTTCTTTTTTTTTTTTTTTTTTTTTTTGAGACAGGGTCTTGCTCTGTTGCTGAGGCTGGCTCACTGCAGCCTTGACTTCCTAGGCTCCAGCGATCCTACCACCTCAGCCTCCCAAGTAGTTGGCACTACAGGTGCACACCACCAGCCTGGCTATTTTTTTTACATTTTTGTAGAAATGGGGTCTCCCTATGTTGGCCAGGCTGGTATTGAACTCCTGGCCTCAAGCAGTCCTCCTGCCTCGGTCTCCCAAAGGGCTGAAATCACAGGCACAAGCCACTGTGTCCAGCCTCTTTTGATATATTTTTAACTTCAGTTTTCATCATAAATGTAGAGGACAAGGTGGGCAGTCACACCATTTGATGAGTTTCACCCTCTCTAATGTGCTATCTAATATAACCACTAGCTGAAACCTGGAGTTCAAATTTAACAACTAAATGTAGTAGCTTGAGAGCAGGGCAAATCAAACAAATATTTGAAGTATTTATATCTAAGGTACTTCTTTTTAAGAAGTAGCTTAACATTTTTTTTTTAATTTTACAGATGGGGGTCTTGCTGTGTTGCCCAGCCTGGTCTTGTACTCCTGGGCTCAAGCAGTCTACCTGCCTCAGCCTCCTGAAGTGCTAGGATTACAGGCGTGAACCACTGTGTCCAAAAAGTAACTTTTAAAAAAGATATTTTTCTGTTCTCTCCCAAGGCTATCCTAATTCAACATTTTCATTCCAAAAAATATTTCAGACTTGCCTTTGTTCATTAACTGAGGAGAAAGGTAAGTAAAAGCATAATGAAAGCATATCCTGTATCAGCAGAAGTCATCTTAAAACTATGGTTTCCTCATTCATCTCTAGTAGGATATTACCCTTTATACCAGATATTCCTGTTTCCAAAGAAAAAAGAAGTAAATCAGGTCTGGTAAAATTAATTTCTTTTTTTTTAAGCTAGTACAAAATAGTAACCAAATACAGCTAAGTCATAAATCGTTCAAAAATCTAAACCTAAGATGTAAGTTAAGGTACATTTATTTATGTCTGTTTTAAAGAAGCTAAACTGGCCAGGCAACATGGCTCACGCCTGTAATCCCAGCACTTTGGGAGGCCAAGGTGGGCAGATCACCTGAGGTCAGGAGTTCAAGACCAGCCTCACCAACATGGAGAAACCTCATCTCTACAAAAATACAAAAATTAGCTGGGCATGGTGGCACATGCCTATAATCCCAGCTACTCAGGAGGCTGAGGCAGGAGAATCGCTTGAACCTGGAGGGTGGAGGATGCAGTGAGCCAAGATCACGCCATTGCACTCCAGCCTAGACAACAGAGTGAGACTGTGTCTCAAAAAAATAATGAATGAATGAAGGAAGGAAGGAGTGAAAGAGAGAAAGAGAGAGAGGAGAGAAGGAGAGAAAGAAGCTAAACCAACAGAAAAAGAGCAGCAAGGGGGAAATCTATAGGGATGTATGAGGTTCCACCAAAGTAAACAATTATTAATTTCAAAGAACATGCCTGAAGCTTTGAACAGCAGATATGATTTTTTATTTCCATGAGTCAATGGTTTGTAGGTTTTTTCCTTAATTTTATTTTGTTTTAGAGACAGGGTCTCGCTCTGTCATCCATGCTGGAGTGCGGTGGCATGATCATAGCTCACTGCAGCCAGGAACTCTGGGGCTCAAGTGATCCTCCCACCCGAGCCTCCTCTGTAGCTAGGATTACAGGCGCATGCCACCACGCTTGGCTAATTTTTACATTTTTTGTAGAAACAAGGTCTTGCTTCATTGCCCAGGGAGATCTCGGCCACCTGGGCTCACGTGATGCTCCTGCCTCAGCTTCCCAGAGTGCTGGGGTTACAGGTGTGAGCCACCACACCTGGTCATGAGTCAGTGGTTTCTGGCACAGTCAGATTTGAAGTAACTCTTCCTGTGAGCATATTTACAAAATTCATACATGCTGGATAGTTCTTAATAACCTGACAATCAATCACAAGCATATTCTGAGTCTTTTCTACATGTTCAGTACAAGATATATAACACACAATTTTATACTCAAAACTTTTCAAAAATTTAACTAGGGAAATAATAAATTGTATGAAGTGTTAGATTGTGTTATACATACTAAAGTGTTAAAGGCATATAAAGACAAGGTAGACCAATGTAGCAGAAAAGAGCATTTCACAGAAGCAACAATCAACTAAGTATTGTTAATGTGATAGTGGATGTTCTCAAAAGCAAATTTAAAGGGAGCTAAAATAACCCAGTTTCTGAGATGTCAGACAGAGATAATCTGAGTAAAGATCACTGGAATCCCACCACACAAGCCTTTCCCTGTATAATTCGTTAGAGATCAAATTCCAACTCCTCCTGAGAATGTGGAGCTATTTTTATTTTAAAAGCCACTGATAACCACAAAGGTCTTCAAAATGAAATTCATGCAAATCTAGCATCATGAAAACAAGTAATCAAACAAAATTTACTTTAACATAAACAACAGGCCCCCAGAGAAAAGACGAGCCCAATGTAAGATGACAGATACCCTGGCTCCTCAGTTTAATGTGAAACAAAAAACCAGATATGAGTTAATCCATTTTAATTACCAACAACTTTCACTGGTGAAGCACAGTTAGAAACAAGCAGTATTTTTAGTCAGTATCCTACCAATGAGTATTATGCTTCTTAACAGCTTCAATCAAGCCAATTAATGGGATAGAAAAAGTATCTATGCTCTGTAGCAACAGAGTTGGGTGCTTAAAAGATCAAACACAAAACAGTAACTACTGAATGCATTTGAATTCCTAAGTAAACCTAATTTAAAAAGAAAAAGTACTCAATAAACATAGTATCATTTATTTAGGATTTAATTATATTTTGTCTTCTGTTATACAGAGGCCTAGCTCACTAGTATTGGGGCTGGTTGTGTCTAACTAATGTGAGGACTTAAGGAATAGTTGGTTAAGGGGCTAGAGAATAAGGTCAATTGCCAACACAGATAAAAGAGTAGTGAGGCAATGATCAGTATGGCCAGAATATAGAGAATTCAGAGGATGTTTCACAAAATCTCAAAGGTTTACTTTGCCTGCATTCTCTCTCTTATTAGTCATTTGGAATTCTATTTAATGATACTAAGTATCATCCCTTTTAAAAATAATTGGTACTTTATCAAACTAATACTAAAACAAGAAGCACCTGTATCTATAAACTGTAAACCTAAATCCAAACCTGGGGGGTGTAAATGAAAAAAATTTAAGAGGTTACACAGTCACCTAGAGTACTGTATTTTTACCAAATTGTAAAATATATTGTTTTTTTCTAAAATTCAAAATAAATGGTAAAATAACTAATACATTTTGGATATTATCATATAAATACTCAAATAAATGTTAAAACTGAGGCTTCTAAAGCTTCAGCAAATATTTTAAGTATATAGTCTATTAAGAGACCGTATATGACAAAAGAGATAAAAAGTGATGTTTAGAAAAGGTAGAAAATACCACAACAACATATGAAGAATTCTTTCCAAGAAAATGAACCTGAATCTCATCAGCCTCTAGATTAGCAGAGTTCCCAATAGGGGCAATTTTTGCCCCCAGGAGACACTTGGCAATGTCTGGAACACTTTTGGTTGTCACAATTGGTGGAGGGGGTGCTGTTGACTAGTGGCTAGAGACCTGCGATGCTGCTAAACATCTACTGGAGCTCAGAAAACAATCCCCAAACTGTAGGCTTCAGAAGCAGCCGCAGAAGCTAAGTTTTTTTCTGACTTCTGCTCTCCTGTCTCTTAGTCCCATTCTCCCCCGAGGTCAGCCACAGAAACTAGAATCCCCCTTCCCCAAGGTGGGTCATAGAAATCAGAACCCCTTTCCTCAAAAACCAACCAGAAAGCCTAACAATACCCTGTGTAAAAACTGGCCATAAAGAAATGAAATGACCTACCTTGTTTCACTGTGGGCCATAAGACCCCCATCCCAGAGAGAGCCCTGCCCACACCCAGAAGGACGAAATGCATGCTCTGAGAGGGCAAGAAGAATCTCAACAGACAGGCTTTGCTGGGTTTCCCCATTAAGTCTATTAGCATTAGATCATACTCTTTTTGTCCAATCATGTTTCTACATGGCTGTCCATACTTTGCTGGACCTAAGCATGAAAATGAACAATTTCCCTATATCTTTGGATCTTTGTTCTGAAGGCTCTCGTGTATACACGTTAAACAAATGTGTATGCCTTTTTTCCTATTAATCAATCTGCTTCTTGTCGGTAATTTTTCAGCAAACCACTGGGGCCGAAGGGCTTGGCTCCCACACATTCTGCAAGGCACAGGACAGTCTTCTACAACAAAAAAATTATCCAGTACAAAATTCCAACAGTGAGAAGTTGAGAGAACCTTTTCTAGGTCTAACAGGAAATACAGGTGTCAGAGAAACATGCTACAGAACTTCATGGGGATGCAATCAGCAAAATCCAGAACACAGGAAACTCTAATTTTCTTTTCAAATGTGATAATGATTACTATATCATGGTTATATATGTAAAGAAACAAAGTTTCTCTTTAAATGATTAAATAAATAATTTTTGGAATTTGCTTCAAAATAATCCAATGGGCAAAGAAATATAGATGAAAACAAGAAGGGATATGGGTTAATAACCATTGAAGCTGGGTAATAGGAATATAGGTACATTATATTATTTTATTTATGCCCATATAATGGATACATTATATATATTTTTTCTGTTTTAAGTTTCCATAATAAAAAATTTTAAAGGGGGTAAAAAAAGACTCCATATATCAAGACAAAATTGGAATCTAATAAAGTGAAATTAGATTTATCTAAATTTGTGAACTTTATGCATACACATATCCTGTTGTATTCTTGGGCTTGTAATTTGATACCAATTGGTAACTGTGCCCAAAGAGTATAACAATTAGATTTGGATATCTAATTTAAAAAAACAATATGAATTTAAAAAACAGTATGTACATCTCATAACATTATTAGCATTTCTATTCTTAGGTACAGTGGATATCTAGCAGTATCTCATATATATGAATCTTCTATCTATAACCATTAAGAATCATTACAAAATAATCATATGGTAGCTAAATAGAATTCTAGCATCCCTTTGGAGAGTCAACCATATCTTCCTACCTATCTCATAAATTGATGGTGAAGCCAATTTCCTTTATTTTCTGGCAACCAGAATGCTACTAGTAAGAAAGACCATTTAGATAAAAGCAGCCTAGGGACAAAAACTGGCAGTTTTTAGGACATCAGTACTCTCACAATAAAAATGAACTTAAATAACTGAAATGAAGTATTCATCAAGCAAGTGTTCATACATTTAGAACAAAATCAGGAAATATTTTAAGTGACTATAATAAAATAATTTGACTATATCTCATTAATGAAATGTATTCAAAGAAGAGTCACTAAAGACAACTGTAATATTAAATTTTATAATCCATCCAATGTAGTAGAATATAACACCCTTTTGGGGAAAAAAAACCTATCCAATAGTTTTATTGGCATCATTATTTTAATCCTTTTTATTTTCCTTTTTTTTGGAGAAAGGCTCTCACTCTGTCGCCTAGGCTGGAGTGCAGTGACACAGTCATGGCTCATGACCTCCCAGACTCAAGTTTTTGTCAAAATCTTCAGTTAGAAGGAAAATAGTACTGCTTTTGAATTACAAAAGACATAGTTACAGTTTGGATAAAGCATTAAAAACTATTTTTTTAAAAAATAATGTTTTGCTAAATTATTACAAAATATTAAAGTGTATCAAGACTTACCCCTACCCAGTGATAGTTCAGAGAAAGCTATCATCTATCTTCTCTCAGAAAACAACACACTTTCCTTTTATATTGAAAAAAGAAGACCTTACTGCAAACCTATGCAGAAGCTTAAAGACAGAGTAATCATGCTGACAACCTGTCCTCTGCAAAGATTCTTAAAAAAAGCCACAATTACTGAAGTCAGCTGGGTAGCAGAAATCTCCATGGTGGCAGTTAGTTGCTACTCTATTCTTCCTAAATACAGTAGTCACTGAGTTTCAATTCTAATGTGAAGAGGACTTTCTACTCCACTGTTTTCTTTAATGCACTGAACAGGCTAACATGGACTATAAAAATCAGGAACTAAATTTAGTTGCTATTATTACCCATTTTTAAAATAAGGCATAGAAGGCCAGGCACGGTGGCTTATGGCTGTAATTCCAGCACTTTGGGAGGTCAAGGTGGGCAGATCACTTGAGCCTAAGAGTTTGAGCAACATAGCAAGAAATTGTCTCTTCAAAAAAATAACAAAAATTAGCCAAGTGTGCTTAGTCCCAGCTACTCATGAGACTGAGGTGGGAGGATCGCTTGAGCCAGGCAGGTGGAGGCTGCAGTGAGCCGAGATAGTACCACTGTACTCCAGCCTGGGTGACAGAGCGAGACCTTGTCTCAAAAAAATAACATAACATAACATAACATAACACAACATAACATAACATAACATAACATAACATAACATAAATTAAGGCATAGGGACTTGCAGGCATTGCTGTCCTTTTCTGTCACAAAATTATACTGAAGATTTAAATGTCTCCAAAATATGCAGAGTAATGCCCATATTCAATACAGTTCTAAAAGAGGTGTTCCAGTGTTGCCAGTAACTTTTACCTACTTGAAAGTGTGACAAAAAAATTATGAATGAAAACAGCCCTATGTAGGGCATGTTACTAAAAGCAATTTTTCTTGGTAGAATAATTACCTATGCTGTAATAAACATTAGTAATAACAGAGTCAACTCATTAGATCAAATTACCACAGAGATGGTAAATATTAGAACCATGATTTTATAAACTCTTACAGCTCTTGATTTTTGTATTAGCCAGAAGAGAAACACAAGCTCATAATATAGAATGCTACACCTATACAGTCCACATAATTCAGAACTTAGGCAAGATATAATAAGCAATATTAAGAAAGAAACTGCTACACTATCCCACATCAATGATTGGGATTTACACTTTTAGGCTAGTGATTTTTTGACAAAAGTGAATAAAAATTTCACATGATATCTCAATAGTACTAAGACAATGGTTATCACTAAATAAATACAAAAAGGATTCAAGTATATACAAAACCAGGTGGTATCAAAATAAGTAGCAAAAGAGAAAATATGAAATTAGAAACCCAAAAAAGAATCATGATTAAAATTAAAAGGAATCATAAGTTACAATGATATTAGATAAGCTTTGGAAAGACTGAATACACATATACATATGTTTATACACATAATATATATTATCTTTAATTTTCAGAACAATCTTTAACAGTATATGTTACTACACTGCCTTAGGAATGAGAAATCTGAGGATCATAATGGTGGGGAGACATGGCTGATTACTATCAGAAGTGGGATTTAAGTCTAGCAATGTCAGGATCCAGAATCCACCATCTTTGTCCTATACCTTTTGTGACAATGTCATCTCCCTAAAGAATACAGTGGCTTTGGTATCAAGGGGTAAGATATAGTTCCAAGAGAGGAACAGCTAAAAGTGAGAGAGATTACTAATCACACAGTGATATAGTTTGGGTATTTGTCCCCACCCAAATCTCATGTTAACATGTAATCTCCAATGTTGGAGGTGGGGCATGGTGGGAGGTGTTTGGGTCGAGGGGGCAGATCCTTTATGGCTTGGTGCAGTCCTCACCATAGTGAGTGAATTCTCAAGAGATCTGGTCATTTAAAAGTGTGTGGCACCACCCACCCTTTTCTTTAGTTCTTGCTATCGCCATGTGAAGTGCCTGCTCTTCCTCTGCCTTCCACCATGAGTAAAAACTCCCTGAAGCCTCCCTAGAAGCCAAGCAAATGCTAGCACCATGCTTCCTGTACAGCCTGCAGAACTGTAGGCCAATTAAACTGCTTTTCTTTATAAAGTACCCAGTCTCAGGTATTTCTTTATAGCAAAGAAAGAACGGCCTAATACATACAGCAACAGGTAGCTGGATGGGTTGCTGAGTTTTATATAAAGTCTGACTGGAATCAGAGAGGCCTGTGTCTGAATTCTGGCTCTACCTTCTACTAGTTGTATGATAATTCACCTCTCCATGCCCGTTTCCCTAAGTGCAAAGTAGGTAGAAGAACAGTGTATCCTGGCCAGGCACAGTAGCTCACACCCGTAATCCCACCACTTTGGGAGGCCAAGGCAGGCAGATCACTTGAGGCCAGGAGTTTGAGACCAGGCTGGCCAACATGGCGAAACCCCACCTCTATCAAAACTATAAAAAAAAAATTAGCCGGGCATGGTAGCACATGTCTGTAATCCCAGCTACTCAGAAGGCTGAGGTGGAAGAATGGCTTGAACCCTGGAGGTGGAGGTTGCAGTGAGCCAAGATCATGCCACTGTATTCCAGCCTGGGTGACAGAGCGACACTCTGACTCCAAAAACAAAATAATTTAAAACACAGACACACAAAAAAACAGTGTATCCCCAGTCATCTTTTACTTACCTGTCAGAAAGCAAATGACATTAGTATTTTTTTATTATTGACTTAGCATCCGTTCTCTACTTTCTGCCTTTGGGGTTGAGTTTGTTTGATTTTGTTTGTTTTTTTTAAAGAGACAGGGCCTTGCTCTGTTCCCCAGGCTGGAATGCAGTGGCACAATCAGAGCTCACTGCAGCCTCTAACTCCTGGGCTTAAGCAATGCCCTCACTTCAGCCTTCCAAGTAGCTGGGACTACAGGTGTGCACCACCATGTTCAGCTAACCTTTTAAGAATTTTTTTGTAGAGATGGGGTGTTGCTATGTTGCCCAGGCTGGTCTTGAACTCCTGGCCTAACATGATCCTCCTGCCTCAACCTCCCAAAGCACTGGGGTGTGAACCACCGTACCCAGCCTGGTTTTTTTTTATTTGTTTGTTTGTTTTTTGAGGCAGAGTCTCGCTCTGTCCCCCAGGCTGGAGTGCAGTGGTGCAATCTTGGCTCATTGCAACCTCCACCTCCCGGGTTGAAGCGATTCTCTTGCCTCAGCCACCCAAGTAGCTGGCATTACAGGTGTGCACCACCATGCCTGGCTAATTTTTGCATTTTTGGCAGAGACAGGGTTCTTGGCCAGGCTGGTCTTGAACTCCTGACCTCAGGTGATCTGCCCGCCTCAGCCTCCTAAAGTGCTAGTATTACAGGCGTGAGCCACCTCGCCTGGCCTTTTCTTTTAAGCATCAAGATTGCACAGGAAACAGGAAAATTCTAGTTCACTAAGAAATAAAGAACAGAACTTATAATAGCATTAATGACTGCTTCTTGTAAACTACCTATATGTACCAATTATTTTGAATTTTTAAACCTGAGTGGAGAGAAAAAGAAATTACAGGTCCGATGGCATCAGATAAATTTGTATAGAAAAAAAATCTTATAAGGCAAATATTCTGAATTTTCAAAATAAGGTAGCTTACATTAATTACATAAGGTAACATTACATTACATATTTACAGAAGCCTATAAACAAAGAACACTCTTAAGAGACTAACTAGGTCGAAAAGGTCTTGTGTAACTTTTAATTTATATAAGCCCCAAAAAAGATATTTGGAGATATTCATAAACAACTTCAAAGTTCCTCCTGAAAGATTCAATACAAAATTCCAGTTTAACTTTGTTGGAATGTAACTATCAATAGCAAAGGATGTATATATAGTATACTACTCTACAGAGTATAATCACATATATTATAATGGAATTTACTAGGCTTGCAATTAACACACACACACAATTAGCCAGCATGGTGGTGCGCGCCTGTAGTCCCAGCTACTCAGTAGGCTGAGGTGGGAGAATTGCTTGAACCCGGGAGGCAGAGGTTACAGTGAGCTGAGATAGCACCACTGCACTCCAGCATGAGTTACAGAGGGAGACCCTGTCTCCACAAAAAACAAAAACAAAAAACAAAAAAATCATCACCGTGAACACCTTTCATCACCGTGAACACTTTTCATGTATTTTCTTTTGGTACTTTTTCCTATGCAAAATATTTATTTATTAAATTTGGATTATGATGGTTGAACAACATTGTGAATATACCAAAATGTTTTTAATGGTATTATATGTAGTTTACCACAATTAACATTTTTTTAAAATTTAGATTATACTATGTATGCAATTCTGTATCTTGCTTTTACTTCCACTGAACATTATTTCATAAACATTTTCCAATATTGGTCTGTAACAACACTGATTTTTTTTAAATGACTGTAGAGTATTCCATAGAGTAGATATAACCATTGTATTCTCCTGTTCTTCCCTTTCCTCCCATTCATTCCCTATTATTGGACATTCAGTTGTTTCTAATTTTCTACCACATAAATTCCACAATAGGCCAAGCGCCGTGGCTCATGCCTGTAATCCCAGCACTTTGGGAGGCCAAGGCGGGCGGAACACCCAAGGTCAAGAGTTTGATACCAGCCTGGCCAACATGGTGAAACCCCGTCTCTACTAAAAATACAAAAAATTAGCCAAGCGTGGTGGCGTGCACCTGTACTCCCAGCTACTCAGGATGCTGAGGCAGGAGAATCGCTTGAACCCAGGAGGTGAAGCTTGCAGTGAACCAAGATTGCTCCACTGCACTCCAGCCTGGGTGACAAGAGAGAAATTCTGTATTAAAAAAAAAAAAATCCACAGTAAATATTTGCATATATAAATATTTGTAGAATCTTGGGTTGTTTCTTTAGGCTAAATTCCTGTGGGTACCTCTTCTTCCTCACAATACACACATTCAGTTTTTCTCTTTGTTTTGGATTTAAGTTTAACAAATGTTTACATACAGTGTTAAAGGCTACTATGTCTTCCCTTATTCCATTTTCCATTTTCCACTCCTCAGGGGTACCTACTATTCTAAATTTTGTGTTTGCATTCTCATGCTTTTTTTTTTTTTTGAGACAGAGTTTTGCTCTTGTTGCCCAGGCTGGAGTACAATGGCACGATCTCAGCTCATTGCAACCTCCACCTTCCAGGTTCAAGCGATTCTCCTGTCTCAGCCTCCTAAATAGCTGGGATTACAGGCATGTGCCACCATGCCCAGCTAATTTTATATTTTTAGTAGAGTCGAGGTTTCACCATGTTGGTCAGGCTGGTCTCGAACTCCTGACCTCAGGTGATCTGCCCACCTCGGCCTCCCAAAGTGCTGGGATTACAGGTGTGAGATTTTTAAAGTGAACTGGATATTCTGAAAAGCTTTATATAAATGGTGTCCATGAAGTACATTTACTTCCCTTACTACTTAGGAATGAAACTCAGCGACTAGCACTTACATTGGACTCTAAACGATCCCTGGCTTTAAGCCTCACTCATCACCTCACTCTTTTGATTCCATTTCAGGTTCACAGACATGTTGATCTTTCCTTAATGTGGCTAAGTCTTTTCAATTTCTACATTTATCTATCATTTCTACTAAAGTAGAGGGGGTGCAAAGTATGAATTTACAAAAATCATTTTATTCAGAAGTATTTCCAATTAATTGTTTTAAAAAAAAAGTGATATGCAGCTATTGATTTGGCCAAAAAAAAAAAAATGGTGAAACTAGAATTAAAACACATTCCAAAGACAACATCCAAACATTGTTAAAAATACTTTACCCTTATGATTTGTTTGTTTACCAAGTGCCTCAACATACACTGGCCTCGGCTTCATGTAAAAAAAAAAAAAAAAAAAAAAGAAGCGCCGGTAAATAATATTAGAAGACTCATGCTAAAATATCTAACTTATAGTTTCTAGAACTATCCTTCTTTATAATCAAAATTCAAAAGAAAAAAAAAAAGGAGCAAAACCAAATTCCAGGAACTAGGGTCAAGCAATTTTCTTAAGAGTCTGACAGAGGAGTTAAAAACTACATTATAGAAAATCTCCTAAAACCTGTATTGTATACGATTGTATACTATCTGCCCTCAATGTATAAGAACAGACATATATTCACCAGTTGGGATTCCCACACTCTAAAATAAAATGAAACAAGAAAATTCATTCAACCCCTACCTTACTCCCTATATAAAAACTGATTCCAAGTAGATCAACAATCTAAATATAAGATCTACATAGGGGTAAATCTTCATGAATCAGATTTGGCAATGGATTCTTAGATTTGATGCCAAAGCACAAACAAAAAAAAATAGGAGTTTATAAAAATTAAAAACCTTTGTACATCAAAGAGCATTATCGAGAAAGTGAAAAGACATTCTACAGAAGAAAACACAAATCAAGTATCTGTTAGAGAGTTTAACCCTGATGTTAAAAACACAGTGATTAAAACACTGTGAAACTTCAACAACAAAAAGACAAGCCAATTTTTGAAAGCATGTATGACTTTAAGCATGTAATATTCTTTTCCATGGTATTCTTTATGGTTATACAGGGCAAAGTTATATAGACTTGCCCTCCAACTTTGCCTCTGGAGTGGTGTTTCCATTCTTCAGCTTAATACAAAAGCTAATGATATAAACATTAAGATATAAAAGGTATTAATCTGCTTGACTCAAAGAGTTTATTATGAAGAGAAACTGGAAAACTTTCCACCAAACCAACCATGTTAAGAAAGTGAGGAGGCCAGGCCACTGTCAATACTTCTCTGATCCTGTACTTTCCATTTCTCCAATCTGTCTTTGACCCCCTCCAACTTTGTCTCTCTCAGTCTTTTTTCATTTGCTTATTAAAGATACACATTTCTCAAAGCTCCACCCTTAGCTTTCCTTCTGCTCCTCAATCTCTTCAATTCCACTGAACAAATGCTGAAGACTCCCAGACCTCTCATTTTGCCAAGTCTACACCACTGTAACAAAGACTCAAATTTCCAAACTCCTAATAAATATCTCAAGAGCAGTTGAACAAAAAGGAGCCAGAACTTGCTGGTTTTGAAGATTCCCAGTCTCTCACACGCAAAAAATACTAAAACAAAAAATGGCTTCCCAGCAAAATTCAAATCCCAAGTACTGTCAAGAAAACGATCTAAAAGATGTGGTTGAGGACACAGCTATAAAATTCAACCTTGGTGAGATCCCAGATCATGCCTCTGAGTACTATTCAATTAGACAAAAGGCCTCCTAAAGATTTTAAAGGTGTGACTTACAGATTATTTTAATCAAAGAGTAGAGTTTTTTTTTTTTTTTGAGACGGACTTTTGCTCTTGTTGCACAGGCTGGAGTGCAATGGCGCAATCTCGGCTCACCGCAACCTCTGCCTCCCAGGTTCAAGCAATTCTCCCGCCTCAGCCTCCTGAGTAGCTGGGATTACAGGCATGCGCCATGACGCCTGGCTAATTTTTTTTGTATTTTTAGTAGAGATGGGGTTTCTCCATGTTGGTCAGGCTGGTCTCGAACTCCTGACCTCAGGTGATCTGCCCACCTCAGCCTCCCAAAGTGCTGGGATTACAAGCGTGAGCCACCACGCCCAACCATCAAAGAGGAGAGTTTCTAAGAAGCTAAAAGCTATTGCCTCTCAGCGGAATTTCAAGAACGAGAATGGCTTATCTCAAAGAGATTTTTAGGTGTGACTTTTGTTTAAGGAAGTGAGCCCAAATATTAACAGGAGACCCATAAGGTTTTGAAGAAAGTTATATTGGCAGAAACACTGCCCATTTCGACTGAAAGAGACAGAAATAGTACAAAATGAAAAGAGGGCCTTGGACTCCCAAACATCTACAGGTTGGAAGTGGATAGAGGAATCTACACAGCTGCAAAAAAAAGCCTACTTTCCTACTTTTCACAGAAAAGAAAACTCAGAGTGTGGAAACAAAAGCCCAGAAGGACGAGCTAAGAGCCATAATGAATTATTTCCAGACCTGTATTTTAATCAAGGAATTACCAACCTGTGCCCAGCTGAATTTCAAAAATGGTGTGACGTAACGACACCTTTGTACCAACATTTTCCCTCTGTTTGAACAAGAATGTCTACACTAGTTATCATACACCTGACCAATCATTGCATCTTGGTTATGTGTGGGGCAAACAATTTGCCTCTTTAGTTTCACAGGTCTTCACATAGAGAAGTAATGTACTCAAGGAGCTGAAGAAACTACATACATCTGAGGAGCCTCATCCAAAACTGGACCTAATTTAGATGACAATATCCTGGACTGTAAGCTGATGCTATAAATGAGAATTCTGCAGAATAATAGGAGGGGGTGAGTGTATTCTGCACGTGGGATGAATGTAAATAATCTGTGGCTGAAGAGTGTATTGTAGAGATTTAGAATATGTTCACAAATTCTCTGACACCTCCTTCAAAATGTAGAGCCAATCTTCCCTCCTCTTGAGTGCGGGCTGGAGTGACTTGTTTCTACAATAATAAAAAAGCAAATTCTGAAGAACTGAGTTGGGAGAGAGAAAAATAGTAACTTTTCAGTGGATACATCTGATAAACACTACCTTAACCAAGTGGTAAAGGTTAACATCAACAGTGATGACATGTGGATTGCATCTATCGCCTAACATGGTGTGACAAGAAAGCTACTTCACCTCTGTTGTGCTCTTTCCCAAAATCCACTACTATGGTCTGAATGCGTCCCCCAAAATTCATGTGTTAGAAACTTAAACCCCAGTGCAGCAGTGTTGGGAGGTAGGGCCTTTTGGGAGATGTTTATATCATGAGGGCTCCACTCTCATGAATGGATTAATGCCATTATGAAAAGAGCTTTTAGGGCCGGGTGCAGTGGCTCACACCTATAATCCCAGCACTTTGGGAGGCCAAGGCAGGTGAATCTCTTGAGGTCAGGAGTTTGGGACCAGCCTGGCCAACATGGTGAAACCCCATCTCTACTAAAAATACAAAAAATTAGCTGGGTGTGGCGGTGGGTGCCTGTAATCCCAGGTACTTGGGAGACTGAGGCAGAAGAATTGCTTGAACCCAGGAGGCAGAGGTTGTAGTGAGCTGAGATCGCGCCATTGCACTCCAGCCTGGGCAACAAGAGTGAAACTCCATCAAAAAGAAAATGAAAGAAAAGAGAAAGGAGGAAAGAGAAGGAAGGAAGGAAGGAAGGAAGGGAGGGAGGGAGGGAGGGAGGGAGGGAGGGAAGAGAGAGAGAGAAAGAAAGAGAGAGAGAAAGAGAGAGAGAAAGAAAGGAAGGAAGGAGGGAGGGAGGGAGGGAGGGAAGTTGGTTGGTTGGTTGTAGGAGTGGGTTTGCTCTCTTCTATTCTTCTACCATGTGAGGACACAGTGCTCCTGCTCTCTGGAGGATGCAGTATTCAAGGCACCCTCTTGGCAGCAGAGACCAGGCCTTCACCAAACACAAAACCTACTAGCACCTCAATCTTGGACTCCCAGCCTACAGAACTATGAGAAATTAAATTTCTGTTCTCAATAAATTATCCAGGCTCAGGTATTCTGTTATGGCAGCACAAAACACACTAAGACACCTATAAACCAATCTAACCATGAGAAAAACAACAGACAAGCACAGATTAGAGGACACACTATAGGATACTTGGCTAGTATTCTTCAAGACTGTCAAGGTCATTTCATAATGTACATATATATCAAAACATCGAGTTTTTTTACGCCTTAAATATATGCCATTTGAATTTGCCAACTATATCCCAATAAAGCCGGAAAATAACCATAATGCTCATTAAAAACTGAAACAGTGATCTGACATGATTGGGAGACATGATAAGTAAGTGCAATTTAGCTTGTTAGCAATTTAGTGGTAGCTTGGATTTAATCCTGGAACAGAAAGGGAATATTAATGGAAAAACTGCTGAAATAGAAATAAAATCTGGAGTTTAGTTAGTAACAAAGTACTACTTTTAGTTTTTTATTTTGACAAAAGTACCTTTGTATCATATTGGTTTTGTTTGTCCAGCATGCCTAATTCCTTTGGTGAACTGCTCCTCACTTATTCCCTGTGGTATCAGCTGTCAATTTATACCTTCCCTAAATTACCCTAATTCCAATGAACAGTGACTTCCCCCTGGGTAGCCATGTGCCATGTGACCTAAGCAGGGAAAATAAGAATCCACCTTTCATCAATATACATGTGTTGGGAAGACGGAAGTACCTGAAAAGATGCGTATGGGCCTGCTACCCATGATCTTACCTCCACATAAAGTCAGACTTTTTTTTTTTTTTGAGATAGGTCATGCTCTGACGCCCAGGCTGGAGTGCAGAGGTACAATCATGGCTCACTGCAGCCTCAATCTCCCCTCCCAGGCTCCAGTGATCCTCCTATCTCAGCCTCCCAAGTAGCTGAGACTACAGGTGCATGCCACCATGCTCAGGTAATTTTAAAAATTTTTTGTAGAGATGGGGTCTTCCTGTGTTGCCCAGGCTGATCTTGACCTCCTGTTCTCAACTCAAACAATCGTTCTGCCTTGGCCTCCCAAAGTGCTGGTATTATAGGCGTGAGCCACCATGCCCAGCCTGAAGTCAGCGTTTTTAAAGAATTACATGAACAGAGCCACACAGCCAAAAGATACCTTCATTTTTCTTTTTTTTTTCTTTTTTTGGAGACAGGGTCTCACTCTTGTCACCCAGGCTGGAGTGCAGTGGCATGATCACAGCTCACTGCAGCCTCAAACTCCTGGGCCCAGGCAATCCTCCCACTTCAGTCTACCAAGCAGCTGGGACTACAGGTGTGCACCACCATGCCCTGCTAATTTTTTTTAATTTTTTGTAGAGATAGGGTTTCACCATGTTGCCCAGGCTGGTCTTGAACTCCTGGGCTCAAGTGATCTGCCTGCCTTGGCCTCTCAAAGTGTTAGCATAAGAGGCATGAGCCATTGCACCCAGCCTTTAAATGATATTCTAAGAAGACTAGGCTGTTTTCTTTAGACTAAGAAGTGTGTGTGTGGACGGAGGCCAGTATCACAGGATCAAAGATCAAACTAATTTTGTGATCAACACTGTTACATTCACTAGGTTTATCATAATTCAGTTCAGGCTTTTGTACTGTATCCACAAGACTATAAAATGGCTCATTAAAATTCAGATATATTTCCTCTGTTATTGACTTATAATCCACTTAGGTTAATAACTCTGGCAATAAAAAGGAAGTTTAGCTTATTTGGCAGTTAATCTGAGCTGGTTCCTAGAGACTACCACTCATTAATGTCTTGGGTGATAAGAGCTCTGTTTAATTAATTATACAGAGTTATCTAGAAAATTCAGAAACATGATAAATTTACAACTTATCAGCTTCAAGTTCAGAAGTCCTTTTTTCTGTTTCCCTAGTAGCATAAATCATTTTTTAAAAATCCATACAAAATGTTAAGAATGGCCTCATATCATATGAAAAAATTAACTCGAGTGGATCAAAGACCTAAGCCTAAGAGTGAAAACTATAGAACCCTTAGTAGAAAACAGAGAGGAAAAGTTTCATGACATTGGATTTGGCAATGACTTCTTGGATAGGATACCAAAAGCACAGGCAACAAAAGTAAAAATAAACTGGACCACATCAAAATTTAAAACTTTTATGCATCAAAGGATATGATCTGGAGGGGAGTGAAAACCCAGACCGGGAGAAAATATTTGCAAATCCATATATCTAATATGTGATTGATATCCTGAATACATTTAAAAAAACTCCTACAACTCAACAACAAAAAAAACAATAAAAGTGCATAAAATGAGTTCAGGTGTTTGGTGTAGGAAAAAAAAAAAAAAAGAGGCTGGGTTCAGTGGCTCATGCTTATAATCCCAGCACTTTGCAAGGCCGAGGCAGTGGCTTGCTTCAGCCCAGGAGTTCAAGACCAGCCTGGGCAACATGGCAAAACCCCGTCTCTACAAAAAATATAAAAAATTAACCAGGCATGGTAGCTTGCACCTGTAGTCCCAGCTACTCAGGTGGCTGAGGTGGGAGGAACACTGGAGCTTGGGAGGCAGAGGTTGCAGTGAGCCGAGATTGTGCCACTGCACTCCAGCTTGGGCGATAGAGCAAGACCCTGTCTCGAAAAAAAAAAAAAAAAAAAGAAAAGAAAAGAAAAAAGAGAGACAAAAAGAAAAGAAAGAAAAATAAAAAAGATTTTTGAAAATGGGCAAACCTGGCCGGGCATCGTGGCTCACGCATGTAATCCCAGCACTTTGGGAGGCCAAGGCAGGTAGATTGCCTGAGGTCAGGCGTTCAAGACCAGCCTGGCCAAAAGTGGTGAAACCCTGTCTCTACTAAAAATACAAAAATTAGCCAGGTGTGGTGGTGTGTGCCTGTAATCCCAGCTACTCAGGATGCTGAGCAAGAGAATGACTTGAACTTGGGAGGCGGAGGTTTCAGTGAGCCAAGATTGCACCACTGCACTCCGGCCTGGGAGATGGAGCAAGACTCTTGTCTCAAAAAAACAAACAAAAAGGGCAAACCCAATAAGCACATAAAAAGATGTTCAACATCTCTAATCATTAAGGACTTCAACTCAAAACTAAATGAGATACCACTTTATATACATTCGGATGACAACTATCAAAAAAAAAAAAGAAAAAAAAAAAAAACCCAGAAACTAACAAGTGTTAGTGAGGATGTACAGAAACTGGAAACTTCATGTACTGCAAAAAACCGTAAAATTGAGCAACTGCTGTAGAAAATAGTTTGTCAGTTCCTTAAAAAGTTAAAACATAGAATTACCGTATGATCCAACAAGTCCACTCCTAGTATATACCCAAAAGAATTAAAAACAGAGACTAAAATAGATATTTGTATACCCATGTTCACAGCAGATTAGTCACAAGAGCCAAAAGGTGGAAACAACTCAAATATCCATCAACAGATAAATGGATAAACAAAATGTGGTATATGTACACAATGGAATATTATTCAGCCTTTAAAAGGAATGAAATCCTGATATGTACTACAACAACGATAAAAGTTGAAGACACTATGTGTAAAATAAACCAGACACAAAAGGACAAATATTGTGTGGTTCTATTTATATGAGGTACCTAGAATAGGCAAATACACAGAGAAAAAAGTAGAAAAGAGGTTACCAGGGGCTGAAGAGATGGAAATTGGGAATTATTGTTTAATGTGTACTGAATTTCTGTTTGGGATTTAAAAAAGAAAGATCTGCAAATAGTGGTGATGGTTATACAACATCATGAATGGGTTGGATGCAGTGGCTCATCTGTAATCCGAGTGCTTTGGGAGGTGGAGGCAGGAGGACTGCTTGAGCCCAGGACTTGAGGCTACAGTAAGCTATGATCATGCCACTGTACTCCAGCCTGGGTGGCAAGACTGCCATCTCTTAAAAAAGAAAACCATCTGTACTTAATACCACTGGGCTGTACTTAATACCACTGGACTGTACACTTAAAAACTGCTGAAATGGCCGGGCGCAGTGGCTCACACCTGTAATCCCAGCACTTTGGGAGGCTGAGGGGGGTGGATCATGAGGTCAGGAGTTCAAGACCATACTGGCCAAGCCAATATGGTGACACCCCATCTCTACTAAAAATACAAAAATTAGCCTGGCGTGGTGGTGCACACCTGTAGTCCCAGCTACTCGGGAGGCTGAGACAGAAGAATCGCCTGAACCCAGGAGGTAGAGGTTGCAGTGAGCCAAGATTGCACCACTGCATTCCAGCCTGGGTGACAGAGCAAGACTCTGTCTCAAAAAAAAAAAAAAAAAAAAAAAAAAAAAAAAAAAAAGGTTAAAATGGTAAAATTTTGTTATGTGTATTTTACCACAATTTTTTTTTTTTAAGTACTAAAGAAGGGCTTGGGCCAGAGGCCTTCTACATTTATCTTGGCAATAGAGCAGTGGCATACATGGAATGAAGCCCAGAGCCAACCAGCCAGTACACACATACTAGACAAACACAGGCAGTTCAACACTGCTGGGCAGGATACACTGTTGCCCTGAGTTTAGGACAAGGGATTTATATCCAAAAATTGCTTCCAAGTCCTCTTAAGGCTTGGCTTCCTGGCTTCCTCTCAAGCACCCCATCTGTCTGCAAGAATAGAAACAGACAGCCTGAACAGCTGAACGAAGTCCAACACCAGGGGCTGCGTGCTGGCAAGCTACTAGTCAGAGGCTGAGGACTTCAGCAGTGCCAAAGCCCTATTCTCACAGGGTCAATGAATCTGCAAAGACACTCATCTTTTTCTCTCCTCCTCTTTAAATCATTTTATTGGGTATAGTATACATAAGAAAGGGCACATCATAAGAAACAATGATTTTCTTTTAAAGTCTATAAAAAATTTATGTTCAGTAATCTCAAGTGCATCTCTCTGTAAGTTGAGAGTTTTAAAAATAAAATTACTTCAGCACAAACAACATCTTCTTAACTGCCAAATGTTAAATGATTTCTTTCATATTTTTCCCCAAGTGGAAGGGGTAATTATAGCTACCAGAAAACTCAAGTTGTATGTTAGACAGTCAACACTGCAATAAGACTGTTTTAACAATGACTAGAATTACCAAATTATGCTAACATAGTCTTACAAGAAAAAACAAGGTGTTACCCCCAATTCCTCACTTTCTCTCATTCTCTACATCCCTTCCAAGTCAACTCAAAGCAACTCACCCATATTCAAAACCTACACTCTACCTGCTCACTTCACTTCCTTAAAATTACCTCTATTTCCATGCCGTTATCTCACCTGGACCACTGTGAGAGCCCAGTAAGTGGCCTCCTGCTTTCACTTTTTTCCCCCTACAATACTGATTTTTATTAGTTATCCCTAGGTTTGACAAACAAGTTTTGGAACATATTATAATAAAAAAAGTTTTTAAAGGAAGGGACCTGTCATAAATGAGAAACAGAGATGGAAATGTGGAATGGAGATTGTGAGAAGTCCATGTAAACTCATTTCTACTATTTTTTGGAGTGGAATATTAATATTGGCTCCATTCATTTCTGAATACCTCATCTTATTAAGAGAATGAAGGATAACAGTTTTTCTTTTTGTTGTTTTGTATTTTTTTTTTCCTTGAAATCCCATTTACCTAATTAACATCACATGGAGGTTTCAAGGAAAAAGAGAATTGCTTTTAATGTGCAGAAAAGCAATTCCAACCTTAGTGATATTTTCCCCCTGGGATCTCAGTATCCCAGTACTGAGATCCCAGAAATCCATTCTCCATAGGTGAATCAAGGCAATCCTATTAGAATATAAGTCACATCACATCTTTCCTTGTTTAAAACCCTCTAATGGCTTCCCATTACACTTAAAATTCTTAACAAGGCTAATTTCTTGCCTTGGTTGCTCCCTCTGCCTGTATTTTGTGCCCCCAGATCTTCCTGGGGCTGCCTCCTTCTTGTCATTCAAAGCTCAGCTCACCTCAGAGAAGAAATCTTCCTTCACTCAAATTAAAGTAAAGCCACTTACTTTGAGATGGGGTCTGGGCATCTTAATTTCTTTTTAAGCTCCTCAGATGAGTCTGACATATAGTGATGCTTTGAATCACTAGCTAAGTGAATCTTCCTTTTGCTTATAATAGCTTTTCTGCCAATTTACTTCTTGCTACTTCTTACTGACAGCGGGCTGAAAAAATGGAAAATCAACATTGTGGGAGGTGGTGAGAAAGAAATGGCAATCACTAGGGACTTGTACTAAATCACTGCCAAAGGGGCCGGGTGCGGTGGCTCACTCCTGTAATCCCAGCACTTTGGGAGGCCCAGGCGGGTGGATCAACTGAGGTCGGGAGTTCAAGACCAGCCTCACCAACATGGAGAAACCCCGTCTCTACTAAAAACACAAAATTAGCTGGGCGTGGTGGTGCATGCCTGTAATCCCAGCTACTCAGGAGGCTGAGGCAGGGGAATTGCTTGAACCTGGGAGGCAGAGATTGCGGTGAGAGCCACTGCACTCCAGCCTGGGCAACAAGAGTAAGACTCCATCTCAAAAAAAAAAAAAAAAATCACTGCCAAAGGTCACGTGTGTGTGTGTGTGTGTGTGTGTGTGTGTGTGTGTGTGTATGTGTGTGTGTTTGAGACAAGGTCTCACTCTGTCACCCAGGCTGGAGTGGAATGGCGTGATCTTGGCTCACTGCAACCTCCGCCTCCTGGGTTCAAGTGATTCTCGTTCCTCAGCCTCCCAAGCAGCTGAGATTACAGGTGCATGCCACCACACCCAGCCCCAGCTAATTTTTTTGTATTTTTTAGTAGAGACGGAGTTTCACCAGGTTGGCCAGGCTGGTCTCAAACTCCTGACCTCAAATGATCCACCTACCTCAGCCTCCCACAGTGCCAGGATTACAGGCACGAGTCACTGCGCCCAGTCATACATCTATGCATTAAATGCAAAGATATGTTCATAAACTCTAGAGAATCCATCTTGCCTGTATCAACTTTTTTGTTGTTCTTATTTCATGATTCTCAGCTCTGGATCACAGAGTTTACGATGTTGGAAAAATCATATGTAAATGTCACCTCTTAAGAACTGCCTTCTTCAACTTCCTGGGTAAAGATAGCCATTCCATCTTTTGAGCTTTGGTAAGGCTCTTCCATCTCTGATAAAATTTCTTACACTAATTATTAACAACTTTCTTTCACTGTGAGCTCCATAAGATAATAAACTTGTCTGTATTGTTCACTGATACATCCTCAACTCCTATGTAGTGTCTGACACATAGGAGATGCTTTATAGTGAGTTACGTGATTTATCCACTCAAGAAATATTAACTGAACACCATGTGCCGGGAGGCATCCAAGACTGTGAGGATGCAGCAATTAAAAAAAAAAAATCTTTGTCCTCTTAAATGCTAATCTGGAGCACTGACAAGATTAATAAGTAAAATAGCATGCTAGGTAGTAATAAGTAACAAGAAGAAAAACAACTAAAGTAACAAAAGGCAGACCAGCAGTTGTCCACAAATTGTGGATGACTGTAAAGGGACACAGTCCCCATTTAGGGGCTGAGGAACGTGTTCTGGTTCTTGACTGTACTGGTGTTTTCACAGACATGTACACCAGCCAAAATTAACCAAATTGTACACTTTAAATAAATAGTTTATTGTATTATACATTGTCAATTGTAAATATAAAACATAAAGCAGGACATGGAGAATTCTTTTAGAGAGGTAGCTGGTGAAGGCCTAATGAGAAGGTGATTAAAAAAAACAAAAGACTTTAAGGAAGTGAAAAGGCTAGCCATATCTGGAGTAAGACGAATTGAGAAAGAGGCAAGAGCAAGTATACAGGTCCTGAAGATCCCTGGAATGTTTCAGAAATTAGCAACAAGGCCAGTGGGTCTAGCTAGAGTAGACGAAGTAAGGGAGAGAACTATTAATCTGACTGACACAGAAAGCCACTGGAGTGAACTGGAAAGCCATGAATATATTTTCTGAGTTATGCATTAACAGTCATTCTGGATGCTGTGTGTTGAAAACAGACTGAAAAGCAGAAACAGAGACATCGGTTAGGAGGATGTTATAATCTAGGAGAGAGGTGATGGTGATCTAAACAGAGTAGTTGGGGGTGGTGAGAAGTGTTCAAATTTTAGATATATTTTAAAAACAGACCCAGCAAGATTTGATGGTGGAATGGATGTGGGTAGGAGAAAACAAAAAGATATGAACTGGAAGAATGGAGGTGCCACTAACTGAGATGAGAAAAAATGCAGGGGGAACAGGTTTTGGAGATATATGAGGAACTTAGTTTTGGGCATATTCAATTTTTGATACCTTTTACACATTTAAGTCAGGATCTCCAGTATGTCATAAATATGTATCTGAAATTTAGGGGAGAAATCCAGTTTGGAGATATACATTTGGGAGTCATTACCATATAGATGGTATTTAAATGCAAGGAATTACATGAGATCAACTAGGAAGTGAGTTGTAAAAAGGAAGAAAAGAAGATCGAGGACAGAGTTCAAGGGTACACCAACATTTAGATGTTGTGAGGATTAGAAGGAAGCTGCAAAAGAGATTTTAAAAGAAAAAAAAAAGAGCTAGAAGGCTAGCAGGAAAATCAGGCAAATGCGGTATTCTGGAAGACAAATATTTCAAAGACAAGGTAATTCAAGTATGTCAAATGTTGATTATGGATCCAGTAACTAAAATCTCAAGACTATTATTTAAAACGAGAATAAATGCAAAAACATTATATAAATTTTAAAGGAAAGACTTAGCTAAGAAAAAGAAGTACTGTATTAACAGTACAGCAGTCTAATCTACAATACATCAAAAATATTAAATATCACTTATTATAATCCTTATGTAAAACATTCCCAAAAATTTCTACTTTTCAACTGGTAAGTTATGAATAACTGAATACTTCTGATTTTAATGTTTTCAAAACTAAAAAGCATTAAACTTACATTTTTATTTCACTAGTTACTACAAGTATTTCACTAGCCATTCACTAGAATTCACAAGAATAGTCCTTTCACTATTCATTATAACTAGTAATGCTTTTAAAAGGGGTTTTTCTTAGCTTTTTTATTTTTTATTTTATTTTACTTTGTTAAAACATTCCCTTCTCCACAAAGTATGTTTACAAATAGCTAATTCAGAGTTAGCTTGAATTTCAATAATAAGTTTTAGATTTTCATAGATTTTTTTAACAAGTGTGTGAAAGCAAAAATTATAACAACTTTCTAAGGAAACAAAATTTCTTATTCTTTCTTTTTTTTTTTTTTTTTGAGACAGTCTCACTCTGTTGCCCAGGCTGGAGTACAGTGGTGTGATCTTGCCTCACTGCAACCTCTGCCTCCCAGTTCAAGCGATTCTCCTACCTCAGCCTCCCAAGTAGTTGGGACTACAGGCATGTGCCACTATGCCTGGCAAACTTTTGTATTTTCAGTAGAGACTGGGTTTTACCAAGTTGCCCAGGCTGATCTCGAACTCCTGACCTCAGGTGATCCGCCCGCCTCAGTCGCCCAAAGTGCTGGGATTACAGGCATGAGCCACCATGCCCAGTCTTATTCTTTCTTTTTTCTCTTATAAACTTTAAGCATTGCCTTCTATAAATTATACCTTTAAATTCAACTGTAAGTTGAAGACCATAACTTTAGAACACAAACTATTATGGAACACTTCTTAGAGCTACAAAAAGAGTTGACTCATTCAGAATTAAAGTTTAAGTAAATTCCATGTTCTAAATCTGATATAAAATACGAAATGGAAAATTCCTTTATCTGTTTTTTTTTAAAGTATTCTAGACCGGGCCCGGTGGCTCACACCTGTAATCCCAACACTTTGGGAGGCCGAGGTGGGCGTATCACTTGAGGTCAGGAGTTCAAGACCAGCCTGGCCAACATGGTAAAATGCTGTCTCTACTAAAAATGCAAAAATTAGCCAGGAGTGGTGGTGCATGCCTGTAGTGCCAGCTACTTGGGAGACTGAGGCAGAAGAATCACCACTTGAGCACGGGAGGCAGAGGTTGCAGTGAGCCAAGAGCATGCCACTGCACTCCTGCCTGGGCAACAGAGGGAGACTCTGTAAGTAAGTAAATAAATAAACAAACAAATAAATAATGTATTCTAAAATGATTTAAGTATCTTCAAGCTGTTAAATTTTATCAATCCCTACTGACAAATGATAGTTGAATATCTTATCAGAAAACTAGTTTCACTAATTCTTTGGAGGCTTTCCTTTAGTAGATTATTGAAAGTAAAAATCAACCTTAAATACAAGAATTATCAGAAACAAATTTGTATTGCTTGCATTACAGCTTATATAACCAAGCACGTTATCTGTTCCCCTCGGT